>NC_000010.11:103324913-103627943 GCF_000001405.40 Homo sapiens
CACCTGAGGTCAGGAGTTCGAGACCAGCCAGACCAATATGGAGAAACCCCATCTCTACTAAAAATACAAAATTAGCCTGGCATGGTGGCACCTGCCTGTAATCCCAGCTACTCAGGAAGGCTGAGGCAGGAGAATCGCCTGAACCCGGGGGGCGGAAGTTGCAGAGAGCCGAGATCACGCCATTGCACTCCAGCCTGGGCAACAGAGTGGGACTCAGTCTCAAAATAATAAATAAAATAAAATAAAATAAAATAAAATAAAATAAAATAAAATAATAGGGTCCCTATTAGATAAAAATATTTCACTTCTCTAGGTGTCCTGAGCTTTGCTTGTTTTTTTGTTTGTTTTGTTTTGTTTTGAGACGGAGTCTCGCTCTGTCGTCCAGGCTGGAGTGCAGTAGCGCAATCTTGGCTCACTGTAACCTCTGCCTGCCAGGTTCAAGCAATTCTCCTGCCTCAGCCTCCTGAGTAGCTGGGATTACAGGTGTGTGCCAACAGGTCCGGCTAATTTTTGTATTTTTTAGTAGAGATAGGGTTTCACCATGTTGGTCAGGCTGGAATTCCTGACCTCGTGATCCACCCACCTCAGCCTCCCAAAGTGCTGGGATTACAGGCATGAGCCACTGCGCCTGGCCGAGCTTGCTTGTTATACTTGAACAACTAATAAATGCAAGGATGTCCTATAAAGAAAGCGGATGATAAGCAATATTTTTCTCTACTACCAAAATGGAAAGAGCTGGAACTGAGGCCTCTTTAATATTTCTATCTTCAGCTTTTCTATGACACTAATAGATTGCCATCAGTGGCAGTAGGAAATGGATACTAGCCTGGCACAGTGGCTAACTCCTATAATCCTAGTGCTTTGGGAAGCTGAGGCAAGAGGATTACTTGAGGCCAGGAGTTTGAGACCAGCCTGGACAAAAGCAAGACCGCATCTCTTAAAAAAAAAAAAAAAAAAAAATTAGCTGGGCATGGTGGCATGTGCCTCTAGTCCTAACTACTCAGGAGGCTGAGACAGGAGGGAGGACCACCCAAGCCCAGGAAAACCTCAAGGTTGTAGTGAGCCATGATCGTGTCAATGTACTTCAGCCTGGGCAACAGAAACAGACCCTGTCTCAAAAAAAGAAATGGACAGTAAATCAAATGTGATTAAAGCTGGAGGTGTGAATCACTATGTATCAATATTCAATTAGCATTAACAATGTCCAGGCGCGGTGGCTCATGCCTGTAATCCCAGCACTTTGGGAGGCCGAGGCGGGCGGATCACGAGGTCAGGAGATCGAGACCACAGTGAAACCCCTTCTCTACTAAAAATACAAAAAAAAAATCAGCCGGGTGCAGTGGCAGGTGCCTGTAGTCCCAGCTACTCGGGAGGCTGACGCAGAAGAATGGCGTGAACCCGGGAGGCTGAGCTTGCAGTGAGCTGAGATCGTGCCACTGCACTCCAGCCTGGGCGACAGAGCAAGACTCCATCTCAAAAAAAAAAAAAAAAAACAATGTCTACAACATCATAAAACAAAAATAACAAAAATAATTGCATGAAATCCTACAGAGTTCTTTCTACAGTGTGCTAAAGGTAAGCTCACAACTTTACCTATTCTTTTACATATATGTACTGTACCTGACAAGCTGGATCAAGACCCATTTTTCTTCTGAGGAATTTTTCTACATGTCCAATAGTTGCTTCTCCTGAAACTCGAACAAACTTCTTTTCCAATGGCTACAAAAACAGACAGATAAAACTATTTTTAGGTTAAATATACCTGTACATGCATGACGTATGTGTATATATATGTAATGTGTAAACATTAAAGAAAATTTTATAGCGAAGATGATTCAATAGACTCTTGAAAAAACTTACTATGAAACAAGTTAATACACATATCAGAGAAGAAAAATGGAAATTCTGCTTAGCTTTCCCTTTCTGAAAAGTATGTCAACAATTTTTCTAAATAGGCTTGCTGGTTTATTTTAATGTTTCATTGAAAAAACAAAACTCAGAGTAAAATTTATTCATTCATTTCAAGTACTGAACTTACACTTTAAAGACACAGAGAAAACACCCAATACCAAATGTCTGAAACAACTTTGAGGCCGGGCATGGTGGCTCACGCCTGCAATCCCAGCACTTTGGGAGGCAGAGGCAGGCAGATTGTTTGAGGTCAGGAGTTCGAGACCAGCCTGACCAACATGGAGAAACCCCGTCTCTACTAAAAATACAAATTAGCTGGGCAAGGTGGCACATGCCTATAATCCCAGCTACTCGGGAGGCTGAGGCAGGAGAATCGCTTGAACCTGGGAGGCAGAGGTTGCAGAGAGCCAAGATCGTGCCATTGTACTCCAGTCTGGGCAACAAGAGCAAAACTCCGTCTAAAAAACAAACAAACAAACAAAAAACCCAAAAAACTGCAAGGAAGAAAAAACAAGATGGAGAAGGAATGGCGAGACTAAAAAACATTAAGGGGTGTAAATGACAAATACATTAACCAATTACAATGTATGGACCTTACTGAATCCTGATTGAAAAACTATCAACAATTTTCAGGGGACAATCTAGGAAATTTAAGTAGTACATGAATATCTGATCAAGGGATTATCATTAATTTAAAAAACTGTAGTATCATTATTATGTTGCCATAAAAGGACACTTAACATGAATTTATAATTATTGGAGTGGTGTGTACATGGGAGTTCATTATACTATTCTGCCTACTTTTGTATAAGTTTTAAAATTTTCATAATAAAGGGAATTCTTTTTTTTTTCTTTTCTTTTCTTTTTTGAGACAGAGTCTCACTCTGTCACCCAGGCTGGAGTGCAATGGTGCAATCTCAGCTCACTGCAAGCTCCGCCTCCCGGGTTCACGCTATTCTCCTGCCTCAGTCTCCCGAGTAGCTGGGACTACAGGCGTGCACCACTACGCCCAACTAATTTTTTTTTTTTTTTTCATTAGAGATAGGGTTTCACTGTTAGCCAGCATGGTCTCAATCTCCTGACCTCGTGATCCACCCGCCTCAGCCTCCCAAAGTGCTGGGAGTACAGGTATGAGCCACTGCGCCCAGCCAGGGATTTCTTTTTTAAGTGAAAAATAAAAAGATCACTATCTAGACACATGTGGCTGGAATGTGGGACCCAATAGTTTGAGGTGTAGGAGGTGATAAGTAGATGACAGAGTTTGAAAGTAAAAACTAATGCTTACCCAGCTCCGATCTGAGACAACTAACGATGCTACGACCTCATGCAAATAAAAAGCTGAAGTAATCAGAACTAAACAGTCCCTTACAGGAAAAGCACAAAGTGTTTTTTTAGGACTTACAGACTGGGAGCCTAGAATGGCTACCTAGGGAACCGAGGCACACATTTGTTCCATGTTACAGCACTCAGCTTTCCTATCTGTACAGTAGTTTGTTCTTGAGAACTTTCCCAACTAAAACTCAGAGTCTATATTAGATAGGTATTTTATTTTTCTAGGTGTCTTGGGCTTGCTTGTTATACTTGAGCAACTGATAAATGGTCTGCCCGTTATTACCACAGTACAGCATACAGAATAGGTGTTGAGTGTAGGCACTCCAGGCAGACACCTGGGCTCAAACCCTGGTTCTGCCATTTTCTAATAGTGAGTCTTTGGGCAAGTTCCTGAACTTGTCTGTGTCTCTATTTGTAAAATAGATAAAAATAGCACCTGCTTCATACAATTATCATGAAAATAAGTTAATGTATGTAAATAATAAAAATACCTGTCACATAGTAAGCACTGAAGAGTTGTTAGTGTTGTGAGCCATTTGTCTCTAAGATTATTTGCATCATTTTTGCTCTTTATGTACAGGATTTTAACTTTTTTTGTTTGTTTTTTGTTTTTGAGATGGAGTCTTGCTCTGTCACCCAGGCTGGAGTGCAGTGGAGCGATCGTGGCTCACTGCAACCTCTGCCTTCCGGATTCAAGCGATTCTCTTGCCTCAGCCTCCCAAGTAGCTGGGACTACAGGCGTGTACCACCACGCTATTTTTTGTATTTTTAGTAGAGACAGGGTTTCACTGTGTTAGCCAGGATGGTCTCGATCTCCTGACCTCATGATCTACCGGCCTCAGCGTCCCGAAGTGCTGGGATTACAGGCGTGAGCCACTGCGCCCGGCGGATTTTAACTTTTGAGATGGAGTCTCGCTCTGTCACCCAGGCTGGAGTGCAGTGGCACAATCTCGGCTCACTGCAACCTCTGCCTCTTGGATTCAAGTGATTCTCCTATCTCAGCCTCCCAAGTAGCTGGGACTACAGGTACCCGCCACCAACGTCTGGCTAATTTTGTATTTTTAGTAGAGATGGGGTTTCATCATATTGGTCAGGCTGGTCTCAAACTCCTGACCTCAGGTGATCCACCCGCCTTGGCCTCCCAAAGTGCTGGGATTACAGGCGTGAGCCACCGCACCCGGCCCCAATTTCTTAAACCTAGTAGAAAATGATTTTATTGTTTTATAGGGCTGTCATTACTAAAAGAGAAAACTGAAACAAAGATTTCATGAAAAAAATATAACCAGTAACGGGCTTAAACAAAAATTCTAACATAAGCATATACATATATATGTTTTTGAGATGGAGTTTTGCTCTTGTTGCCCAGGCTGGAGTGGAATGGCGCGGTCTTGGCTCACTGCTACCTCTGCCTCCCGAGTTCAAGCAATTCTCCTGCCTCAGCCACCCAAGTAGCTGGGACTACAGGCGTGAGCCACCACACTAATTTTTGTTTTTTTAGTAGAGACAGGGTTTCACCATGTTGGCCAGGCTGGTTTCAAACTCCTGACCTCAGGTGATCTGCCCACCTCAGCCTCCCAAAGTGCTGGGATTATAGGTGTGAGCCACCGTGCCCGGCCAGTTTTTTTGTTGTTTGTTTGTTTTTGAGACAGTCTCGCTCTGTCGCCTGGGCTGCAGTGCAGTGGCACGATCTTGGCTCACTGCAAACTCTGCCTCCTGAGTTCACGCCATTCTCCTGCCTCAGCCTCCCGAGTAGCTGGGACTACAGGCGCCTGCCACCATGCCCTGCTAATTTTTTGTATTTTTAGTAGAGACGGGTGTTAGCCAGGATGGTATCGATCTCCTGACTCGTGATCCACCCGCCTCAGCCTCCCAAAGTGCTGGGATTACAGGTGTGAGCCACTGTGCCCGGCCTGTTTTTTGTTTGTTTGTTTTTTTTTTGAGATGAAGTTTTGCTTTAGCCCAGGCTGGAATGCAGTGGCGCAATCTCGGCTCACTGCAGCCTCTGCCTCCCGGGTTCAAGCAATTCTCCTGCCACAGCCCTCCTGAGTACCTGGGATTACAGGCATGCATCACCATACCGGGCTAATTTTTGTACTTTCAGTGGAGACAGGGTTTCCCCATGTTGCCGAGGCTGGTCTCAACTCCTAACTTCAAGTGATCCTCCCGTCCTGGTCTCCTAAAGTGCTGGGATTACAGGCGTTAGCCACCGTGCCTGGACAAGCATATATTGTTTCAACCAGATACATTTTTATATCCCCAAAATGTTTACACCAAGCAAATTACAAACAATGTTTCTATTCAAAGTTTCTATCGAATCTTGGCTTAGGTATTAAAAAAAAATCAACAGCTTTATTGAGATGTAATTCACATACCATTAAATTCACCCTTTAAAAGTGTACGATTAAATGGATTTTAGTATATCTACAAAATTTTGCAACCATCACTGCTATGTAATTTCAGAATATTTTCATTACCCTAAAAAGACGCCTGGCTGGGCAAGGTGGCTCACGCCTGTAATCCCAGCACTTTGGGAGGCCAAGGCGGGTGGATCACCTGAGGTCAGAAGTTCAAGACCAGCCTGGCTAACACGGTGAAACCCCGTTTCTACTAAAAATACAAAAAATTAGCTGGGCGTGGTGGGGCGCACCTGTAATACCAGCTACTTGGGAGGCTGAGGCAGGAGAACTGCTTGAACCTGGGAGGCAGAGGTTGCAGTGAGCCCAGATTGCGCCACTGCACTCCAGCCTGGGTGACAGAGCGAGACTCCATCTCCAACAAGAAAAAAAGAAACCTGTACCTCTTGGTAGTCACTCCCCATTCAGCCTCTTCCCCAAGCCTCTGACAACCACTAATCTGCTTTCTGCTCCTGTGGATTTTCTTGTTCTGCACATTTCAGATAAATGAAATCATATAATATATGGATGGCCTTTTGTGACTGGCTTCTTTTCCTTAGCATCATGTTTTCAATGTTTACCCATGTCAGACCATGTATCAGTACTTCATTCCTTTTTACTGTCAAATAATACTCTATTATATGAAAATACATTTTGTTTATCCATTCATCAGCTAATAGGTTATATACACTGTTTCCAGTTTGGGGTTATTATGTTTTTTGAGACAGAGGTTCGCTCTTTTGCCCAGGCTGGAGTGAAGTGGCATGATCTCAGCTCACTTCGCCAAGTTCTCTGCCCTCCGGGTTCAAGTGATTCTCTTGCCTCAGCTTCCCAAGTAGCTGGGATTATAGGTGCCCACCACCACGCCTGGCTAATTTTTGTATTTTTAATAGAGATAGAGTTTTGGCATGTTGGCCAGGCTAGTCTCGAACTCCTGAACTCAGGAGATCCACCTGCCTTGGGCTCCCAACGTGCTAGGATTACAGGCATGACCCAATGTCCCCAGCCCAATTTGAGATTATTAAAAATACATATATATTTCAAATCAAATCCAAATAATGTGCACACAATGTAATTAATTTATATGTCCCTTAAGTTACTTTTCTCAATAGGTTTCATCTGTAGGTTTATTCTTCATCTCTTTCCTTTTTAATTTATTTGCTGAAGAAACAGAATTGGTTGCTATGTAGTTTTCCACTATCTTGATCTGGCTTATTATATTCCTTCAGTGTCATTTAATACATCTCTCTCTCTCTTTTTTGAGACAGAGTCTCGCTGTGTCGCCCAGGCTGGAGTGCAGTGGTGAGGTCTTGGCTCACTGCAAGCTCCGCCTCCCAGGTTCACACTATTCTCCTGCCTCAGCCTCCCGGGTAGCTGGGACAACAGGCACGCGCCACCGCGCCTGGCTAATTTTTTTTGTATTTTTAGTAGAGATGGGGTTTCACTGTTAGCCAGGATGGTCTTGATCTCCTGACCTCGTAATCTGCCCACCTCGGCCTCCCAAAGTGCTGGGATTACAAGCTTGAGCCACCGCGCCCGGCCTAATACATCTCTGTGTCCCCTGTATTTCTTGTAAATTAGTAATTAAATCTAGAAGCATAGTCACCTTCCTATATGTCTTGGCAAGAACACTTCAAGGTGATATTGCTACCATGTTTTTTCATGTGTAAGAACCACAACTATATATTCTGGGTTGCACATGTGTTTCTGAGGAAGCAGTAGACTAATACTTTATCTTTTCTGTTTTTAAGACAGAGTCTTACTCTGTCACCTAGGCTAGAGTGTAGTGACGCAATCACAGCTCACTGCAGCCTCAATCTCCTAGGCTCACGTGATCCTGCCACCTTAGCTTCCTGAGTAGCTGGAACTGCCCATGCCAACATGCAGAGCTAACATTTTTATTTTTGATAGAGACAGGGTATTCCTGTGTTGCCCAGACTGGTCTTGAACTCCTGGCTCCAAGCAATCCTCCTGAGTTGGCCTCCCAAAGTACTGGGATTACAGATGTGAGCCAACGAACCCGGCCTAATATTTCAATTCATTCTCTAGTTCTTTCTTCATGAGGTTTTAAAACTCTGTTGGACTGACTACTACAGGTTATTAGACAGGCGTCTTCAGGGAACACTGGTAGCATATATCCTGGTGCTTAAACCATACAAAAACGTATCTGCCACTATCCCACCCACTACATGGCTACGAGAATTTCCTAAAGCTGAACACCACCGGTTTGATGTTTTACAACTTAGAAGAGGTTCAACGCTATCAAAAATCATGGGGATTTATGGTCGGGCGCAGTGGCTCACACCTGTAATCCCAGCACT
This sequence comes from Homo sapiens, assembly GCF_000001405.40. NCBI lineage: Eukaryota > Metazoa > Chordata > Mammalia > Primates > Hominidae > Homo > Homo sapiens. The sequence continues at coordinate 103,332,871 of NC_000010.11, forward strand.
TTGGGAGGCCCAGGTGGGTGGGTCACCGGAGGTCAGGAGTTTGAGAATAGCCTGGCCAACATGGTGAAACACCGTCTCTACTAAAAATGCAAAATTAGCTGGGCGTGGTGGTGCATGCCTGTAATCCTAGCTATTCAGGAGGCTGAGGCTGGGTTCAAGAATTGCTTGAACCCAGACGGCGGAAGTTGCAGTGAGCCAAGATTGCGCCACTGTGCTCTAGCCTGGGCAACAGAGGAAGACTCCATTTAAAAAAAAAAAAAAAAAAAAATCATGAGGACTTAAAACTGCATTCCCTCTATCACATCAATCTCTGAGACACATGTATAATATGCTTCACCCAGAGAATTACCTATCTATTCCTATGCTTTAATTCATGTCTCTGAGCTAGTGTGTTCATAAAACAGTACAGTATATCCAACTAGGTATAATTCACCTAACTTTCAGTACAGACACTTGACAAAGTCACTGAAAATCTAAACAGATCAAAGTCACCTATTCCTTGTATATTTACCTCCCAAGAAACTATAAGGTCTGATTTACCCCTTTTTAAAAAGTTACCTTTTCCTGATGACTCACATTATAGTAGTAACACTGTATACAATGTTACCTGTGATTTCGGAATCTTTAAATCAACTCTGAACTTAAATATGTTACAAAGGAGTTCATTCTTACCTCTAAAACTTCAGTGAATAATTGAAGTAACAAGTAGGGCAAAATAACTTGAGCAAAAAATGTTACATGCAAATAAAATTTTAAGCTCATATTTAATTCTAAATGCCAAATATGCAAAAATGCTTTGAGACATTTTTTATCACCAAATTAACATAGCATTTGGTTTTAGTTTTAAAAAGTATTCACTTAATTTTCCTTAGACTACTGTTCTGAATGAACAAATCCCTACTTAATAACTTTTATTCATAAATCTATAATATTATTAAATGTACTTCATATTTAAATAACTTATTTATACAATCTCCATTTGGTTGCTAATCTGACTCGAATTTGTGTGCTACAGAGTCCTCTTGTGAAATGAATGAAAAAAAAAGTAAAATACCTTAAAATGTCCCGTGCCTTCATTAGCACTGAAAAATGAGAGCAAAATTAATCAATATTTAATACTTTAAGCTATATGTTTAATCATAAAACAACATATATAAATATTTGAGAAACATCAATTCATTGTAATTCTAGAACACAGTCACCTGAAGTTTTATGAAATAAACAAATGTAATTGTCATTTCTGCCACCTAGTGGTTAAGGCAAAGGCAGTTTTATCCAGTATTTTAGTCTACTTTCTATACTTAATTTTAGAAGTTAAAAGTATATTCTCTTTTTTTGATGGAAAATATGAGAATTTACTTATTTTTTCCAGCTTTATTAGGGGATAATAGACAAATTAAAATTGTGTATATCTATAGGTTTTGATACGTATATACTGTAAACTAATAAAATCAAGCAAATCAACATATCCATCAGCTCACATACTTATTTTACTGTAGTGAGAACATTTAGGATCTACTTTTAGCAATTTTCAAGTATATAATACATTATTAACTGTAGTCATCATGATGTACAATAGATCTCCAGGAAAAAGTATATTCTTAAATATTAGATTCCCCCTCACCCCACATTTAGCATCCTAACATTTTACAGCTTAGTCTAATTTCATATTTTTCTTTTAATCATAATCAATGTGATTTTCCTCTCTATAGTAACATTTACAATATAAAATTTCTTACAAGAAGGCTGCTATGCTTCCTATTGCTTTTTTTGCAGAATAATTACCTGGACATAATTTTACTCAGTTTCCTTTTCACCTAGAAGCCTACAGATTTCTTGGTTAAATCAATTACTTTTAAGCCATGAGGGAGACAAGGGTATCTAACTTTTTGTTGAGAAAGTACTATGTGCCAGGCATTGAATTAGGTATTCATGTGCATATGCATGCTTTTCATTTAGTCCTCACAATAGCCCTGCAAATGAGGTATTAGTACCCCTTTCTACAGATGAAAAAAAATTAAGCTCACAGAGGTCATAACTTTCTTTGGGACACACAAATATGGTAGGTAATAAAACTGAAATTCACACTCAGGTGTGCCTAACATCAAAGCCAATGTTCTTTCTTCCTTATGTTGTGAAGATTAGACAAGTTCACAATTCCATCATCTCCAAAGTATTCTTTTTTTCTTTCATTTTTTTCTTTAAGAGATAGGGTCTTGCTCTATCACCCAGGCAGGAGTGTAGTGGCTCACTGCAGCTTCAACCTTCTGGGCTTAAGTGAACTTCTTGCCTTAGCCTACCTGAGCAGCTGGGAGTACAGATATGTGCCACCATGCATGGCTAATTAAAAAAAAAAAAAAATTTTAAGAGATAGGGTCTCGCTGTGTTGGCCAGGCTGGTCTCAAACTCCTGGCCTCAAGCCATCCTTCTGCCTTAGCCTCCCCAAATGCTGGAATTACAGGTGTGAGCCACCACACCCAGACTCCAAAGCACTCATTTTTTTTTTTTTTTGAGACAGAGTCTCACTGTCACCCAGGCAGGAGTGCAGTGGCGTGATCTCGGCTCACTGCAACCTCTGCCTCCCGGGTTCAAGCGATTCTCTTTGCCTCAGCCTCCCGAATAGGTGGGACTACAGGCACCCACCACCACACCCGGCTAATTTTTGTATTTTTAGTATAGACGGGGTTTCACCATGTTGTTCAGGATGGCCTCGATCTCTTGATCTCGTGATCTGCCCACCTTGGCCTCCCAAAGTGCTAGGATTACAGGAGTGAGCCACGGTGCCCAGCAAAGTACTCTTTGTAAGAAAAAAATAGGCTGGGCGAGGTGGCTGATGCCTGTAATCCCAGCACTTTGGGAGGCCAAGGTGGGCAGATAATGAGGTCAGGAGTTCAAGAGCAGCCGGGCCAACATAATGAAACCCCGTCTCTCCTAAAAATACAAAAAATTAGCTGGGTGTGGTGGCGCATGCCTGTAATCCCAGCTACTCGGGAGGCTGAGGCAGGAGAACTGCTTGAACCCGGGAGGCGGAGGTTGCAGTGAGCTGAGATCGTGTCACTACACTCCAGCCCGGTGACAGTGCGAGACTCCATCTCAAAAAAATAAAGGAAAAGAGGCCAGGCGCGGTGGCTCACGCCTGTAATCCTAGCACTTTGGGAGGCAAGGTGGGTGGATTGCCTGAGCTCAGGAGCTCGAGACCAGCCTGGGCAACAAATTAGCAAGGTGTGGTGGCGTGCACCTGTAGTCCCAGCTACTCGGGAGGCTGAGGCAGGAGAATCGCTTGAAATCGGGAGGCAAAGGTTGCAGGGAGTCAAGATCATGCCACTGCACTCCAGCCTGGGCAACAGAGTGAGACTGCGTCTCCAAAAAAAAAATTTAAAAAAAAATAAATAAATAAAAAGAAAAAAGTAATAGAGATACAGAAATATTTATATATTATAAACCTATAAATGATATATTATTTTATATGAAATTATATCAATATATAAATGTAAACTGTAAATCCGTAAATGTACAAATAAATATAAAATATACACATAAATAGAATGTTAAATTATATTATCTTAGAGTTATAAAATAAAACATCCCATTCATTGTAAGAATTATCTCTGTAGAATACTTGGTACATGGGCATCAGCTTCTACCTGAATATCTAAAGACAGCTTAACTGACAAGTCAGCAGTTTCATTTGTGGGTGACTTTGTTAGAAATTGCTTGCTTGCGGCCAGGTGCAGTAGGTCACACCTGTAATTTCAGCACTCTGGGAGGCTGAGGTAGGTGGATCGCTTGAGGTCAGGAGTTTGAGACTTGCCTGGCCAACATGGTAAACTTATGTCTCCAATAAAAATACAAAAATTAGCCAGGTGTGTTGGCACATGCCTGTAATCCTAGCTACTCGAGAGGCTGAGGCAGGAGAATCACTTGAACCCGGGAGGCGGAGGTTGCAGTGAGCCGAGGTCGTGCCACTGCACTCCAGCCTGGGTGACAGAGCCAGACTCCATCTCAAAAAAGCAAAAAAAATTACTTGCTTCCACTTAATCAAACACGCTTCACCCTGTAACATATACCTAGAAGTCATAGTTTTGCCTTCTGGTATTGTGAATCAGACCAATTTTTCTTTTATTTGGTAACCCTTTAAAGATTTTAAACTAATTTGAGGGACTTACCATTGCTTTATTTCCAAACAAAATATTTTTGTTCCTTCTGCTACCACATGACGTATTTTCAAACTTTTACCATTCCAGTTATACCTGTTTACCAATATCTCTCTTAAAATATGGTACCCAGAGCTGAACACAATACTCTTGTTGGACTAAGGCAGCACAGAGTGGGATACTACTCTCGGGTTTACTAAACACCACTGAGCTTAAAATGGCATTAAATTTTTGCTGTATCACACATCTCCTAAGACTCTATTTTCTTTGGTATGCAGGTGTATGTATTATAGCACCATGGACCACTTTAACCTTTATTTTTGAACGGCCCTGCATTATTTCAATACTCATATTGATAATAATTCAGACTTAAGAATATCACATGTTGATTCTTACAACAATCCTTTGAGTTGCTATTGTAACCTCCAGTTTAGAAATACAGAAACTGATGATCAGTTCAGAGAAGTTACATCCCAAGGGTTACCTACTCTGAGTTAGTCTTCAAAACCTATACTCTTTCAACATACCATACTGTCTGTCTTGGGTTATTTCTTTTTATAATCTACTTTACACATAGAAACTATAGAACAAAAAGGATAAGAGTCTATCTTAAGATCATAAAGCTGGGCACGGTGGCTCACGCCTGTAATCCCAGCACTTTGGGAGGTCGAGGTGGGTGGATAACCTGAGGTCAGGAGTTCAAGACCAGCCTGACCAACAAGGAGAAACCCTGTGTCTACTAAAAATACAAAATTAGCGGCCGGGCGCGGTGGCTCACGCCTGTAATCCCAGCACTTTGGGAGGCCGAGGCGGGCGGATCACGAGGTCAGGAGATCGAGACCATCCCGGCTAAAACGGCGAAACCCCGTCTCTACTAAAAATACAAAAAATTAGCCGGGCGTAGTGGTGGGCGCCTGTAGTCCCAGCTACTTGGGAGGCTGAGGCAGGAGAATGGCGTGAACCCGGGAGGCGGAGCTTGCAGTGAGCCGAGATCCCGCCACTGCACTCCAGCCTGGGTGACAGAGCGAGACTCCGTCTCAAAAAAAAAAAAAAAAAAAAATACAAAATTAGCTGAGCATGGTGGTGCATGTCTGTAATCCCAGTTACCCGGGAGGCTGAGACAGGAGAACTGCTTGAACCTAGGAGGCAGAGGTTGCAGTGAGTCGAGATCATGCCACTGCACTCCAGCCTTGACAACAAGAGAAAACCCTGTCTCAAACAAACAAACAAAAAAACCGGTCAGGTGCAGTGGCTCATGCCTCTAATCCCAGCACTTTAGGAGGCCAAGGCAGGCAGACCACGAGGTCAGGAGATCGAGACCATCCTGGCTAACATGGTGAAACCCTGTCTCTACAAAAAAACAAAAAAAAATTAGCCGGGCGTGGTGGCAGGCACCTGTAGTCCCATCTACCTGGGAGGCTGAGGCAGGAGAATGGCATGAACCCGGGAGGCGGAGCTTGCAGTGAGCTGAGATCGCGCCACTGCACTCCAGCCTGGGAAACAGAGCGAGACTCCATCTCAAAAAAAAAAAAAAAAGAAGACCATAAAACACACATACCCTGTTGGGTGCAGTGGCTCACGCCTGTAATCCCAATACTTTGGGAGGCTGAGGTGGGTGAATCACCTGAGGTCAGGAGTTCGAGACCAGCCTGGCCAACATGATGAAACCCCATCTCTACTAAAAATACAAAAACTTAACCGGGCATGGTGGCACACGCCTGTAATCCCAGCTACTTGGGAGGCTAAGGCAGGAGAATCGCTTGAACCCTAGAGGCAGAGGTAGCAGTGAGCCGAGATCACACCACTACACTCCAGCCTGGACAAGAAGAGTGAAACTCCGTCTCAAAAGAAAAAAAAAATGCATACCCAATTTAGGGGAGAAATCTAATTTCATATTCCAGTAACAGAGAAATTAGTGCAGAGGCTGAACCCACCTCAGTGTTTTTCCTCCTCCAAGTCAAGCAGAGTCAAGCACTGAACCAAATTTGCCCCTGTGCTTCCATCAGACTAAAACTCCCCTTGTCCTGTCATGAAAACAGTTTCCTACAGGTTACCCCCAATAGCCTAACTTTTGCGGTAACATAAATGCTTTTCTATGTAATAAAAAGGGTGAGGTGCAGTGGCTCACGCCTGTAATCCCATCATTTTGGGAGGCCAAGGCGGGTAGATTGCTTGAGCCAGGAGTTCAAGACCAGCTTGGGCAATATGGTAAAAAATTAGCTGGGCATGATGGTGTGTGCCTATAGTCCCAGCTGCTCAGGAGGCTGAGGCGAGAGGATTGCTTGAGTATAGGAGGCAGAGGCTGCAGTAACCTGAGATCGCGCCACTGCAGTCCAGCCTGGGCAGCAGAGCAAGACCCTGTCTCAAGGAGGAAAAAACAGATAAAGGACTGTCTTAGGAGGTACACTGAATACCCATCATAACCAACAATTTCTAAGGTTCAATTTTTATTTACACAGGAGGACCTTAATATATACCTTATGAGTCCAGGTGCAGTGGCTCACGCCTGTAATCCCAGCACTTTGGGAGGCCAAGGCAGGTGGATCACGAGGTCAGGAGTTCGAGACCAGCCTGGCCAACATGGTGAAACCCCATCTCTACTAAAAAATACAAAAATTAGCTGGGTGTGGAGGAGGGCACTTGTAATCCCCGCTACTCTGGAGGCTGAGGTGGCAGAATTGCTTGAAACCGGAAGACTGAGGACTGAGGTTGCAGTAAGCCAAGATCGCGCCACTGCCCTCCAGCCTGGGGAACAAAAGCGAAATTCTGTCTGTCTCAAAAAAAAAACACACACACACACACACACACACACACACACACACACACACACACACACACACACAAAAGCATCTTATGAGGCCAGGTGCAGTGGCTCATGCCTGTAATCCGAGCACTCTGGGAGGCTTAGGCAGGTGGATCATGAGGTCAAGAGTTCGAGACCAGCCTGGTTAACAAGGTGAAACCCCGCCTCTACTAAAAATACAAAAAAAAAAAAAAAAAAAAAAATTCAGGCATGGTGGTATGCGCCTGTAATCCCAGCTACTTCAGAGGCTGAGGTAGGAGAACTGCTTGAACCCAGGAGGCAGAGGCTGCAGTGAGCCGAGATTGTGCCTCTGCATTCCAACCTGGGTGACAAAGTAAGACTCTGTCTCAGGGAAAAAAAAAAAAAAAAAAATATATATATATATATATATATATTTTATATACATACCTTATGAATAAACAAAAGCAATTTATTCAAGGTTACAAAGCTAGAAAACAGCAGAGCTACGACTTAAATCCAGATCTCCTATTCCAAGGTAGGGCTTTTTCCTCTACAGCAGGAAATGCATTAATAATGTAACAACTTTAGTAATGGTAATGACTGCCTTGAGCAGTGTGGTCAAGTCTCATCAGGAAAGCCTGCTATGATTAATTATTGATTTCTGCTACAAGTAAAGAAAGAAGAAATGGTGGCACACCCATCACACGTTTACCATCGTTGTATTACAATATCTGACTTTTCAAAAAAGGTATAAAAAGTGGATCCAAGTTCCTGCTGTGATTAGTGGAAAGTGTTACATTTCCCCAAAATAATTTTTTTTTTTTTTGAGACAGGGTCTTGCTCTGTCACCCAGGTTGGAATGCAGTGGTGCAATCAAACCTCACTGCAGCCTCAAACTCCCGGGCTCAGTCGATCCTCCCCCATCAGCCTCCCTAGTAGATGGGACTACAGGTGCATGCCACCATGGCCAATTAATTTTCTTTTCGTATTTTTTTGTAGAGACAGGGTTTTACCATGTTGACCAGGCTAGTGTCCAGCTCCTGGACTCCAGCGGTTCTCCTACCTCTGCTTTCCAAAGTGCTAGGATTACAGGCATAAGCCACCATGCCTGACCCTCAAAATAATTTTTTAAAATTTAATTTTTTAAAAATATAATTCCTTACAGGCGCGGTGGCTCACGCCTGTAATCCCAACACTTTGGGGGTCCAAGGTGGGCGGATCACCTGAGGTCGGGAGATTGAGACCAGCCTGACTGACATGGCGAAACCCTGTCTCTACTAAAAATAGAAAATTAGCCAGGCATGGTGGCTGGCACCTGTAACCCCAACTATTTGGGAGGCTGAGGCAGGAGAATCGCTTGAACCCGGGAGGTGGAGGTTGCGGTGAGCCGAGATTGCGCCATTGCACTCCAGCATGAGCAACAAGAGTGAAACTCCGTCTCAAAAACAAAAAAAAATCCTTTTAATTTTCTTTTTTATTTTTTTTGAGACGGAGTTTCACTCCTGTCACCCAGGCTGGAGTGCAATGGCACTATCTCGGCTCACCACAACCTCCGCCTCCCGGGTTCAAGTGATTCTCCTGCCTCGGTCTCCCAAGTAGGTAGGACTAAAGGCGCGCACCACCATGCCTGGCTAATTTTTGTATTTTTTGTTTGTTTTTGTATTTTTCGAGACGGAGTTTGGCCCTTGTTGCCCAGGCTGGAGTGCACTGGTGTGATCTCGGCTCACTGCAACCTCCGCCTCTCGGATTCAAGTGATTCTCCTCCCTCAGCCTCCTGAATAGCTGGGATTACAGGTGCAAGCCACCACATCCAGCTTTTTTTTTTTTTGTATTTTTAGTAAAGACGGGTTTCACCATATTGGCCAGGCTGGTCTCGAACTCTTGATGTCAAGTAATCTGCCCACCTAAGCCTCCCAGAATGCTGGGATTACAGGCGAGAGCCACTGCGCCCGGCCAACTCTTTAATTTTCAAATTGTAATTAGCTAGTCATTAAAAGATATTACTCCAGCCTTCTTTTGATTAGTATGAAAACAAAACAAAAGTCACATTGTCACATGTGTAAAAATTCAAACACAATGGCAAGTAAGACTTGTTCCCATCCCAGACTCAATAGACTCCAGTGCCGCTTCCTAGGGGCACTGCCATTAATATGTTCTTTTTTTTTTCTCAGCAGTCTTTCTCTGTCACCCAGGCTGGAGTGCAGTGGCACAATCTCAGCTCACTGCAACGTCCACCTCCCAATTCAAGCGATTCTCCTGTCTCAGCCTCCCAAGTAGCTGGAATCACAGGCACGTGCCACCACACCTAGCTAATTTTTTATACTTTTGATAGAGACAGTGTTTCACCATGTTGGCCAGGCTGGTCTCAAACTCCTAATCTCAAGTGATCCGCCCACCTCGGCCTCCTCAAGTGCTGGGATTAAGAGTGAGCCACTGCACCCGGACTTTTTTTTTTTTTCCTTCAGACAGAGTTTCGCTCTCATTGCCCAGGCTGGAGTGCAACAGCATAATCTTGGGTTACTGCAACCTCCACCTCCCAGGTTCAAGTAATTCTCCCGCCTCAGCCTCCTGGGTAGCTGGGACTACAGGCACCTGCCACAACACCTGGCTCATTTTTATATTTTTAGTAGAGACAGGGTTTCATCATGTTGGTCAGGGTGATCTTGAACTCCTGACCTCGGGTAATCTGCCCGCCTCGGCCTCCCAAAGTGCTGGGATTACAGGTGTGAGCCACCATGCCTGGCCAAGATTTTCTTATATGGCCTTTCAGGAATGGCCTGTACACATAAAAAGTATACGTGTACTTGCGTATTTTCCACCATCCTCTTTTTAAAAAACTTAAGTGAGCACAAGGTACATGGGCTTGCCTTTCTGCACCTTGCTTTTCCCACTTAATACATCTTGGAGACTATTCCACATCATCACACACATTATTATATTAGTGCATACTCATGTATGGGTATACCATTATTTAACCTACTCCCTTATAGAGATATAAATTGCAACACTCTTTAATAATAGAAATTGCTGGATTAAAATTTGGAATTACATGATTTCTTCTAATTTTTCCAAAGGGATCTTTATGTCATTATCATCAACCACTACTATGGGCTTCTTGGGGACATAACAAATCTCTTGCCTTTTAGGGGTTCTTTTCTTTTTGAGACGGAGTCTCTGCCGCCCAGGCTGGAGTGCAGTGGCACCACCTCGGCTCACTGCAAGCTCTGCCTCCTGGGTTCACGCCATTCTCCTGCCTCAGCCTCCCGAGTAGCTGGGACTATAGGCACCTACCACCACGACCAGCTAATTTTTTGTATTTTTAGTAGAGACGGGGTTTCACCGTGTTAGCCAGGATGGTCTTGATCTTCTGACCTCATGATCCGCCCGCCTCGGCCTCCCAAAGTGCTGGGATTATAGGCGTGAGCCACCGCGCCCGGCCTTAGGGGTTCTTAATAACAGTTGAGAGCACGAAGTGGATATACAAGGAGATAAATACAATAAAGCACACACTAGATAATAAATGATACAAGTAGCCTAGAGTTATAAAGAGATGACTGAGAAGTAAAATAGTCATCAGTGATACAACATGAGAAATCTAGATTTTTTCCAAGAAAGGCATTTTAGTTTACTGGGCCAGCCAGTTAAGCGTTTGAAAACTAGTTTGATACATGCCAACTCTGGGACCATGACAGTCTGTTTAACATTGCTGCACTAAAATGGAGTACACCATATGCTACAGTGTATGAAAGAAGCAATTTATAAGTATCTAGCAGGGCACGGTGGCTCACGTCTGTAATCCCAGCACTTTGGGAGGCTGAGGTGGGTGGATCACCTGAGGTCAGGAGACCAGCTTGGCCAACATGGCAAAACCCTGTCTCTACTAAAACTACAAAAATTAGCCAGGCGTGGTGGCATGTGCCTGCAGTCCCAGCTACTTGGGAGGCTGAGGCAGGAGAATCCCCTGAACCTGGGAGGCAGCAGTTGCAATAAGCTGAGATTGCACCACTGCACTCCAGCCTGGGCGACAGAGTAAAACTCTGTCTCAAAAAAAAAAAAAAAAAAGAAAGGTATCTAACTAATTTGGCAAAATCAGGTAAAGTTGAAGAGGAACATACCCTAAGACTCAGTAAATCTACACTCGTGGAGAACTATCTATCTCACATATACACAGGAGATACATATGAATTTGTTTACGGCAACATTGTTTAAAACAGCAACAAGTAAATAAACCAACAAACCTGGAAACAAACCTAAATATTCAACAGAACAGGAAAAGATAAGAAATAATATATTCATTTTAATGGAATGCCAAATAATGGTGAAAATGAATGAACTAGGCTATATATTTCAACAGGGATGAATCACACAATACTGAGTGAAAAGTATACCATTTCAAGTTTGGCAAAAACAATGCTACATATTGCTTAGGAATAGATATACACGTGGCAACCACATGAAAAAAAAAGGCATGGGAATGACAAACACTTTTTTTTTTTTTTTTGAGACAGAGTCTCACTCTGTCACCCAGACTGGAGTGCGGTGGCACGACCTCGGTTCACTTCAACCTCCACTGCCCGATTTCAAGTGATTCTCCTGCCTCAGCCTCCCGAGTAGCTGGGATTACAGGCACCTGCCACCATGCCTGGATAATTTTTGTATTTTTAGTAGACAGGGTTTCACCATGTTGGTCAGGCTGGTCTTGAAATCCTGACCTCGTGATCCGCCCACCTCAGCCTCCCAAAGTGCTGGGATTACAGGCGTAAGCCACCATGCCCAGCCTTTTTTTTTTTTGAGATGGAGTTTTGCTCTTGTCGCCTAGGCTGGAGTGCAATGGCGCGATCTTGGCTCACTGCAACCTCTGCCTCCTAGGTTCAAGAGAGTCTCCTGCCTCAGCCTCCCAAGTAGCTGGGATTACAGGCACCCGCCACCACGCCCAGCTAATTTTTTTTTTTTGTAATTTTAGTAGAGACGGGGTTTCGCCATGTTAGCCAGGCTGGTCTCGAACTCCTGACCTCAGGTGATCCACTCACCTCGGCCTCCCAAAGTGTTGGGATTACAGGCGTGAGCCACTGCACCCGGCCCTTTATACCTTTTTCTAATTATTTCTAATATTCAGTTATTTCATAATTTTCCAAGGGGATGTCAGAAAACTTGATTTTACCTGAGTTCACAATGATTTCCTATTAGGACTTTTAACATTCTTTAAGTTAAAAGGTAAATTTTTAGGGTACTCACCCAATGAACTCCAGTAATAAAGACATATCAAGTTCAGGTGGAATACGAAACACTGATTCTAGGACTTTTTTAGATCTTCCTTTGCTTGAAGGGACTGGCTGTGGAACAGCTATTTAATAGTCAAACAAAAATGTTAATTAAGAATAAAAATGCCATAAATTGAGATCTTTGGAAAAATACACAAGTATTATAATTATGTTGAGTATTTAAAAGATCATAAACCACTCAATCTCCCTGTCTTTAATGACATTGGCTAATCTGTCAAAGCCAGTGAAATGAGAGGCAAGCCTGGGGACCACTCCACAATGGAAGGCAGACATGTGGCTGGCTTATTAGGGACGCAGAGAGAGCTCATTAGAACAGCAACATGTGTAGACAACCCTGCATAAGCACTACTATGTGTCAGGGCTCATACTTAGCACTTCTCATGCATCATCTCATTCGTCCTTACTATAGTCCCATGATATAGGTACCAGTGCTACTGCTTTTTTTTTTTTTCTTAACTAATAAAGAAACTGAGACCGCCAGTCGCCATGGCTAATGCCTGTAATTCCAACCCTTTGGGAGGCCAAGGTGGGTGGATCACCTGAGGTCAGGAGTTCGAGACCAGCCTGGCCAACATCGCAAAACCCTGCCCCTACTAAAAATACAAAAATTAGCCAGGCATGGTGGCATGTGCCTGTAATCCCAGCTATTTGGGAGGCTGAGACAGGAGGACCGCTTGAGACTGGAAGGCGGAGGTTGCAGTGAGCCGAGATCATGCCACTGCACTCCAGCCTAGGTGACAAGAGAGAAACTCTGTCTCAAAAAAAAAAAAGAAACTGAGGCTTAGAGAGAGTAAGCAATTTGTGTAAAGTCACTCAGCTAAGTCAAGGAACCAGGATTTAGGCCAAGCAAGGTGGCTCATGCCAGTAATCCCAGCACTTTGGGAGGCCGAGGTGGGTGGATCACTTCAGGTCAGGAGTTCGGGACCAGCCTGGCCAACATGGTGAAACCCCATCTCTACTAAAAATACAAAAAAAATTAGCTGGGTGTGGTGGCACATGCCTGTAATCCCAGCTACTCAGGAGGCCAAGGCAGGAGAATTGCTTGAACCTGGAGGCGGAGGTTGCAGTGAGCCAAGATCATGCCACTGCACTCCAGCCTGTGCGACAGAGCAAGTCCATCTCATTTAAAAAAAAAAAAAAGCCAGGCGCGGTGGCTCACGCCTGTAATCCTAGCACTTTGGGAGGCCAAGGTGGGAAGATCACCTGAGGTCAGGAGTTCAAGACCAGCCTGACAAACATGGAGAAACCCCGTCTCTATTAAAAATACAAAATTGGCCAGGCACAGTGGCTCAAGCCTGTAATCCCAGCACTTTGGGAGGCCGAGGAGGGCAGATCACGAGGTCAAGAGATTGAGACCATCCTGGCCAACATGGTGAAACCCCGTCTCTACTAAAAATACAAAAATTAGCTTGGCGTAGTGGCGGGCGCCTGTAGCCCCAGCTACTCAGGAGGCTGAGGCAGGAGAATCGCTTGAGCCCAGAAGGCGGAGGTTGCAGTGAGCCAAGATCATGCCACTGCACTCCAGCCTGGTGACATCTCAAAAAATAATCATAATAAATAAATAAAAATACAAAATTAGCCAGGTGTGGTGGCGTGTGCCTGTAATCTCAGCTACTTGGGAGGCTGAGGCAGGAGAATTGCTCAAACCCAGAAGGTGGAGGTTGCGGTGAGCTGAGATCACAGCATTGCACTCCAGCCTGGCAACAAGAGCAAAACTCCGTCTCAAAATAAAAAGAACCAGGATTTAAATCCAAATCTATTTCATGTCCATTCCGTGACATTACATCATCATAAAAACTAACGTTTGAACAGTTACTGTGTGCCAGGCACTGTTTTAAGTGCTTATATTACTCAATATATTTTTTTAAATGAAGTGGTATGATTATCATTATTTTGTAGATGAGGAAACAGACATTTACGTATGTAACTGGCTTGGCTTAAGTTATACACCTCATAAAGTGGCAGGGCTAGGAACAAACTCAGAGAATCTAGCTCCACAGTCTGCAATCTCTAATTTTTATAAATAAATTGGATTACACACAGCATTACCTTCAAAATCTCTCTGATCATATAATAAGCTACCCCCAAAAGGAACTTCAAAGGGCATATATTTTATTGTTAGTATTCTTTAATCTGTAAGTACATTATAGTATACACCCAAACTTACCAGGTTTAGGTACTTCTAGACCTCTTTCTTTATAGAAATCATGCATTTGCTTTTTTTCTCCTAAAAAATGATAAAACACAGACTAAATTACACTTAAAATGTAACTACTAGAGTCAGAGATTCTGGGATTCACAACCATGTAATAAAAGAAACTTACTTTCCTCTAGATTGATCACTAATTTGTACACTATGTCTTGTAACTGTCGGTCCAACCTAATAAAAGGAAAGGATGGAGAATACCTCAGAATTCAGAAAAATGCATTTTGGTACAGAGTGAGTTAATTGTGTTTTCTCTTGAGAGTGGGTATCTTTTTTCTCAGAGGTGAGTTACTTTTAAGTAGCATTTACAGTTCCTAAAATATAACTCACTCAAGAAAACCTTAAGTAAATATATGTAATCATAAGTATTCACAGATTCTTGAATGGGTCACTAAACTGTTTCATGTGCATTGTTTTTTGTGTGTGTGTGTGACAAGGTCTCACTTTTGTCACCCAGGCTGGAGTGCAGTGGCTCAATCATGGCTCACTGCAGCCTCCACTTCCTAGGCTTAGGTGGATTTTTCCCACCTCAGCCTCCTTAATAGCTGGGACTAAAGGCGCGTGACACCACGCCTGGTTAATTTGATTTTATTCCCTTCATAAGAATACGAGTTGAGGGCAGAGACTGTATTTTGAACTTCTGTCTATCATCTGCAAAGCACTCCTGTGTGAAGGTAGTAAAAATCAATAGTATTTGTTGAATAACAGTAATCTACTGTTAGTATTTTTCCCTCTCTTAAGAAACTGAGTATGAACTGGAAATTTGAATAATAAGCCACAATGAGCTAATGACAAATGGGCTTTACTAAAGAGGCCAGTTGTTTCAGGTATTACTTCTAAAAAAACAGAATTTGGAATACCTATATACTGGAAATGAAAAGCCTAAACTAGCCTCATTAACCTGAGTAAGTGATGGGATTAAAATTCTCAGGAAAAAGGCCTGTGCCTCTTTTAAGTCCTCAGCAGATATTACAGTGCCTAGTACATAGTAAGTGCTCTATACATATTTCTTAAAAGAATATGTAGTTCCCTTTTAATTTTGAGAGAGGTCAAGAGTTTTTTTGTTTTTTTTTTTTTTGAGATACTCTCATCAGTCTGTCGCCCAGGCTGGAATACAGTGGCACGATCTTGGCTCCTGCAACCTCTGCCTCCCAGGTTCAAGCGATTCTCCTGCCTCAACCTCCCAAGTAGCTGGGATTACAGGCATGTGCCGCCACTCCTGGCTAATAGTGGAGATGGGGTTTCACCATGTTGGCCAGGTTGGTCTTGAACTCCTGATCTGAAGTGATCCACTCACCTCGGCCTCCCAAAGTGCTGGGATTATGGCATTAGCCACTGAACCCATCCTGAGAGGTCAATAATTTATTCCAACTATATAACTTCAAGCTTTCAGAAAAAGTATATTTAAAATACAATTGTAATTTATATATTCTTCTTACCTTATGTTATAAAGAGGTTGTGTCTGATGTACTACTATATTGCATTTTGGACATCTGTTGCTGTAGTAAAAATGTCTTACGATGCAGCTTTTACAAACTGTTGAAAAAGAATGTTGAAGTCAGGATGCTTTCAAGACATTTCAAAAACTGAAAAATTATTCAGAAATGTGATCGGTATGCTTACAGGTATGAAGACATTCTGTGATGGTAGTTGCATCTATTAAGTAACCTTTGCAAATGGAACACAAGATGTATGGGGTCAGCTCAGAGAGATTAATCAGGCGCTGCAAATAAACGGAAACAGTTTTAAAATACAAGTCCTTGCCTTTTACAAATTCTTTTTTTTTTTTTGAGACAGAGTCTCACTCTGTAGCCCAAGCTGAGTGCAGTGATGTCATCTCGGTTCACTGCAACCTCCGCCTCCTGGATTAAAGCGATTCTCCTGTCTCAGCCTCCCGAGTAGCTGGGATTACAGGCGCGCACAACCACGCCTGGCTAATTTTTGTATTTTTAGTAGAGATGGGGTTTCACCATGTTGGCCAGGCTGGTCTCGAACCCCTGGCCTCAGGTGATCCACCCGCCAAGGCCTCCCAAAGTGCTAGGATTACAAGCATGAGCCACCGCGCTCAGTCCACCTTCTTCAAAACCTTAAACCATAATCTCAAAATGTCATTGCAACATGGAAACATACACCTCCAACCCATTAAAAGACTACTGAAAGTTACAATAATAACACAATATAAATTATTGTTTCTTTCTTTCCGTTTTTTTTTTTTTTTTTTTGAGAGGGAGTCTGCCTCTGTCGCCCAGACTGGAGTGCAGCGGCAAGATCTCGGCTCACTGCAACCTCCGCCTCCCAGATTCAAGTGATTCTCCTACCTCAGCCTCCTGAGTAGCTGAGATTACAGGCGCGTGCCACCACGCCCCGCTACTTTTTGTATTTTCAGTAGAGAAGGGGTTTCACCGCTTTGGTCAGGCTGAACTCCTGACCTCGTGTTTCGCCTGCCTCGGCCTCCCAAAGTGCGGGGATTATAGGCGTGAGCCACACCGCGCCCAGCCAAATTATTGTTTCAAAAGGATCTTTACGCTGGGCGCAGTGGCTCACGCCTGTAATCCCAGCACTTTGGGAGGCCGAGGCGGGCGGATCACGAGGTCAGGAGATCGAGACCATCCTGGCTAACACGGTGAAACCCCGTCTCTACTAAAAATACAAAAAATAAGCCGGGCGTGGTGGCGGGCGCCTTGTAGTCCCAGCTACTCTAAAGGCTGAGGCTGGAGAATCGCTTGAACCTGGGAGGCGGAGGTTGCAGTGAGCCGAGATCGCGCCACTGCACTCCAGCCTGGGCGACAGAGCGAGACTCCGTCTCAAAAACAAAACAAAACAAAACAAAACAAAAGGATCTTTACTGCCTAGTAAGCAGTAGCTTCAATAATTATACAGGACAGGCAACGTGGCTCACGCATGTAATCTTTCGGAAGGCCAGAGAGGGAGAATCTCTTGAACCCAGGAGTTCGAGAACAGCCTGGGAACATAGGGAGCCCTCCTCGCTACAAAAAAAAAAAAAAATGTTTAATTAGCCCGGCGTGGTGGCGCGTGCCTGTAGTCCCAGCTACTCCGGAGGCTGAGGCGGGAGGATCGCCTGAGGCCAGGAGTTGGAGGCTGCAGTGAGCCATGGTCGCGCCACTGCACTCCAGCCTGGGAGACCCTGTCTCAAAATAATTATAATTATTAACAGAACGAATGAGTTGGACTCGCAGAGCCTAAGTGACCTGCAAGAACTTCACAAAATAAGCGGGTAAAGACCCAGGCCGGGCCGGAGGCCTGTCGGCGCCACACGCCTAGGCAGCCGGGGCAGAGGTCGGGGGAGGTCCGCTCCAGTGCTCCGCGCGGCGGCGGCGCACTAGGATCGGGCCGGCGCCCGGCAGACGAGGGCCAGCTACGTCCCTGACGCCGCTTGGGCCCAGCGGGGTCGCGCGGGGGCTCTAAATACCTCCTCCTCGTCCTCCGAGTCCTGCCGGCCTCCCTCCAGCCTCAACGAGAAGTGACTCATGTCCTCCTCCTCCTCCTCTTCTTCCTCCTCCAGCTCCTCTTCTTCTTCCAACTCCTCGTCCTCGTCCTCGAAGCGGCCTCTGAAGCGGCCCAGGCTGCGCTCCGGCTCCAGCTCAGGGGGCCGGGAGCCGGAGCAGCCGGGAGCCCCCGTCTCAGACAGAGGCGCCGGTCCCTCCTCACCCGCTGCGGGTGCAGGGGTGAGGGCGGGCGGGGAGACAGGAGGCGGAGGCGGCAAGGCTGCAGCTCCCTCGGTTTTGGCAGCGCCTACGCTGCCCGCCGTCACCACCGCGACCCCCTCCATGGTCGGGAGAGACACCAGGCGAGGCGAGGCGGCGGGAGAGCGCGGGAGTTCGGCCGGCCTCGGACGCCACCACTGCGCAGGCGCGGCAGCCTGAGGGGCTCGCCGGGAAATGTGGTTTAGCGGCCCTCACCTCCGCGGGGCGCAAACCCTGCAGCTCCGGGGCAGGCTGCGGGGCGCGCGGGCCGCACTTTAAAGGAATCTCACCAGATTTTCTCCTTGGAAGGGGACGCTCTCTTCGCCGCCTTTTAAAAACAGCAAAATTGCTACCGTTCCAAGCAACAATATTCTGTTTGCATCACCTAATTCACAGAGCACTGAACTAGGTAGCATGTGACGTTGCATCACAAATAATAATCATTTCCACTTGAGTACCAATTATGCATTTCCTCTGTGGCAAATCACCTCCATCCAAGATTATTTCCCTTAGGAAGTATAAAGTTCCTGTTCTGAAGTATGTACGTTTATTTATTTTAAGGAATTATATAGTGTATTGATACAAGGTGAAAATCTAATCACTACTCAAAGATCATCCATGTCACCCCATCCCATAAAGCCCATTATATTGAATTCGAAAAGCTTTTTTTTTTTTTTTTTGAGACAGTTTCGCTCTTGTCGCTCAGGCAGGAGTGCAGTGGCGCTCACTTGCAACCTCCGCCTCCCGGGTCCAAGCGATTCTGCCTCAGGCTCCCAAGCAGCTGGGACTACTGGCGCCTGCCACCACGCCCAGCTAACTTTTGTATTTTCAGTAGAGACAGGGTTTCACCATGTTGACCAGGCTAGTCTCAAACTTCTGATCTCAGGTGATCCACCCGCCTCAGCCTCCCAAAGTGTTGGGTTACAGGCCTGAGCCAGGGCGCCGGGCCCAACAAACATTTATTGAGGGCCTACTGTAGCAGAAACTCAGACCCACCCAGGTACAACCCACCCCATTGCCCAATTTTATTAAGAGAGGTTTGGAGTTGGCTTAACATTATTCTTGCTAGTCCGGGCGCGGTGGCTCACACCTGTAATCCCAGCACTTTGGGAGGCCGAGGCGCGCAGATCATGAGGTCAGGAGTTCAAGACCAGCCTAGCCAACATGGTGAAACCCCGTCTCTACTAAAAATACAAAAATTAGCTGGGCATGGTGGCGCGTGCCTGTAATCCCAGCTACTTGGGAGGCTAAGGCAGAAGAATCACTTGAGCCCAGGAGGCGGAGCTTGCAGTGAGCTAAGATCGTGCCACTGCACTCCAGCCTGGGCTACAGAGTGAGACTCCATCTCAAAACAAAACAAAACAAAACAAAACAAAACAAAAAACAAAAAAACCATTATCCTTGCTAAGATAATGCCAGCTAATGTCACGATGCCTGCAAGAAAGATTCGGGAAGTCAAATGCTCCTAATCAAATAATGCCTGGCAAAGTCACATTTAAGAGCTGAATGTGACCAGGCACAGTGGCTCCCGCCTGTAATCCCAGCACTTTGGGAGGCTGAGGCAAGCGGATTGCCTGAGGTTGGGAGTTAGAGACCAGCCTGACCAACATGGAGAAACCCCATCTCTACTAAAAATACAAAATTAGCCGGGCATGGTGGCGCATGCCTGTAATCCCAGCTACTCGAGAGGCTGAGGCAGGAGAATCACTTGAACACAGACGAGGTGGAGGTTGCGGTGAGCCGAGATCACACCACTGCACTCCAGCCTGGGCAACAAGAGCAAGACTCCATCTCAAAAAAAAAATAAATTTTAAAAATATGGCCAAGCGAGGTGGCTCATGCCTGTAATCCCAATGCTTTGGGAGGCTGAGTTGGGCGGGTAACGAGGTCAGGAGTTTGAGACCAGCCTGACCAACATGGTGAAACTCCATCTCTACTAAAAATACGAAAATTAGCCGGGCATGGTGGTGCACACTTGTAATCCCAGCTACTCAGGAGGCTGAGGCAGGAGAATCACTTGAACCCGGGAGGCGAAGGTTGCAGTGAGCCGAGATCGCACCACTGCACCCCAGCCTGGGCGACAGAGTGAGACTCCGTCTCAAAAAATTAAAATACAATAAAATAAAATAAAATAGCTGAATGTGTGCCAGGGGTGGTAGCTCATTGCCAGCCTGGGCGCCAGAGCGAGACCCGGTCTAACAACAACAAAAAAAAGAAAATGCTGAATGTGTTGTCTAGGGAATTGATGAGGAAATCAAGTCATGGTGTTTCCTTGGGGAACAGTGAACCAAGTTAAGTATTCCCATTGCTTCTGGACCAGACCCCACCTCTCCTTCTCCAGTCCCAACGTCTGGTCAAGTTTGAGATACTGAAGTCTGCAAGACCCAAGAAGGAATGGAAGGAAGAAAATGTCTTCTAAAACATGGAGGAGGTGTAGACTCCAGAGGGCTGGAAATAAAAACGACTATAGTATTGAAAAAGAGTGCCTCAAGTGGATGTTGGTGGAGCTCTACAGTAATTCCACATAGTCAGAGTTCAAGAACAGCCTGGGCAACACAGTGACAGCTCATCTCAAAAACAAAAACAAAACATGCAATCCAATTTCAAAATGGACAAAGAATCTGAATAAACATTTTTCCAAAGAGACTATATCAATAAGCATAAGAAAAGATGGTCAACATCATAAGTCTTCAGGGAAATGCAAATCAAAATTACAATAATATGCTAGTTCACCCTATTAGGTTTTTTTTTTTTTTTTTTTGAGACAGAGTCTCGCTCTGTTGCCCAGGCCAGAGTGCAGTGGCATGATCTCGTCTCACTGCCACCACTGACTCCTGGCTTCAAGCAGTTCTCGTGCCTTGGCCTCTCAGTAGCTAGGACTACAGAAGTATGCCACCACACCCAGCTATTTTTTGTAGACATGTGGTTTTGCCATGTTGGTCAAGCTGGTCTCGAGCTCCTGACCTCAAGTGATCCATCTGCCTCTACCTCCCAAAGTGCTGGGATTACAGGTGTGAGCCACTGTGCCCGGCCTACTTCACCCATTAGGATGGCTATAATAATAAACAGATAATAAAAAGTTTTGTGGAGGTTGTAGAGAAATGGGAACCCTCACACATAGCTGGTGAGAATGTCAAATGGTGCAGCAACTTTGAGAAACATTCTGGCAGTTCTCAAAAGGTTGAACATAAAGTTACCATGTGAGCCAGCAATTCCACTCCTAGGTATATAAAGAAAAATTAAAACATATGTTCACACAAGAACTCTTACATGAATGCTCATACCAACATTATTCATAGTAACAAATAATTAGAATGAACTCCAATATCCATCAACTGATAATGGGTAAATAAAATCTCATTGATCCACTCAGTGGAATATTATTTAGCCACATTTTATTATTTCATAAAAAATGAAGCAATGGGCCAGGCGCAGTGGCTCACGTCCATAATCCCAGCACTTTGGGAGGCTAAGGTGGGCTGGCGGATCACTTGAGGTCAGGAGTTTGAGACCAGTCTGGCCAACATGGTGAAACCCTGTCTCTACTAAAAATACAAAAATTAGCCGGGCATGGTGGCATGCGCTTGTAGTCCCAGCTACTCAGGAGGCTGAGACAGGAGAATCACTTGAACCCAGGAGGCAGAGTTTGCAGTAAGCCAAGATCATGCCACTGCCCTCCAGCCTGGGCGACAGAGCAAGACTGTCTCAAAAAAAAAAAAAAAAAAAAAAGCAGCAGCAATGGCCAATCAGCATATGAAAAACTGCTAAGTATCACTAATCATTAAAGAAATGCAAATCAAAACCACAAGGAGGCTACTCATGTCTGTAATCCTAGTACTTTGGGAAGTAGAGGCGGGCAGATCACTTGAGGTCAGGAGTTTGAGACCAGCCTGGCCAACATGGTGAAATCCTGTCTCTACCAAAAATATAAAAAATAGGCCGGAGGAGATGGTTCACGCCTGTAATCCCAGCACTTTGGGAGGCCAAGGCGGGCAGATCACCTGAGGTCTGGAGTTCGAGACCAGCCTGACCAATATGATGAAACCCTGTCTCTACTAAAAATACAAAATTAGCTAGGCGTGGTGGTACACACCTCTAATCCCAGCTACTTGGGAGGCTGAGACAGGAGAATCGCTTGAACTCGGGAGGAGGAGGTTGCAGTGAGCCGAGATCGCGCCATTGTACTCTAGCCTGGGCAACAAGAGTGAAACTCCATCTCAAAATAAAATAAAATAAAATAATTATATATATAAATTAGCCAGACATGTTGGCATGAGCCTGTAATCCCAGCCAAGATCACACCACTACACTTCAGCCTGGGCAACAGAGTGAGACTCCACCTCAAAAAAAA
Source organism: Homo sapiens (assembly GCF_000001405.40). Lineage (NCBI taxonomy): Eukaryota > Metazoa > Chordata > Mammalia > Primates > Hominidae > Homo > Homo sapiens. Next base: position 103,355,332 of record NC_000010.11, read on the forward strand.
AAAAAAAAAGACAAATACTATATGATTCCACTTATATGCGATACCTAGGGTGGTTAAGGTCATACAGGCAGAAAGTAAAATCCTGGTTACCAGGAGCTGGGCAGAGGAGGAATGGAGAGTTTCTGTTTTACGGGTTTGGAGTTTCAGTTTGGGAAGACGAAAAGAATCTGGAGATGGAGGGTGGTGATGGCTGTGCAACAGTGTGAATGTACTTAATGACACTGAACTGTACATTAAATATGGCTAAAGTGGTAAATTCTATGTTTTAGATATATTGTACCACAATATAAAGTAATACATATGATAAAGAATTAAGGCTGGGCGCAGTGGCTCACGCCTGTAATCCTAGCACTTTGGGAGGCTGAGGTGAGTGGATCACCTTAGGTCAAGAGTTTGGGACCAGCCTGGACAACGTGGTGAAACACTATCTCTACTAAAAATACAAAAAATTAGCCAGGCATGGTGGCGCATGCCTGTAATCCCAGCTACTCAGGAGGCCGAGGCACGGGAATCGCTTGAACCCGGGAGGCAGAGGTTGCAGTGAGCTGAGATCGTGCCATTGCATTCCAGCCTGGGCAACAAGAGAGAAACTCTATCAGAACAACAAAAACAAAAAATTAAAACAACATGAGAAAGTATATAAAATAAAATATTGAAGTCCTTTCCCATAATCCCCGTTCATGGACTTGAACACACTTACACTTTCTAAAATACCTGGTATTACACCATCATATTCTTCAGAGGACAACCCTGTGAAAGCCAGCGCATACCTGATAATTACTTCCATACTTCTAGCTGTGGAATTCGTGGGTCATAAGGTAGAAACATTTGTATTTTGGCCACATGTTGAAATTGTCAAGTTATTATTTTAGTGAAAATAGGCCTTTTTTTATTGCTGTTGACAGTGTAATCTGTACAACCTTAAAGAAAGCAATTAGGCTGGTGTGTTGGTCCATGCCTGTAATCCCAGAACTTTGAAAGGCCAAGGCAGGAGGATTGCTTGACCCCAGGAGTTCCAGACCACCCTGGCAACATAGTGAGATCCCGTCTCCACAAAAATAAAAAACATTTAAAATTGCCCACAGTAGTAGCACGTGCATGTAGTCCCAGCTACCTGGGAGGCTGAGGTGGGAGGATCACTGAGCCCAGGAGGTCAAGGCTGCAGTGAGCTGTGATCATGCCACTGCACTCCAGCCTGGGCAACAGAGTGAGATCCTGTCTGAAAAAAAATTAAAAATAAAAATGAAAAGAAAGAAATTAGTTAACATATAACAAGAAACTTAAAAATATGTACAACTTTAGACAGGCAGGATGGCTCACACCTGTGATCCCAGTGACTCAGGAGGCTGAGGCGTAGGATTGCTTAAGCCCAGGTATTCCAGGCTGCAATGAGCTATGACAGCATCACTGCACCTAGCACTCCAGCACTCCAGCCTGGGTGACAGAGAGAGACCATGATCACACACACACACACACACACACACACACACACACACACACACACACACACACATTTAAAAATTGGAAAATAAATGAAAATTATCAAAAGAAATAAAGCCAAATAGCTGAGTGTGGTCCTCACGCCTGTAATCCTAGCATTTTGGGAGGCCAAGGCAGGTGGATTGCCTGAGCTCAGGAGTTCGAGACCAGCCTGGGCAACCCAGTGAAACCCTGTCTCTACTAAAATACAAAAAATTAGCCGAGCATGGTGGCATGCGCCTGTAGCCCCAGCTACTTGGGAGGCTGAGGCAGGAGAACTGCTTGAACCTGGGAGGCGGAGGTTGCAGTGAGCCAAGATCGTGCCACTGCACTCCAGCCTGGGCGACAGAGCAATATTCCATCTCAAAAAAAAAAAAAAAAAAAAAAAAAAGAACAGAAAAGAAAAAATGCCAAATAGATACAAGCTTTTTCATGGAAACAGACATGTTGATTTTAAACTTCAATACATCTATGATACGTGATAGAAAAAAAAATATGCAACAATAGCCAGGAAAACACTACAAAGACAAAGCCCCACCTTGGGCAACATGGTAAAACCACATCTGTATAAAAAATACAAAAATTAACCAGGTGTTATGGCCTGTGCCTGTAGTCCCAGCTACTTGGGAGGCTGAGGTGGGAGGATTGCTTGAGTCAGAGAGGTCGGGGCTGCAGTGAGCCAAGATCCTGCCACTGCACTCTAGACTGGGCAACAGAGTGACAGTCTGTCTCTAAAATAAATAAATAACTTTGTTAGGCTGAGGCGGGTGGGTCACTTGGGCTCTGGAATTCAAGACCAGGCTGGGTAACATGGCAAAACCCTGTCTCTAAAAAGAATACAAAAAATAAAAGATTAACTGGGCGTGGTAGCACTCGCCTGTAGACTCAACTACTGGGGAAGGGATAATGGGAGGGTACGCTGAGGTGGGAGGTTTGCTTAAGCCCACGAGGTGGAGTCTGCAGTGAGCCATAATTGTGCCACTGCACCCCAGCTTAGGTGACAGAGCCAGGCCCCGTCTCAAAAATAAAATAAAAATCTATAAGATGTGTTAAAACTCACAAAAGTACATCAAAAAAGTTCAACTTTATTACATGTAAATTAAATGATGATAATGACAATAATAATAAACCATACTGAGATACCATTTCTCACCTATCAGAATGGCAAAAATTTAGGAAGTAACAATTCACTCTGTTGATGAGGCTGTGAGGAAATAGTCACTCTCACACATTGCTGACAGGATTGCAAATTGATACAAACTTTATGAAGGGGAATTCTGCAACACCTGGGAAAACAAAATGTCCACTTATCTTTTCACCTAGTGATCACTCTTCTGGGAATTTATTCTGAAGATACAATCCAACAATATAAAAATACATACACAAAAGGTTATTTAATGCAGCACTGTTGGTAATTACACAATTCTGGAAACTAAATGGCCATACATAGGAGAGTAGTTAAATAAACAATTGAACATCCACAAGATAGAGTACTGTGCAATGCTAAAAAAAGAAAAGAATGAGGAATTTCTCTAAAGACAGTTACGATTTCCAGGATACATTTTTTTTTTTTTTGAGACGGAGTTTCGCTCCTGTTGCCCAGTCTGGAGTGGAATGGTATAATCTCGGCTCACTGCAACCTCTGTCTCCCTGGGTTCAAGCAATTCTCCTGCCTCAGCCTCCCAAGTAGCTGGGATTACAGGCATGTGTCACCACACCCAGCTAGTTTTTTGTATTTAATAGAGACAGGGTTTCACCATGTTGGTCAGGCTGGTCTTGAACTCCTGACCTCAGGTGATACACCCGCCTCGGCCTCCCAAAGTGCTGGGATTACAGGCGTGTGCCACCTCGCCTGGCCGATTTCCAGGATACATGGTTAAGTGAAAAAGAGCAACTTAAAAAAGAGGACCTGTCGGGTGTGGTGGCTCTCGCCTGTAATCCCAGCACTTTGGGAGGCCAAGGTGGGTGAATCATGAGGTCAGGAGTTTGAGACCAGCCTGACCAATATGATGAAACCCCGTCTCTACTAAAAATACAAAAATTAGCCGAGTGTGGTGATGTGTGCCTGTAATCCCAGCTACTCAGGAGGCTGAGGCAGAAGAATTGCTTGGAGCCAGGAGACGGAGGTTGCAGTGAGCTGAGATCACGCCATTGCACTGTAGGCTGGGCGACAGAGCGAGATCGAGACTCCATCTCAAAAAAAAAAAAGAGGATCTATAGTATGCCACCTTTTGTTTAAGAAAGAGAGGCTGGCCGGGCATGGTGGCTCATGCCTGTAATCCCAGCACTTTGGGAGGCTGAGGCGGGCGGATCACGAGGTCAGGAGTTCGAGACCAGCCTGACCAACATGGTGAAACCCCATCTCTACTAAAAATACAAAAAATAGCCGGGCGTGGTGGTGTGCGCCTGTAATCTCAGCTACTTGGGAGGCTACAGCGGGAGCATTGCTTGAACCTGGGAGGCGGAGGTTGTGGTGAGCTGAGATCGTGCCATTGCACTCCAGCCTGGGCAATAAGAGCGAAACTCCATCTCAAAAAAAAAAAAAAAGAAAGAAAGAAAGGCCAGGCGTGGTGGCTCATGCCTGTAATCCCAGCACTTTGGGAGGCTGAGGCGGGTGGATCATTTGAGGTCAGGAATTCGAGACCAGCCTGGCCAACGTGGTGAAACCCCGTCTCTACTAAAAATGCAAAAATTAGCTGGGCGTGGTGGTAGGTGCCTGTAATCCCAGCTACTCAGGAGGCTGAGGCAGGATAATCGCATGAACCTGGGAGGCGGAGGTTGCAGTGAGCCAAGATAATGCCATTGCACTCCAGCCTGGGCGACAGAGGTGAGACTCTGTCTCAAAAAATAAATAAATAAATAAATAAATAAATAAATAAATAAATAAATAAAAAGAAAAGAAAGAGAAAGAAGAAAATATACTGTACCTTATCTGCACATTTGAAAAAGAAACAGAAAGGATAAAAAGGTGTGGTTAGAATGGGGTGGAACAAAGGATAGAAGGAATGGGTATGACACTTCCCTGAATATACTTTTTTGCATAGTTCTGAATTTTATATTTAAAAATAAGATGGGAAACCTTCTAAAATTGAACACAGCCGGGCGTGGTGGCTCACGCCTGTAATCCCAGCACTTTGGGAGGCCGAGGCGGGCGGATCATGAGGTCAGGAGATCGAGACCATCCTGGCTAACACAGTGACACCCCGTCTCTACTAAAAATACAAAAAATTAGCCAGGCGAAGTGGCGGGCACCTGTAGTCCCAGCTGCTCCAGAGGCTGAGGCAGGAGAATGGCGTGAACCCCAGGGGGGCGGAGCCTGCAGTGAGCCGAGATTGCGCCACTGCACTCCAGCTTGGGCAACAGCGAGACACCATCTCAAAAAAAAAAAAAAAAAAAAAAAAAAAAAAAAAAATATATATATATATATATATATATATATATATAGAATACAAAGAGAAATAAATTAATCAAACCGTGCTTCAAATGATTAAGATAACCACCGTGAAGGATGGGGTGGGGAAGAACTAACCCAAATTACTTTTCAGCATAGGATTTGGACTATATATCCATAGGCTAAACACAAAAAATACAGAAGGTTCTTGCTTTGTTCAGTTCCGACATGTATGAATTTCAATTACCACAGTTTAATTAAATAACATCAGTCCAACAATAACATGGTTCAAAGGTAGTTACCATAGTATATTAACTGTAATTGCATAAAGTATAAACTTTGCTACTAGCTCTTCAGTCCACAAATCTCTAAGTAAACAAGAGACACCTGGTGATCGGTAACCATCATCTCAGTTCTTTCTTTTCTTTCTTTTTTTTTTTTTTTTGAGATGGAGTTTTGCTCTTGTTGCCCAGGCTGGAGTGCAATGGCACGATCTCAGCTCACCATAACCTCCGCCTCCCGGGTTCAAGCAATTCTCTTGCCTCAGCCTCCTGAGTAGCTGGGATTACAGGCATGTGCCACTATGCCCGGCTAATTTTGTATTTTCAGTAGAGACGGGGTTTCTCCATGTTGGTCACGCTGGTCTCGAACTGCTGACCTCAGGTGATCCCTGCGCCTAGGCCTCCCAAAGTGCTGCGATTACAGGCATGAGCCACTGCGCCAGGCATCTTACTTCTTTCAAAGTCAGCTGGTGATTGGTCATTGTACTTACCTTATTCAGTTGTAGTTGTCTTGTCTCCTTGTCTGCCAGTGACTCACATGACATTTTATAAAAATGAATAATCAGGCTGGCACAATGGCTCATGCCCGTAATCCCAGCACTGTGGGAGGCTGAGGCGGGCGGGTGGATCATTTGAGCCCAGGAGTTCAAGACCAGCCTGGGCAACATAGTGAAACCCTGTCTCTATAAAAAATACAAAAATTAGCCAGGTGTGGTGGCTCGAGCCTGTAGTCCCAGCTACTTGGGAGGCTGAGGTAGGAGGATCCCTTGAGCCTAGGAGGTTGAGCCTGTAGTGAGACACAATTACACCTTGCACTCAAGCCCAGACAACAGAGTGAGACCCTGTCTCAAAACAAACAAATAAATAATCAGAAGAAAGAATTAATGAACAAACATGAAAGTGTAGTAACGAAAGGAAAAGTGTTGGAAGTCAAATTTCAATCACCCATAAATGGCAAATTTATTGACATAAATGATGAAATTTGTTGTTATTAAAAGGATGAAGATATCCCAGAGGAAGTGTTGCCAGCAAAAAAACCTTTGCATTAAATACGAGGTCTCAGAGACATTTCACAACATTGAAAGCACAAAAGAAAAAAAATGCAAACTTAGAAAGGAGTACGACAATTTGCTAAGGAACGAAAAACACACTATCACTATACTGTAAATTATAAGAGAAGAAGGCAAGCACTATTCAAACTATTCGTAATGAGTTTTTTTTTTTCCAATAAGCCTTTTGGACTCCTATTATTCTTGATGAATTTTTAACAAAGAAATGAAGCACTTTAATCCTCAATGTTTCTTTTTTTTTTTTTTTTGAGACGGAGTCTCACTCTATCACCCAGGCCGGAGTGCAGTGGCGCAATATTGCTTCACTGCCACCTCTGCCGCCCAGGTTCAACCGATTCTCCTGCCTCAGCCTCCCAAGTAGCTGGGATTACAGGTGCCTGCCACTGCGCCCGGCTACTTTTGTATTTTTAGTAGAGAAGGGGTTTTACCATCTTGGCCAGGCTGGTCTTGAACTCCTGACCTCGTGATCCACCCGCCTCGGCCTCCCAAAGTGCTGGGATTACAGGCATGAGCCACAGCACCCAGCCAATCCTCAATGTTTCTAATATTTTAAGTTACAGTGTACCAAATAAATATTAGTTTTACTATGTTTTTCATTTTTGTTTTTTTTTTGAGACAGAGTCTTGCCCTGTCATCAGACTAGAGTGCAGTGGCTCGATCTCGGCTCACTGCAACCTCCACTTCCCAGGTTCAAGCAATTCCCCTGCCTCAGCCTCTGCAGTAGCTGGAAGTACAGGTGCACGCCACCATGCTCAGCTAATTTTTTGTATTTTAGTAGAGACAGAGTTTCACCATGTTGTCCAGGATGGGCTTGATCTCGTCATCTCCTGATCCACCTGCCTCTGCCTCCCAAAGTGCTGGGATTACAGGCGTGAGCCACCATGCCTGGCCTGTTTTTCATTTTTCTATACATTTACACCCAACAGTAAGAGACTGTTGAATATTTTCACATTTTTTGAAGGTCACAGAGCAATGTTAACATTGATTATTAATATCACTTTGCATGGTTTCCACTTGCAAACTTTTTTTTTTTGAGATGGAGTCTTGCTCTGTCACCCAGGCTGAAGTGCAGTGGAGCAATCTTGTCTTACTGCAGCCTCTGTCTCCCAGGTTCAAGTGATTCTCTTGCCTCAGTTTCCCAAGTAGCTGGGATTACAGGTGCCCGCCACCATGCCTGGCTAATTTTTGTATTTTTAGTGGAGATGGGTTTTCACCATGTTAGCCAGCTGGTCTCAAATTCCTCTACTCAGGTGATCCGCCTGCCTCAGCTTCCCAAAGTGCTGGGATTACAGGCGTGAGCCACTGCACTTGGCCAGCACACTTATTTTTTATGGCCCCAGACTATTGTGCAAAGCTAGAACTGCCAGCATTCTAAAAATTATTGAATCTAATTAGTACACTTCTTTTTTAAAAGAGACATAGGTTAGCAATTCTGAAGCCACTTTCTCTACATCCTAGGATTGAGCAAGTAAGTAAATATGTTGTGAACAATGACAGAATTCTCACTATTGGAAAAGGGTGTCAAAAATACAGAAAAGGGAATGGATAGAATAAATTCTGCTTTACTAGATTAGAATTGGAGACATTTAAGGTGAACTTAAGGATAAAGATAAATGGATATAGATAGATATGTACATGTAGATGTATGTACATTTCTCAGCACTATCTGCTGAGAGGGCCTAGAAGCAATTACATACCTCACACTCTGGTCTTGGTTTCTAATACCAATAAAAGGAACTTGCCAGGCACGGTGGCTCATGCCTGTATTCCCAGCACTTTGGGAGGCCAAGGTAGGTGGATCACTTGAGCTCAGGAGTTTGAGACCAGCTTGGGCAACGTGTCAAAACCCCATCTCTACAAAAAACACAAAAGTTAGCCAGGCATGGTGGCACATGCCTGTGGTCTCAGCTACCTGGGAGGCTGAGGTGGGAGGATCACCTGAGCCCAGGGAGGTCGAGGCTGCTGTGAGCCATGAATGTGCCACTGTACTCTAGCCTGGGACAATATAAAGGGAGTGTAGAATGTCTCATTGTGCTAGAAATTAAGAAGGAAGTGCTCAAACAATTATGTGGCCATGTCAAAGAAATACAGGAGCCAGTTTGAAGGAGATCCTAATGATCAAATTTGTGACAATATCAAAATAAAAATGTTGATAGTAACTGTGTGAATAAATAAATAGGGAGACAGAAAATTATTATTTTTTTTGAGACAGAGTCTCCTCTGTCACCCAGGCTGGAGTGCAGTGGCATGATGGCGGCTCACTGCAACCTCGCCTCTTGGGTTCAAATGATTCTCCTCTCAGCCTCCCAAGTAGCTGGGATTACTGGCGTGAGCCACCATGCCAGGCTTTTTTTTTTTTTTTTTTTTAGTAGCGATGGGGTTTCACCATGTTAGCCAGGCTATTCTCAAACTCCTGACATCAAGTGACCCCCACCCCGGCCTCAGCCTCCCAAAGTACAGGGATTACAGGCGTGAGCCACTGTGCCCAACCAAGAGATGGAAAATTTCTTCCTTCCATTAGAAAACCAACTAATAAGTGTAGGAGAAATGATGAAATTAGAAAAGCACCAATTGGTAACCATGGTATTAATAACTGACGCAAAAAAAAAAAATTCAGCAATGGATGCTAAAACTAGTGTGTGAAAGTGTGAGGGGTTATGCCGGGCGCAGTGGCTCACGCCTGTAATCCCAGCACTTTTGGAGGCCGAGGCAGGTGGATCACGAGGTCAGGAGTTTGAGACCAGCCTGGCTAGCATGGTGAAACCCTGTCTCTACTAAAAATACAAAAATTAGCTAGGTATGATGGTGCACGACTGTAGTCCCAGCTACTTGGGAAGCTGAGGCAGGAGAATTGCTTGAACCTGGGAGGCGGAGGTTGCAGTGAGCCGAGATCACACCACTGCACTCCAGCCTGGGCGACAGAGCAAGACTCCGTCTCAAAAAAAAAAAAAAGAAAAAGAAAGTGTGAGGGGTTATAGAATTATTACTATTATTATTTTTTAAACACAGGGTTAACCAGGTGCGGTGGCTCATTCCTGTAATCCCAGGAGTTTGGGAGGCTGAGGCGGGAAGATCACTTAAGGTCAGGAGGTTGAGACCAGCCTGGCCAACATGACAAAACCGCATCTCTACTAAAAATATAAAAATTAGTTGGGCATGGTAGTGCACACCTGTAATCCCAGCTACTCGGGAGGCTGAGGCATGAGAATCACTTGAACCTGGGAGGTGGAATTTGCAGTGAGCTGAGATTGAAAAAAAATTAATTCAGGCCGGGCGCGGTGGCTCACGCCAGTAATCCCAGCACTTTGGGAGGCCGAGGCGGGCGGATCACGAGGTCAGGAGATCGAGACCATCCTGGCTAACACGGTGAAACCCTATCTCTACTGAAAATACAAAAAATTAGCCAGGCATGGTGGTGGGCGCCTGTAGTCTCAGCTACTCGGGAGGCTGAGGCAGGAGAATGGCCTAAATCCAGGAGGTGGAGCTTGCAGTGAGCTGAGATCCGGCCACTGCACTCCAGCCTGGGCGACAGAGTGAGACTCCGTCTCAAAAAAAAAGAAAAAAAAAAAAAGAAAAAAAATTAATTCAGTTAAGATCAATTTAATGGGTCACACTCAGTATTTTATTTTATTTATTTATTTATTTATTTTTTTGAGCTGGAGTCTCGCTCTGTGGCCCAGGCTGGAGTGCAATGGCACAATCTCGGCTCACTGCAACCTTCATCTCAGCTCCTAAAGTGCTGGGATTACAGGCATGAGCCGCCACCCCTATCCCTAGATTAGCTTTGCATTTCAGTCTCGGGATCACTTTTGAACATTATGCTTGCACTTTCTTAATCAAACATTTACAGAACACCTTTTAAAGTGAAGTAGAAATAACCAATGGTTATTTATTACATACTAGGTATTGCATATGCATTACCTCATTTAATTCTCAAAACACTATGACGTAACTACTATTATTTTTTTGTTAGAAATTGGGCAACTGGGGCCAGGCGTGGTGGCTCACGCCTGTAATCCCAGCACTGTGGGAGGCCGAGGCAGGTGGACCACCTAAGTTCGGGAGATCGAGACCAGCCTAACCAACATGGAGAAACCCTGTCTCTACTAAAAATACAAAATTAGCTGGGCCTGATGTGGCACATGCCTGTAATCCCAGCTACTCGGGAGGCTGAGGCAGAATAATTGCTTAAACCTGAGTGGTGGAGGTTGCAGTGAGCCGACATGGCGCCATTGCACTCCAGCCTGGGCAACAAGAGTGAAACTCCGTTTCAAAAAAAAAAAAAAAAAATTAGGCAACTGGGACATAGTAAATTAAGTAACTTGCTCCAGGTTATTCAGCCAGTAAGCAAGGTCAAGCCAGGTGGTCTGTGCCTGTAGTCTCAGCTACTTGGGAGGCTGAGGTGAGAGACTGCTTGAGCCCAGGAGTTCAAGGCCAGCCTAGGCAATATAGTAAGGCTTCAGATCTCTAATTAATAAAATAAAATATTTTTTAAAAGTAAGCAGGGTCAAAGGACGCTGGTAAGACCTCAAAACCAATAACTTGAACGGCTGTGCTAGATTTTCCCAATGTCTCAGGCTCACTTTTCTCGTCTGTACCTATTCCACAGAGTTACAAGTTTCCAATGAGATAAAATATGCAGGAGGGTTTTATAACCTATGAAGCACATTGCAAAATGGCATATATGATTTTTTTTTTTTTTTTTTTTTTTCCTGAGACGGAGTTTTGTTCTTGCTGCCCAGGCTGAAGTGCAATGGTGCGATCTCGGCTCACTGCAACCTCCGCCTCCTGGGTTCAGGTGATTCCTCTGTTTCAGCCTCCCGAGTAGCTGGGATTACAGGTGCCCGCCACCACACCTGGCTAAATTTTTATATTTTTAGTAGAGATGGCGTTTCATCATGTTAGCTAGGCTGGTCTCGAACTCCTGACCTCGGGTGATCCACCCGCCTCGGCCTCCCAAAGTGCTGGGACTACAGGTATGTGCCACTGCGTGTGGCCATGATTTTTAAATATACAATTAAAATGGTTTATTTGTAATAACGGATAATAGCATGAATACATAACGTACATATTTCACAACCACAACATTCTGGTATTTAAAAACTTTTTTTTTGAGACGGAGTCTCGTACTGTCGCGCAGGCTGGAGTGCAGTGGCGGGATCTCGGCTCACTGCAACCTCCGTCTCCCGGGTTCAAGCTCTTCTTCTGTCTCAGCCTCCCGAGTAGCTGGGATTACAGGGGCGCACCACCATGCCTGGCTAATTTTTTGTATTTTTAGTAGAGGCGGGGTTTTGCCGTGTTGGTCAGGCTGGTCTCTAATTCCTGATCTCATGATCCGCCCGCCTCGGCCTCCCAAAGTGCTGGGGTTACAGGCGTGAGCCACCGCACCTGGCGTTAAAAACTTTTTATTGAAATGTAATGTATACGGGCCAGGCGCAGTGGTTCACGCCTGTAATCCCAGCACTTTGGGAGGCTGAGGCCGGTGGATCACCTGAGGTCAGGAGTTGGAGACCAGCCTCGCCAACATGGCGAAACCCTGTCTCTACTGAAAATACAAAAATTAGCCGGGCGTGGTGGCACACGTCTGTAATCCCAGCTACTCGGGAGGCTCAGGCAGGAGAATCGCTTGAACCCAGGAGGCAGAGATTGCAGTGAGCTGAGATCGGGCCACTGCACTCCAGCCTGGGCGACAGAGCGACACTCCGTCTCAAAAGTTAAATAAATAAATAAATGTAATGTAATGCATGCAGCTCGATTAACTTTTACAAAAGTAAAAATGACAAAAAAAAAAAAAAAGTAAGCACTATTCAGGTCAAAATGTAAAACTACCAGTATCTCGGAAGCCTCCCTCTGGCAAATGGTATATGTTTTTGAGTTAAATACGTGGATTCGAATGTTGACATTTGGACTTTCTTCTTGCCTCTGGTAAGTTATTTAACCTCTCTTGGTTTCAACTGAGCCATCTGCGAGGTGGGGATAATATTACCTCATAAGATTATTTAATTGTAGCAGGGCGTGGTGGCGCATGCCTGTAATCCTAGCTACTGGGGAGGCTGAGGCAGGAGAATCGCTTAACAGCCTGGGCGACAAGAGCGAAACTCCGTCTCAAAAAAAAAAAAAAGAAAAAAGAAAAAGATTATTGAATTGAAGGAGATCACATAATGTAAAACATCTATCATAATGCCTAAATATAGCTGGCCTGCAATAAATGGCAATTATTCTCAGGCAAATGTAATAGGTGGTCACCAATGCCCACTTCCTGCCTTTCTTTCGCTCGGTTTTGAAAGTTGCTCTCTTTCCTATTCCGTTTCTCCTTCCTTTTCGCTCCTCCTACTGCCGTAAATGGCCTACTAGAGTTGTCGTGAAATGCTCCTCCCCGCCCTCCATGTGGCGAAAATGCAATCACGCTTGACGGCGCGAGGTGGCTCAGCCGCAAGATGGCGGCGCTGGCGGAGGAGCAGACGGAGGTGGCGGTCAAGCTAGAGCCTGAGGGACCGCCAACGCTGCTACCTCCGCAGGCGGGGGACGGCGCAGGCGAGGGTAGCGGCGGCACTACCAACAACGGCCCCAACGGCGGCGGCGGGAACGTTGCGGCGTCGTCGTCCACTGGCGGGGATGGCGGGACCCCCAAGCCCACGGTGGCTGTCTCCGCCGCTGCCCCGGCGGGGGCGGCCCCGGTGCCCGCCGCTGCTCCGGACGCCGGCGCTCCGCATGACCGACAGACTCTACTGGCCGTGCTGCAGTTCCTACGGCAGAGCAAACTCCGCGAGGCCGAAGAGGCGCTGCGCCGTGAGGCCGGGCTGCTGGAGGAGGCAGTGGCGGGCTCCGGAGCCCCGGGAGAGGTGGACAGCGCCGGCGCTGAGGTGACCAGCGCGCTTCTCAGCCGGGTGACCGCCTCGGCCCCTGGCCCTGCGGCCCCCGACCCTCCGGGCACTGGCGCTTCGGGGGCCACGGTCGTCTCAGGTTCAGCCTCAGGTCCTGCGGCTCCGGGTAAAGGTGAGCCGTGGGGTCCCGGGTAGGTACGGCCGCCGCGAAGGGGAGCAAGCCGGTAAGGCAGGGGCTGGCAGGCCTGCACCTCTGCGGGCTTGTTTTGAATTTCCTGGGCCCGCCTCTAGGGCCACATGCCCGCCCCTTTCTCTAGTGCGCGGGCTGCGCAGTCAAACCCCCTTCCGAGCTGTCAGTTCCAGTGAGAAGCTGAGGAGAGCTGTTGAGCAGAGGGATGTATGGGGAAGGTGAGCGCGGAGAGGCGGGATCTTCACGCTCTTGGTCCCTTTCCTTTCATTTGGGCTTTTGAGCCTTGGGCAGGTCCGCATGACACTAACAGTGTTTGTACAGTTTCGTACTAGCGTACTTTAAGTACTGTAAGTACTTTATTTTCTCTTTATTTCTTTAGTTCCTCTTAAAAGATGTGTTGATAAATACTTTATAGATTTTTTTTTTTTTTGAGACGGAAACTTGCTCTGTTGCCCAGGTTGGAGTGCAGTGGCGCAATCTTGGCTCACTGCAACCTCCGCCTCCCGGGTTCAAGCAATTCTCCTGCCTCAGCCTCCCGCGTAGGTGGGACTACAGGCTCCTACTGCCACGGCCGGCTAATTTTTGTATTTTTAGTAGAGGCGGGCTTTCACCATGTTGGTCAGGCTGGTCTCGAAATCCTGACCTCAGATGATCCACCTGCCTCGGCCTCCTACAGTGCTGGGATTACAGGCGTGAGACACCGCGCCCGGCCGCCATACAATATACCCTTGTAACAGTCCTGCACATCATGTACCCCCTGAATCTCAGCTAAAAGTTGAATTTTTTTTCTTTTTCTTTTTTTCTTTTTTTGAGACGGAGTCTTGCTCTGTCGCCCAGGCTGGAGTACAGTGGCGTGATCTTAGCTCACTGCAACCTCTGCCTCCCAGATTTAAGCGATTCTCCTGCCTCAGCCTCCCGAATAGGTGGGACTACTGGCACGCGCCACCACGCCCGGCTAATTTTTAAAAATATATTTTTAGTAGAGATGGGGTTTCGCCATATTGGTCAGGCTGGTCTTGAATTCCTGACCTCGTGATGCACCCACCTCTGCGTCCCAAAGTGCTGGGATTACAGGCATGAGCCACCGCACCCGGCTGAAATTTTAAAAATATATATGGGCTGAGTACCACCAGTGTTAAGTCTTTGGAGGATGCAGGTTCCTGGGCATCACTTCAGACTTAGTGAATCAGGTCCTCTAGAGGTGGAATCTGGGAATCTTCACTTTTGAATAAGTGCTTCTAAGGAGTATTGACATATGGCAGCTTGAGAGCCATGTGTTTAGGCATGGGCATTGGACAGACCTTTTTGTCTTTGCTGCATTTACTTGTGTGATGCTGATTGTCATTATTTTTTTAGTTTTTAATTTTTTTTACCTTCGTATTGGCCGGGCGTCGTGGCTCATGCCTGTGAATCTCAGCACTTTGGGAGGCTGAGGCGGGTGGATCACCTGAGGTCAGGAGTTTGAGACCAGGCTGGCCGACATGGCGAAACCCCCTTTCTACTAGAAATACAAAAATTAGCCGGGCGTGGTGGCGCATGCCTGTAATCCCAGCTACTTGGGGGGCTGAGGCAGGAGAATCACTTGACCCCGGGAGGCTGAGGTTGCAGTGAGCCAAGATTGCGCCACTGCACTCCAACCTGGGTGATAGAACGAGACTCTGTCTCAAAAAAAAAATTTTTTTTTTACATTAATATTGTCAGGAGGCAGGTCATTCTCATGTTGAATTTTCTCTCTCTATTAAATGAGTGGTTATGAGGCTTTTTTTTTTTTTTTTTTTTGACTGAGTCTCGCTCTGTCGGCCAGGCTGGAGTGCAGTGGTGTGATCTTGGCTCACTGCAACCTCCGCCTCCCAGGTTCAAGCGATTCTCCTGCCTCAGCCTCCCGAGTAGGTGGGACCACAGGCACGTGCCACCATGCCTGGCTAATTTTTTTTGTATTTTTATTAGAGACGGGGTTTCACCGTGGTAGCCAGGATGGTCTCGATCTCCTGACCTTGTGATCCACCCGCCTTGGTCTCCCAAAGTGCTGGGATTACAGGCGTGAGCCACCGTGCCCGGCCACTTGAGGCACTTATAATATCTATATGTAAAATGTTTGGTATGGATAAGTTTATGCCTCTGTGTATGTACCTGAAACCTGAGCCCCTCCTTTCTCCCAGCAACTGTTGTCACAAATCCATGCAGTAAAACTCATATACCGTATAAGGTATCAAAGGTGATCCTGAGCTAACAATAAATGTTTATTGAATTACCCAGTGCAGAGCTTTTAGCCAAATTAGTCTGTATGAGGCCTAATTTTTGCAGCATTGCCAGAAATGAAGTATTCATACATAGCATTGTATTCATACCTCATTGTAATCCGTAAATAGAAATGTGTGCAGATGTGATTGAAGGCCGGGCTCGGTGGCTCACGCCTGTAGTCCCAGCACTTTGGGAGGCCAAGGCGGGTGGGTCACTTGAGGTCAGGAGATCAAGACCAGCTTGGCCAACATGGTGAAACCCCATCTCTACTAAAAATACAAAAAAATTAGCTGGGCGTGGTGGCATGTGCCTGTTGCCCCAGCTACTCAGGAGGCTGAGGCAGGTGAACCACTTTAACCCAGGCGGCAGAAGTTGCAGTGAGCTGAGATCAAGCCATTGTGCTCTGGCACGGGTGACAGAGCAAAACTCCGTCTTTACAAAAAAAAAAAAAAAGAGAGAGGAATCTTTTTTGAATGTTGAATTTTGTGAATGAACTATAAGATGAATTATATTGTTGGTTATTTTGCTGTAATCTCAGATCTCTTCAGAAACTTGACCTAATTATAGATCATAACTGAGAAATCAGTAAGGAGGAAAAGAGGCCATCAGAGTAACCAAAGAAATTATCACATTTCTGCAGTAAAGAGCAAAGTGTACTATAATGGCAACTTACAGAAATTTCCAACAACCAAATTCTGATTTAATTGACAGATTAATTGACTGATTTAATTGACAGATGTATTGTTAGGTGGTGCTGTATTACCAATAAATACTTACGTTTTCTGTTTTGAAGTGGTGGTTATGGAAATTGTCTTAAGCATATAACTATCTTTTGAAGATATAAATAAGGCATGGTCCTTCCCACCCTTAAGTACTTACATTTTGTAAGGGGTAAGAGATGTATATAATGTGAAGGGAACACAGGATAGGATATGTTACAAGAATGTTACACAGTGCTTGGGTGGCCCAGAGAGCTGGGAATGTTACTGCAGTGCATGGCTTGGTCGTGGTGGGTGCCATTTGCACAGAGCATTGAGAGAAAGTTAATGTAGTTGTTTGATTTGCACATATCTTTTATACAATTTGTCTTTAACATCAGGTAGTTCCAGGAGAAATACTGACTCCTTGTTATTGTTTTTTTTTTTTTTGAGACGGAGTCTTGCTCTGTCACCAGGCTGGAGTGCAGTGGAGCGATCTTGGCTCACTACAACCTCTGCCTCCTGGGTTCAAGTGATTCTCATGCCTTTGCCTCCCGAGTAGCTGGGATTACAGGCACGTCTCATCACACCCAGCTAATTTTTGTATTTTTAGTAGAGACGGGGTTTCACTATGTTGGCCAGGCTGGTCTTGAACTTCTGACCTTGTGATCTGCCCGCCTCAGCCTCTCAAAGTGCTGGGATTACAGGTGTGAGCCACCGTGTTGGCCTGTTATTGTTATCTTAAGATATGGGTGTGCTGATGGGTTTCGGTTTGGGTGATGAAACAAGTGAAAAAAATTCCATTAAAAGATTATGGCTGGGCGCGGTGGCTCGTACTTTTTTTTTTGAGATGGAGTCTTGCTCTGTCGCCCAGGCTGGAGTGCAGTGGCGCGATCTCGGCTCACTGCATCCTCCACCTCCCGAGTTCATGCCATTCTCCTGCCTCAGCCTCCCGAGTAGCTGGGACTACAGGCGCCCACTACCACGCCTGGCTAATTTTTTGTGTTTTTAGTAGAGACGGGGTTTCACTGTGTTAGCCAGGATGGCCTCGATCTCCTGACCTCGTGATCCACCTGTCTCAGCCTCCCAAAGTGCTGGGATTACAGGCGGGAGCCACCGCACCCGGCGGCTCATACTCGTAATCCCAGCACTTTGGGAGGCAGGTGGATCACTTGTGGTCAGGAGTTTGAGACTAGCCTGGTCAACATAGTGAAACCCCGTCTCTACTAAAAATACAAAAATTAGCTGGGCATAGTGGTGCATGCCTGTAATCCCAGCTACTTAGGAGGCTGAGGCAGGAGAATCGCTTGAACCCGAGATGGGGAGGTTGCAGTGAGCCGAGATTGTGCATTGCACTACAGCCTGGGCGACAAGAGTGAAACTCCATCTTAAAAAGAAAAAAAAAAAAGACTACGTGGGCCAGGTGTGGTGCCTCATGCCTGTAATTCCAACACTTTGGGAGGCCGAGGCGGGAGGATCACAAGGTCAAGATATCAAGACCATCCTGGCCAACATGGTGAAACCCTGTCTCTACTGAAAATATGAAAATTAGCTGGGCATGGTGGCACACGCTTGTAGTCCCAGCTACTTGGGAGGCCGAGGCAAGACACTCGCCTGCGAGGTGGAGGTTGCAGTGAGCCGAGATCTCCCCACCGCCCTCCAGCCTGGCGACAGAGCCAGACTCCCTCTCAAAAAAAAAAAAAAAAGATTATGTGATTGTGTTGAGGAAGAGACAGTGGGAAGAAAGAGACAACAGTCTGAGAAACAACTCACCTGTGGGCTTTAACAATACAGCCATAGTCACATGGTCATAATAGGTCATTTTCTTAAAAGTTTTTTGTTTTTTAAATAGTTGGAAGTGTTGCTGTGGAAGACCAGCCAGATGTCAGTGCCGTGTTGTCAGCCTACAACCAACAAGGAGATCCCACAATGTATGAAGAATACTATAGTGGACTGAAACACTTCATTGAATGTTCCCTGGACTGCCATCGGGCAGAGTTGTCCCAACTTTTTTATCCTCTGTTTGTGCACATGTACTTGGAGCTAGTCTACAATCAACATGAGAATGAAGCAAAGTCATTCTTTGAGAAGTATGTAAATTTTTACATATATATATATACACACATACGTAGTGTGTGTGTGTGCGTGCATATGTTTTCACATCTGTAACCACAAAAATGTAAGACTGCAACTTAAAAAGTACGTTGTGAAGGAGAGGTACCTGAGGCTATGAGAACTTAAAATGTGGGGTTTGATCTAGCTGGAGAAGTCAGAGAAGGCTTCCAGAGGAAATGATACTTGAAGTGAGATTTGAGATCTGAAGATTAGGTAGGAGTTAACCAGATGAAGAGAAGAGGGAAAAGCATGTGTAAAAGCTCTCTGGTGGGAAGGATCCTGGTAGGTACAGAGGCTGAAAGATGGCCAGGGTAGCTGGAGCAGAGAATGGGATGGGGGTGTGGTATACTATGAAGCTGGGAATTGGTTAGGGACTGGAACAGTAGGCAGGTTCTATTGTTAAAGTGAAGGCATTGAAAAAAAAGGATAGGCAGGTTTTTGGGCCATGTTGAGGGTCTTTGTTTATCCTAAGAGCAGTAGGGAGTTGTATTGGATAGGATTAGATTTGGTTGAGAGTCACTGAAAACTCATCAACAATGGCATAAATAAAAGTTTATTTTTGCCTTTATCTTAAGAAAACTAGGAAGCAGTGTTAGGATTCGATTAGAATAAGAGTAACTGAGAACCCAAACAACAGAGGTTTAAATACAATAAAAGTTTGTTTATTTTTCTCGTAAATGTGGGACATTCGGGATTGGTGTGGTGGGTTCTTCATTACCAGGGCCCCAAGCTCCCTCGGTCTTGTTGCTCTCTCATGCTTTTCATGCAATTTCCACCTTGTGGCATAAGATGGTTTTCCTGCTCTAAGCAGTCACATCAGTGTGCCAGTCAGCAGGTAGGGCACACGGAAACTGCACACACTTCTTCCTTTTATATCTTAACAGTCAGTGGCCACACCTAGCTACAAGGGAAATAAGAAATGTAGTCTTTACCTAAGTGTCTATGTGCCCAGCTGATATTCAGGTTTTCTTTTATGGAGGAAGACAGGAAAAATGGATATTTGGGGAGAGCGAAGCCTTTTTGCTACAGAGTCATTTCTGCTACAGAGTCATTAAAGGACCATGTCGTTATTAGATATATACTTTGAAAGGACCTTTATGCAGTGGGGAAAACAAATGGGGGATAGAATGACTATAGGGACAAGTTTTGGAAGTTATTGCAGTGGTTCTCAACTGGAGGTGGAATTGCTCCTTCCACTAGACCATTTGAAAATGTGTAGAGGTGGCCCGGCGCTGCGGCTCACGCCTTTAATCCCAGCACTTTGGGAGGCTGAGGCGGGTGGATCACTTTGACCTCAGGAGTTTGAGACCAGCCTGGTGAGACCTAGTCTCTTCAAAAAAATGCAAAAATTAGCTGGGTGTGGTAGCTCACTCCTGTAATCCCAGCTATTTGGGAGGCTGAGGCTGGAGAATCGCTTGAACCTGGGAGATAGAGGTTGCAGTGAGCTGAGATTGCATCTCTGCACTCTAGCCTAGATGACAAGAGTGAGACCCTGTCTCAAAAAAAAAAAAAAAAAAAAAGAAAATGTGTGGAGGCATTTTTGGTTGTCATAATGACTGGGCGGAGGAGCAGGAATACTAAATGTTCTAATATGTGCACCTAGGTAGTCCCACTTTACAAAGAATTATCCTGCCCAAAATGTTAATAGCACCCTTATTGAGAAGCACTGGACTAGGTTGTGGTGGAGGTGAAGAGAAGTAGACAAAGTCATGAGACACTTGATAGATTGGCTAGGGAGGTGAGGGAGATGGAGATATCATTGAAATCTCCAGTTTTCTGGCCGTTCTAGCTGGATAGGGGAGCCAATTCCTGACACAGAAAACCCTAGAAGAGGACTTGATTTGTCAGCCTTGGAATAATTTTGAGTTCTGATTTGAATATGCCTTTGACTCATTTAAGAAATGTCAAGTTGATAGGTAGATGATATATGAGAGCTCAGAACAGAGGTAGGGACTAGAACTATTAATTGGAGTTGTGTGCAATATTGATGGATATGGATGAGGTTGACTAGGGGAGAGTATGAAATAAGTCAGTCAGTGGGCTAGGCCCAAGGAGCTCCAAATTTAATGGCCAAGTAGAAGAGATACACAGGAAGAAAACCAGGGGAGGGCTGAGTTATAGAAGCCAAGGGAAAGGAGTATTTAAGAAGGAGGCAGGCTGGGTGTGGTAGCTCATGCCTGTAATCCCAGCACTTTGGGAGGCTGAGGTGGGCAGATCACCTGAGGTCAGGAGTTTGAGACCAGCCTGGCCAACATAACAAAACCCTGTCTCTACTAAAAATACAAAAATTAGCCGGGCGTGGTGGCAGACACTTGTAATCCCAGCTGCTTGGGAGGCCGAGGCAGGAGAATCACTTGAATCTGGGAGGCAGAGGTTGCAGTGAGCTGAGATTGCGCCATTACACTCCAGCCTTGGCGAAGAGTGAAAGTCTATCTCAAAAAAAAAAAAAGGAGGCCGTGCTTAGCAGTGTGAATAATTTTTTTTTTTTGAGATGGAGTTTTGCTCTTGTCACCCAGGCTGGCATGCAGTGGCGCCATCTCGGCTCACTGCAACCTCCGCCTCCTAGGTTCAAGCAATTCTCCTGCCTCAGCCTCCCAAGTAGCTGGGATTACAGGCATGCATCACCATGCCTGGCTAATTTTGTATTTTTAGTAGAGACAGGGTTTCTTCATGTTGGTCAGGCTGGTCTTGAACTCCCGACCTCAGGTGATCTGCCCACCTTGGCCTTCCAAAGTGCTGGGATTACAGGTGTGAGACACTGGGCCTGGCCTGAATGAGAAATGTTTAATACAAGCAACAGAGCCTGAAGTCAAGATTTATCACTTAACACAGGGTAGTAGTAATAGAGGAACAGTAGAACTTAGCACCCCTGGCTTCTATGCCATTATAGTAAATTCATTATATTAGGATGCCTAATAGGAAGTATATAAGGCAAAATGTTCTGTAGCCAAGTGCTTTTGAAAAAAAAAAAAATAAGAAAGGCTGATGACAGAACTTCTACCCTAGAAGCTAATTTCTCTTTAAAGTACTGTCATCTAAACACTCCATCCTTGGCAACATAGATACTGTCACTTAAAAAAACAAAAACATAGCCTGGGCAAAAGAACGAGATCCTGCTTCTACAAAAAGTAAACAAAAATTGAGCCGGGCATGGTGGCTCATGCCTGTAATCCCACACTTTGAGAAGCCAAGGCGGGCAGAATGCCTGAGCTCAGGAGTTCGAGACCATCCTGGCCAACATGGTGAAACCCCATCTCTACTCAAATACAAAAGATTAGCCAGCCATGGTGGCACGTGCCTGTAGTCCCAGCTGCTCAGGAGGCTGAAGCATGAGAATTGCTTGAGCCCTGGAGGTGGAGGTTGCAGCGAGCTGAGATCGCGTAAACAAAAATTAGTGGAGTATGGTGGCACAGCAGTCCTAGCTACTCGGGAGACTGAGGCAAGAGGAATCCCTGAACCCAGGAGTTTCAGGCTGCATTGAACCACTGCACTCCAGCTTAGGCTTCAGAGCAAGAACCTGTCTCTAAAAAAGAAGGAAAAACCTTTTTGCTCTTCCTGTCTCATGGTGTAGCTGTCTCCCCACATAGGAAGCTGGAACGTCATAGGGGATTCTCTGTCTTCCCATTATGGACAGTCTCACCCCTTGCCAGGACCCCATCACCACAGGAGGATAATGGGCAGTTACTGATATAAGAGGCTGAGATTTCTAATTTTATTCAAATCTTAGATCATATATTGATGAGTTGTAATGGGGTAACATAGTTAACAGTTTAGAAATCTGTTGACTATGTGCTTATCAGAGCTGGAGCCCTAATATGTTTAGTCATTGTTTTAAAAATGTTTTTGCATTGATTGCTGTTTTTAGTGAATGCCAAATATATTGTCTTTAATTTTATTTTCTTAGGAAAATTAAGCGTTGTAAAAACAAAAGTACATTTAAGTTTACTAGTTGTTATCAAGGCTAAAGGCTTTATTTTATTGTCTTTGGTAATAGTTGTTGATACCAAACAATGAGTACTTCCACTTTGTTGTTTAGTGATCATATTAAAGTATTGATATTTTAAAAATGTCTGGTACATGTTTCCAATAAATATAGGAAATCATTAAAAATGATGGGTTTTATGAGAATGTTATATATTGATTATTGTTGAGATGCTGAGTACTGTGTACATTGAGTTCATTATACTCTTTTTTATGCCTTTGAAATTTTCATAATAAAACTTTTAAAAGTGGGTTTTGAGAAACCATAACATTTAGTAAAGCAAGGGTTCTTATATTTTCAAATGTCTACCAGTTTCTTTTAAATGTCTCCATTCTAAAGAAACTGTCTACCAATGGTGGGTATATTATTTTTCACTTAGGATATTTAAGTTCTTTTCTTAAAATGTTTGTGATACATTTCATTAGAGAATTACATTTGTTCATTTTTAGAATAAATTCAGAAACTGAATTATAGTCATTTTGAAATGAGTTACTTCTTATCCTACAGCTTAGTTCAGGATTATTTAGACTACTACATTGAAAATATTCTGGGATGGTTTATAAGTATATGGGGGAAAGGCAGATCCCTTAATGATTACATTGAAAAATGACTTTTTAAAATCACTGAAACAGGTTCCATGGAGATCAGGAATGTTATTACCAGGATGACCTACGAGTATTATCTAGTCTTACCAAAAAGGAACACATGAAAGGGAATGAGACCATGTTGGATTTTCGAACAAGTAAATTTGTTCTGCGTATTTCCCGTGACTCGTACCAACTCTTGAAGAGGCATCTTCAGGAGAAACAGAACAATCAGATATGGAACATAGTTCAGGAGCACCTCTACATTGACATCTTTGATGGGATGCCGCGTAGTAAGCAACAGATAGATGCGATGGTGGGAAGTTTGGCAGGAGAGGCTAAACGAGAGGCAAACAAATCAAAGGTATGGGAATGAACCTAAGAACTCTATAATGCAGATTATGAAAAATTGTAGCATTTCCATCTACATAAGTTACACATTTTTCTTATAGCTAGCTTGGAAACAATTTTTTTCGTTTGTTTGTTTTGAGACGGAGTTTTGCTCTTGTCACCCAAGCTGGAGTGCAGTGGCGTGATCTCAGCTCACTGCAACCTCCACCTCCTGGGTTCAAGTGATTCTCCTGCCTCAGCTTCCCGAGTAGCTGGGATTAGAGGCACACGCCACCAACCTGGCTAATTTTTGTATTTACTTTAGTAGAGACAGGGTTTCACCATGTTGGCCAGGCTGGTCTCGAACTCCTGACCTCAGATGATCCACCCGACTCCGCCTCCCAAAGTGCTGGCATAACAGGCGTGAGCTACTGCGCCTGGCCGCTTGGAAACAATTTTATACTGTATATAAAATTTTGTGTTCTAAGGGTGATGTTTATATGTGACAATTTGGGTATGGTTGCATTTTATGGAACCCTGAATGCAGTGGCTGAAACAAAGAATTTTTCTCCCATAAAATGAATTTCAGAGGAAGGCCTTCCAGGGCTGGCATGAAGGCTCCACAGTGCCATCAAGGTCCCTGGCTCCTTCTGGTTTCTGATCCACCATCTTCAGAATGTGGCTTTCCTCTTTGTGCTCACAAATGGCTGTTGCAGTTTCAGCATTGCAGCTCCGTTCCAAGAAGGAAGAAGGGGGAGGACAAAAGGCATATCTCTGCTGAAGCTTTCCCTTTTTAATCAGGAAAACAATATTTTTTTGATACAACCATACCCAGTATACTTATATGGACATTCCTAGCTGAAAGGGAGCCTGGGAACAGAAATGATTTAACTGAGCACATTGCTACTCCAATAAAATCAGGGTTCTGTTAGTAAGGAAAAAGGGGAGAATGGCTATTGGGTAGACAAATACAGAACCCTGCTTCAGAGTGTAAATTACTATTTTGTAATTGTGATTTATCCTATCAAGATGTAAAATGGGTATATTAATGAATAAATAATTTTAAAAATGTTGGCTCTTTTGACTTGTAGGTATTTTTTGGTTTATTAAAAGAACCAGAAATTGAGGTACCTTTGGATGACGAGGATGAAGAGGGAGAAAATGAAGAAGGAAAACCTAAAAAGAAGAAGCCTAAAAAAGATAGTATTGGATCCAAAAGCAAAAAACAAGATCCCAATGCTCCACCTCAGAACAGGTGAGGAAAAAACTTCAGGAACTTGTGTGTGGAGGTATAAGACAACATGTTATATAGAGTTCAAGTTTGTTAATAGTCAAAAGGTAATTTTGACTCTCTTTTTCTTTCACAGAATCCCTCTTCCTGAGTTGAAAGATTCAGATAAGTTGGATAAGATAATGAATATGAAAGAAACCACCAAACGAGTGCGCCTTGGGCCGGACTGCTTACCCTCCATTTGTTTCTATACATTTCTCAATGCTTACCAGGTTGGTAAAAAAATTGGGCGATTTCTGCCTGGAGAGTCATGTAGGATGATGATTTACCATTAAGAGAGAAACAAATGTATTAGCTAAAATGGAGTTTCGTTATTTAAACTCCTTTTTTTTTTTTTTCTGAGACAGAGTCTCGCTCTGTCGCCCAGCTGGAGTGCAGTGGCGCGATCTCAGCTCACTGCAATGTCCGCCTCCCAGGTTCATGCCATTCTTCTGCCTCAGCTTCCCCAGCAGCTGGGACTACAGGCGCATACCGCCATGCCCGGCTAATTTTTTGTATTTTTAGTAGAGATGGGGTTTCACCGTGTTAGCCAGGATGGTCTCGATCTCCTGACCTTGTGATCCGCCTGCCTCAGCCTCCCAAAGTGCTGGGATTACAGGCATGAGCCACCGCATGTGGCCCCTAAACTCTTATACAATTTAAAGACAGCATTCAGGAAGAGAGAATTGGATACTGCACAGAATAGATAGAAGTCAATGTTTAATGGCATTTGTTTCACCGATCAGAATTCTGCTAGCCTTTGAGGAGGAGCAAATTGTAGTTCATTTCTGTTGAACTTGGTTTAAGTACTTACGTAAACTTATTTATCAATTTTTTTTTTTTTTTGAGACAGAGTTTTGTGCTGTCACCTAGGGTGGAGTGCAGAGGTGAGATCTCAGCTCACTGCAACCTCTGCCTCCCGGGTTCAAACGATTCTTGTGCCTCAGCCTCGGCCTCCTGAATAGCTGGGATTACAGGCACCCTCCACCATGCCTGGCTAATTTTTGTATTTTTAGTAGAGACAGGATTTTGCCGTGTTGCCCAGGCTGGTCTTGAACTCCTGACCTCAAGTGATCTGGCCGCCTCAGCCTCCCAAAGTGCTGGGATTACAGGCGTGAGCCACCGTGCCCAGCCATATAAACCTTATTTTATTTTATTATTTTAATTTAATTTCATTTTTTGAGATGGAGTCTTGCTCTGACACCTAGGCTGGAGTGCGGTGGTGCAATTTTGGCTCACTGCAACCTCCGCCTCCCAGTTCAAGTGATTCTCCTGCCTCAGCCTCCTGAGTAGCTGGGATTATAGGCATGAGCCACCACGCCCAGCTAATTTTTGTATTTTCAGTAGAGAAGGGGTTTCACCAGGTTGACCAGGCTGGACTTGAATTCCTGAGCTCAGGCAATCCACCCGCCTCAGCCTCCTAAAGTGCTGTGATAACAGGCATGAACCCCCGCGCCCGGCCAAACTTAGTATTTTATTTTATTATTATTTTTTTTTTGAGATGGAGTCTCACTCTGTCGCCCAGGCTGGAGTGCAGTGGCACGATTTTGGCTCACTGCAACCTCTGCCTCCTGGGTTCAAGTGATTCTCTTGCGTCAGCCTCACAAGTAGATGGGATTACAGGTGCCCACCACCCTGCTTGGCTAATTTTGGTATTTTTAGTAGAGATGGGGTTTCACCATGTTGGCCAGGCTGGTCTTGAACTCCTAACCTCAGGTGATCCACCTGTCTCAGCCTCCCAAATTGTTGGGATTACAGGCATGAGCCAGTGCGCTTGGCCAATATTTTAAATCAAGAATTTTAAAAGTCTTTATATATTCCTTAAAATAGAGGATTGAGGAGATATTTAGTATAGTGTGAAAATGATTAACATTTGCTTCCTATCTCTAAATATCCTAAAATAGTATTGTTTAGTCTAACCCTTTTATTGGCAGGGTCTCACTGCAGTGGATGTCACTGATGATTCTAGTCTGATTGCTGGAGGTTTTGCAGATTCAACTGTCAGAGTGTGGTCGGTAACACCCAAAAAGCTTCGTAGTGTCAAACAAGCATCAGGTAACTGAGATGACCTTTTGGAATGTGAACTTGCCATTAGTCTATACCAATCTTGATTCCATGGAAAATACACAGGAGATTGTGTTCTTTACAGAAATTCACTTGATTTTACTTTAACTCAAGATTCTAACATTCCCAACAGTGAAAAAAGCTTTGGAGTGACTGGGGTGCTAGACTGGTTTAATTTCTTTAGGTCTCAGTTTTCTCATCTGTAGAATGAGTGAGTATTAAGCTAAAAAACTTAAAGTTAAAAATCTAACATTTTATGATTGCTTGTAAATCTTAAAAAATCTTTAAATAAGGGATGGTACTTCCTGTTTTAGTCATAAAAATGGCTAAAAAGAACAAATAAGGTCAGGATTTTATTTGAAAGTTTTTTACTTTTTGTTTTTTTGAGACAGAGTCTCGCCCTGTCACCCAGGCTAGAGTGCAATGGCGCAGTCTTGGCTCACTACAGCCTCTACCTCCCAGGTTCAAGGGATTTTCTTGTGTCAGCTCCCCAGCTCCCCAGTAGCTGGGATTACAGGTGCCCACCACCATGCCCAGGTAATTTTTGTATTTTTAGTAGAGATAGGGTTTCGCCATGTTGGCCAGGCTGGTCTCGAACTCCTGACCTCAAGTGATCCGCCTGTCTGGCCTCCCAAAGTGCTGGAATTATAGGTGGCTCACTGCAACCTCCACCTCCCTGGTTCAAGCGATTTTCCTGCCTCCACACCCGGCCTGAAATAAAGTTTTTTACTAACTATATTATTTAAATAAAACAATATATTTTAAATTATTTCAATATTTCCATAGGTTTTTTTTTTTTAATTTTAAATTTTTTTTAGATGGGGTCTCACTCTGTTGCCCAGGCTAGAATGCAGTGGTGTGATCACGGCTCACTGCAGCCTCTAATCCCTGGGCTGAAGTGATCCTCCCACTTCAGCCTCCTGAGTAGCTGAGACTACAGGTGTGTGCAACCACACTGGCTAATTTTTTATTTTTTGTAGAGACAGGGTTTCTCCATGTTGTCCAGGCTGGTCTCGAACTCCTCTGGGCTCAAGCAATCTGCCCGCCTTGGCCTACCAAAATTCTGAGACTACAGGTGTGAGCCACCATGCCTGGCCCATAGTTTTCATTTTGTGAAACACTGTGGCATAGTGGGCAAAACTGAGTTTCAGTTCTGGTTCCCACACTGAGTAGCTGTGTGCACTCTAGCAAATTATCTGTTCTGAACGTCATTTTCTTCTCTTACACGCTGAGATGATACTGCCTAATTTAGAGGGATTAGCAAAGTGCGGTTGGTATATAGGAGGAAATTTTCAAATGTTAATTCCTCTCCTGCACTGTGATATGATTACTTTAAAAGTTTTGATGAATGTACTTATAAAATATCAATATTTCTGGACCATTTTAGATCTTAGTCTTATAGACAAAGAATCAGATGATGTCTTAGAAAGAATCATGGATGAGAAAACAGCAAGTGAGTTGAAGATTTTGTATGGTCACAGTGGGCCTGTCTACGGAGCCAGCTTCAGTCCGGATAGGTAAAATACAAACAATAAAAATTAAATACTGCTATGTTATATTGAAATTATATAAAAGTTAACTACTGGAAACATTATGCAAATGCTGGGAAAATTCTGATAAAAATCTCATGGTTGTCTGACGTTCATCATCTTTTAGAATCTTGCCATTTGCTAATTCATCTTTGAATCCTGGTGTTTGTACATGGTAGCAATTTAATGTATACTCACTTTTTTTTTTTTTTTTTTGAGACAGAGTTTCGCTCTTGTTGCCCAGGTTGGAGTGCAATGGCGTGATCTTGGCTTACCGCAACCTCCGCCTCCTGGGTTCAAGCGATTCTCCTGGCTCAGCCTCCTGAGTAGCTGGGATTACAGGCATGCGCCACCACACCTGGCTAATTTTATTTTTTTATTAGAGATGGGGTTTCTCCATGTTGGTCAGGCTGGTCTTGAACTCTCAACCTCAGGTGATCTGCCCACCTCAGCCTCCCAAAGTGCTGGGATTACAGGCGTGAGCCACTGTGCCTGGCCTGTATACTCAAATTTATAGAATCAAAATGCACAGTTTCAGGGCTTACTGGTTTTAAAAATTAGCTTTAGTATTTCCCTTTTTTTTTTTTAATTATTTTTATTTGTTACCCAATGGTAAATAACCAACCAAAGCTTTAGTTTTATAGAACTCCATTAGGGGTTGAATTGCTTCATTGGGTCCCTGCATTGTGTCTTCTGGCTGCTTCATCAAATTTAAGACAAATTCCTGACATTAATGGCATATTAGCTAGTAATTGAGGATTAATCTTTCTATAATCAAAAGTACTAAGAGTAAATGAAAAAGGAAATTCAAAATTGGTTTGCTTCCCTTTAGGTGTATGATTACAATGTCATCCTATGTGTATAGGTATTTGCCTATTTTTCATGATCTCTAACACTGTAAAAATGGGTGGAGGGTGTTTTGTATTCATAATACCATCAGTATATTACTTGGATAGATAATAGCTTTCAGGCCGGGCACAGTGGCTCACGCCTATAATCCCAGCACTTTGGGAGTCCAAGACAGGCGCATCACCTGAGATCAGGAGTTTGAGACCAGCCTGGCCAACATGGGAAATCCTGTCTCCACTAAAAAGTACAAAAATTAGCAGGGTGTGGTGGCGCCCACCTGTAATCCTGGCTACTTGGGAGGCCGAGGCAGGAAAGTCACTTGAACATGGGAGGCAGAGGTTGCAATGAGCCGAGATTGCACCACTGCACTCCAGCCTGGGTGATAAGAGCAAAACTCCATCTCAAAAAAAGAAGAAAAGAAAAAAAGATAATAGCTTTCCATCCATCAAGGTTTCATCATTACGAAACTTTGAGAATTAGGTTTTTTGTTGCTTGATAAGGTTTTGCCAGATGATACATTTTTGAGGGAAACGTCTGATTTCAGTGAAAATTGTAATAACCTTCTGACTATCAATCTTTTGTGTTTATGCTTGAAAAAGGTAGAGAATTATTAGCATGTCTGTAGTTTTTTTTTCTTTTTCTTCAAAAGACATTTCCTTTTTAATTCTTACATAGCTTACACAGCATGGGAAAATAGCATCTTTATTTTAGGGTCAAAAATTGTTGAGTTTTAAGTGACATATCACATTTCTTAAACTTTCTCAATTGACCTTATTTGACTATACTTTGTTAATTACCCCTGCTATTTTTTTCTTGTAAAGAACTCTGATTTTCCCTAAGTTTTTGTATCATATTACCTCATTCAGTAGGTGCTCGGTATATGTAGAGTGTCAGGGTTAACATTAGTTTGGTTAGTTCTTTCAATTGATACCTACTGTGAATTGCGTGTATGAATTAAAAGTGAGATGCAGCATGTTAGGTATATTTAATATAGTCAAATATATATAAAATATTAAATGTATTCAAATGTATATAAAACTGGGCAGGTGACCAAAGGTTACTCTGGGAGTCAAATATATCACCTTCTCTTCTCTCAGGAACTATCTGCTTTCCTCTTCAGAGGACGGAACTGTTAGATTGTGGAGCCTTCAAACATTTACTTGTTTGGTGGGATATAAAGGACACAACTATCCAGTATGGGACACACAATTTTCTCCATATGGATATTATTTTGTGTCAGGGGGCCATGACCGAGTAGCTCGGTAAGAACACTGTGATCTTATGACTGGGTCTATTCAATGAACAGAATGGTTTCTTGTTGGGAATTACACAGCCAGCCAAATTCATTTACACTTCCATTATTGAGGTTCAACTTTCTGAGAAGCTTTTGCATTTATAACTTATTTGAAATTGGGGCCGGGCGCAGTGGCTTATGCCTGTAATCCCAGCACTTTGGGAGGCCGAGGTGGATGGATCACCTGAGGTCAAGAGTTTGAGACCAGCCTGGCCAACATGGTGGAACCCCGTCTCTACTAAAAATACAAAAATTAGCCGGGCGTGGTGGTAGGCACCTGTAATCCCAGCTATTCAGGAGGCTGAGGCAGGAGAATCATTTGAACCTGAGAGGCGGAGGTTGCAGTGAGCCGAGATCGCACCATTGCACTCCAGCCTAGGGGACAAGAGCGAGACTTCATCTCAAAAAAAAAAAAAAAAAAAAAAAAAAGAAAAGAAATTGGGGCAGGAGTATTATTATATCTGCAATTACATCTATATGAATCCTGGTTTTTAAAAAATAGTTAATTAACAATCCTCCCTCCCAACCCCATCAGATACTTAACCTTGTCTTCCATACCACTGTGAGCACCTTTATGTTTCTCTGTCATCTGCTTAGAAGTTGAGGATAAGGTAGTTCAGGTTAGAAACTATTTGGCCAGGTGCAGTGGCTCACGCCTGTAATCCCAGCACTTTGGGAGGCCAAGGAGGGCAGATAACTTGAGGCCAGAAGTTCCAGACCAGCCTGGCCAACATGACGAAACCCCGTCTCTACTGAAAAAAAAAACAAAAATTAGCCGGGTGTGGTGGCACGTGCCTGTAGTCCCAGCTACTCAGGAGGCTGAGGCAGAATTGCTTGAACCCAGGAGGCAGAGGTTGCAGTGAGCCGAGATTGCACCACGGCATTCTAGCCTGGATGACAGAGTGAGACTGTCTCAAAACAAAACAACTATTTGGTGGCCAGAACTAGGGGAAAATACTTTTCTGTGGTTTAGACTAGGAATAGAGGAGGAAGAATATACAGAGAATTGGAGTTCTAGAACTTAAGTTTTGGCTGGCTACAGTGGTACACGCCTATAGTCCCAGCTACTGGGGAGGCTGAGGTGGGAGGATTGCTGGAACCGAGTTTGAATCCAGCTTGGGCAACAGAGCAAGACCTCAGCATTTTTTTTTTTTTTTTTGAGACAGAGTCTCGCTCTGTTACCCAGGCTGGAGTGCAGTGTCGCCATCTCGGCTCACTGCAACCTCTACCTCCTGGGTTCAAGCAATTCTCCTGCCTCAGCTTCCTGAGTAGCTGGGATTACAGGCGTGCGCCACCATGCCCAGCTAATTTTTTGTATTTTTAGTAAAGACGGTGTTTCACCATGTTGGTCAGGCTGGTCTCGAACTCCTGACCTCGTGATCTGCATGCCTCGGCCTCCCAAAGTGCTAGAAGTGTAAGCGTGAGCCCCCATGCCTGGCAAGACCTCAGCTTAAAAAAAAAAAAAAATTGTACCAGATGAACTCTTAGGACTGTGAGTCTCATTTTTCTTCCCCTCAGTTAACTAGTAAGTGGGGGGCCCACTCAGAACTAACTTTTTATGTGGATGTTTCTGTATTTATTTTGTATAGATTTTTGGCGTTTCACAGCTATCTACTAATTGTCATCTTTTGCTTTCAATAACTTTATAAAAGGCTCTGGGCTACAGACCACTATCAGCCTTTAAGAATATTTGCCGGCCATCTTGCTGATGTGAATTGTACCAGATTCCATCCAAATTCTAATTATGTTGCTACGGGCTCTGCAGACAGAACTGTGCGGCTCTGGGACGTCCTGAATGGTAACTGTGTAAGGATCTTCACTGGACACAAGGTATTTTACACTCTTACTATTCCAGCATCCAAGGTTGCTTTCAAAATAAAAATATTTTTTAAACAAGTGACACATAAATTTTAAAGATACCATTCTTACTACAAAACTTTAAAATTTTGTCTTATTTTCCTAGACATACTTTGATCTTTTCTATGAACTTTTTTCTAGGGACCAATTCATTCCTTGACATTTTCTCCCAATGGGAGATTCCTGGCTACAGGAGCAACAGATGGCAGAGTGCTTCTTTGGGATATTGGACATGGTTTGATGGTTGGAGAATTAAAAGGCCACACTGATACAGTCTGTTCACTTAGGTTTAGTAGAGATGGTGAAATTTTGGCATCAGGTAAATGACTATTAATGGCTTTACGATAAATGCTATGTTAAGAGGAAACAGTGTTGACGACTGCAATACTAAGTCCTTATGTTTTAGGTTTTACTTCCCTTTAGCTATGATTCCAGAGTGTCATCCTACATCAATCACTTCTCAGGTTAAAGTACTGCTTGATAATGCTCCTTAGGAAGGAATAGAGTTATTGGTCAAGTTTAGATTTTTCACCCAAAATGTACAGTAAATACATAGTGTAGTGGACAAAATGTCCGAATGTAAATATGATGGATGCAACTAATGGTTTCCTTTGACTTCCCCTTAGGTTCAATGGATAATACAGTTCGATTATGGGATGCTATCAAAGCCTTTGAAGATTTAGAGACCGATGACTTTACTACAGCCACTGGGCATATAAATTTACCTGAGAATTCACAGGAGTTATTGTTGGGAACATATATGACCAAATCAACACCAGTTGTACACCTTCATTTTACTCGAAGAAACCTGGTTCTAGCTGCAGGAGCTTATAGTCCACAATAAACCATCGGTATTAAAGACCTTTTGGAAGCTACTGTTTTTAAAAAGGGAGACTAAAAGCAAATACCTCAGTGATTAATATTTAAGCTACAGAGAATGTTTTTGTCTATATGGATCTGGAAGTATGCTGCTTGGAAAAATCTGAACAGGACAGTTCCACGTTTCTATAGCAACCACATTTGACTAATTTCCGTTAGTTGAATAAGAGGTATTATGATCATGGAGGGGACATTTATGGTGCTTTGGATTGTGTGGAAACTATGCATTTTCTGTTCAAATGCTATTTTAATTTATTACATTTAGAAAAAAAGTTGATTTCAATAATTCATCCTGCTTCAAGATTCAAATTCAGAAATATACTATCATCTTGAATTTTAGCTGAAGAATCCTATGAGCATGTATGTTTCTGCTGTAAAAACGTAGTTACTGTATGGCACTCAAAAACTATGTTAAATGATCCACTAACTTTTTTTTTCTTGGCCCATGATTAATGGAATGTATGTAACTAGGTAGGGTTCCTTTCTTAGATCTAGAGGAAGTACAGCCACCCACTGACATCTGAATTTATATACCTGTTGAGTTTTGAGTGCACCCAAACACTCGATAAACCAGGTGAAGAAATTTAGCTTCCATGTTCTACTTCAGCTAAAACAGCTACATACAACCTAGTACACTTGAAGTCAGACAGACATTTCAGTTGCTTACCTCCAGTACTGAGCCTTGCTTTGGGAAACTAAAAGATTTAGACCAAGTCACTGCCAGTTTTTGCCTTTGTTGCATTTTGTACAGTTTTTATATTTTTGATATCTTGTAAATAAAGACAACCAGCTTTTCCAGGTTCATAATTTATTGTACAAATTGAATTATCACATGATGAGTTGGCATTAGCTTCTCCAGGCATGGGAACTTAACAGATGAGGTTAAGAACCGTAGACAGTTTAAAATCCTATAAACAAAGCAAACAGTTTAGATACAAATGTGGCCAGCTTTACTCTTAAGACACTCAAGAATTACTAAGGTAACATGAACCCACTGAAACTGAATGCGAATTTATTAGATTGTCAAAGATGTAACACCAAAAAAATTAAAGTGTATCTCAGATTAATACTTTTTTTTTTTTGAGACAGAGTTCGCTCTTGTTGCCCAGGCTGGAGTGCAATGGCACAATCTCGGCTCACTGCAACCTCCGCGTCCCAGGTTCAAGTGATTCCCCTGCCTCAGCCTCCCAAGTAGCTGGGATTACAGGCATGTGCCACCACACCCGGCTAATTTTGTATTTTTTAGTAGAGACAGGGTTTCACCATGTTGGTCAGGCTGGTCTCGAACTCCTGACCTCAAGTGATCCACCCGCCTCAGCCTCCCAAAGTACTGGGATTACAGGTGTAAGCCACTGTGCCTGGCCTCAGATTAATACATTTTAACCTAACATTCCACCTTTAACAAATAAGCTACCAACAATTTAGTATGATCCTAAAGGTATACTATTGGAAAAGTCTAGCATATAAAGTAACATCTTTTTTTTTTGTTCGGAGACACAGTCTCGCTCTATCCCCCAGGATGGAGTGTAGCAGCGCAATCTCGGCTCACTGCAACCTCTGCCTCCTGGGTTCAAGTGATTCTCACGCCTCAGCCTCTCGAGTAGCTGGGATTACAGGTGCCTGCCACCACGCCCGGCTAATTTTTATATTTTTAGTAGAGATGGGGTTTCACCATGTTGGCCAGGCTGGTCTCGAACTCCTGATCTCAGATGGTCCACCCACCTCAGCCTCCCAAAGTGCTGGGATTACAGGCGTGAGCCACCACGCCCAGCCTCTCCATTTTTGTAATGGGGATACTACCACCCTTCTGAAGTTAGGAGGTAATTAATATAAAAAATTGGGCAAAATACTACCTGTTCGTCAGGAATAAGCCAGTGATCACTGCATTCTCGGATATGCACTCCCTAAGGTCAACTGTTTTGAGATTGGAAAAGCTCTTAAGCATAGAAGAGGCCAGGCACAGTGGCTCATGCCTGTAATCCCAGCACTTTGGGAGACTGAGGCAGGTGGATCACTTGAGCCCAGGAGTTTGAGAGCAGCCTGGGCAACATCACAAAACCCTGTCTACCAAAAGAAAATACAAAAATTAACTGGGTGTGGTGGCATGCACCTGAAATCCCAGCTAT
Source organism: Homo sapiens (assembly GCF_000001405.40). Lineage (NCBI taxonomy): Eukaryota > Metazoa > Chordata > Mammalia > Primates > Hominidae > Homo > Homo sapiens. The sequence continues at coordinate 103,390,385 of NC_000010.11, forward strand.
TCAGGAGGCTGAGGCGGGAGGGTCACTTGAGCCCGGGAAGCAGAGGTTGCAGTGATCTGAGATCGCACCACTTCACTCCAGCCTGGGCAACAGAGCTAGAGTCTCAAAAAGAAAAATATCCGGGCTGGGTGTGGTGGCTCACACCTGTAATCCCAACACTTTGGGAAGCCAAGGCGGGCATATCACCTGAGGTCAGGAGTTTGAGACCAGCCTGACCAACACGGTGAAACCCCGTCTCTACTAAAAATACAAAAAAATTAGCCATGCGTGGTGGTGTGCACATGTAATCCCAGCTACTCAGGAGCCTGAGGCAGGAGAATTGTTTGAACCGGGAGGCAGAGGTTGCAGTGAGCCAAGATCATGCCATTGCACTCCAGCCTGGGCAACAAGAGTCAAACTCCATCTCAAAAAAAAAAAAGTCTGCGAAGGAGAGCTACATCAGATGAAGATCTGGCATTTGGGCTTTCCACATATCACCCATTGCCAACACAACAGATATTTAAAGGGTGGGCAAATGGGGGTTGGAGGATTATAAGAAAATAAAACCTATGGGGATTTAAGGAAAAGACAGAATTACATAAACATTGGAAACAAACTAGAAAAAGAAATATTTGCAACTGATATAAAAGGTTGGTTAATGATTACATAGAGCTTCCAAGTCACCCAATTGATAAATAAAAACATGTATAGAATGAATTGTATTTTCAAGAAAAATGCAAACAGTAAACACAGAAAAACATGCCCTTCAAAAAGCAAAAAACACAATTTTTTTTACTCATCAAATTAGCAAAAACCAGAAACTTACATTTCACATTGGCTGGGCAAAAGACACACCCATTTACAAAGCTGGGTACCTCATAATTGGGAAAGCACTTTTGCCTAAGATGACAATCCTAGATATAGACAAGGCTTCATGCTCAAAAGCATTCATTGTAGTATTACTAATTCTAATGGGAACGAGAGTTCCTCTCTGAAATAGTTCATATATTTATAAACAGACATGCATTCAAATTAAAGATATATTTGGTATAAGACAAAATTACAGACGTGATCATAGTCACTGGAAACCAAACAAAATACATGTAACAAAAACTGTTAGGGTCTTGGGACATGGGCAATATTTTTCTTGCTTTTTTTTTTGAGACAAAGTCTTGCTCTTGTCCCCCAGGCTGGAGTGCAATGGCGTGATCTCAGCTCACTGCAACCTCTGCCTCTTGGGCTCAAGCTATTCTCCTGCCTCAGCCTCCCGAGTAGCTGGGATTATAGGCGCCTGCCACCACACCTGGCTAACTTTTGTATTTTTAGTAGAGATGGGGTTTCACCATGTTGGCCAGGCTAGTCTCAAACTCCTGACCTCAGGTGATCCGCCTGCCTCGGCCTCCCATTGTGCTGGGATTACAGGCACAAGCCACTGCACCCAGCCTCTTTTTCTTTTTTTTGAGACACGATTTTGCTCTTTCGCCCAAGCTGGAATGCAGTGGCGTGATCTCGGCTCACTGCAACCTTCGCCTCCTGGACTTAAGCAGTTCTCCCACCCTGGCTAATTTTTGTTTTTTGGTAGAGATGGGGTTTCATCATGTTGCCCAGGCTGGTCTTGAACTCCTGGGCTCAAGTCATCTGCCCGCCTTGGCCTGCCAAAGTGCTGGGATTACAGGTATGAGCCACTATACTAGGCCTCTGTATTTTTTTTTCTTGTATGCTATAAATTTTGCAAAATGACAATGGTTTATTTTTATACTAAATGTTAGGGAAAAATCCTAACATCAAAATGGCTAAATTATAAAGGTTTAAATGTCAACTTCTTACCATTTATGTTGCTTTCACAGCTGGAGTTTTTTTGGACCTTAACTTGAAATATAAGACAATCAATGCAATGCTTCCATATGTGGCCAGTACACACTGAGAAAGAAAGAAAAAAGTAAACAAGACTTGTTGTTCCATCTATATTATTTTAAAATATAACTGCTTAAAGTTATCAATACTTACGTTCATTCTACCTGTGAGAGTATAAGAGTTGAAATATTTTTTAATACCAGTGAACTGGTATTGCGCATCACTTTCTGGACCTGCCATGATTTCAATCTTTTAAAAAAAGAAAGAAAGCAACATTAAATTGGTTTGGATGTAATTTAAAAGTAAATAAATTTTGTCTTGTTTTAGTCTAAAAACTCAAGGTCACTGCATATAAATACTGTAAATTTTTATCTATATCTCACCCAACACAGTAGTAGCAAAGATGGTGGAAAAAGCCTTCCTGAAAGAAAAGCTTTTGGAAGTAGGATTTTACCTTGATCGCTATTTCATGAACACCTCAGAATACATCAAATCACACAATAGCCCCTGCTAAGTTCATTCTCTGACCCAATACAGCTTAATATTTTCATTCCTGGCTCCATCACACCACAGTCCATTGAATTAATCCATTTTAAGGCTACTCAAAAATTGGAGCTGGTATTTTTCAAACATTCAACGGGTGACCATCAACTAAACAGCTCAATTACAACCCCTACTTATACAATTTTTCTTGTTATAAGTAATTTAGGACCTCCATGGGAGAAGGGAGAAGGGATAATTTATTAAATGGAGTTAATAATAGCTACTGGTGGTAGTAAGGAAGCTGGAATCCTTGCACCACCACCAAAATAGATAAAAGATTTAAATGTAAATAGTGAAACCAAAAAGTCCTGGAAGAAAACATGGGGAAATATTTAAGTCATCTCAGGGAAGGGAAAATATTAAGAAAAAAAGCCAAAAACCAAAAAAAACATAAAACCTATTAGTCAAAGAAATGTAAAATGAGATCAATATTTAATCATCAAACAAGCAAAAATAAAATTATGGTAAGTAGTAGTATTAAGTATGTGAGAAAACTAAGAATTCTCTCTCTGTTGCTTGGAGTATAAACTGGTAAAACCAGCCTGGCACGGTGGCTCATGCCTGTAATCCCAGCACTTTGGGAGGCCAAGGCGGGTGGATGCGAGGTCAGGAGATCGAGACCATCCTGGCTAACACGGTGAAACCCTGTCTCTACTAAAAATACAAAAAATTAGCCGGGCGTGGTGGTGGGCGCCTGTAGTCCCAGCTACTCGGGAGGCTGAGGCAGGAGAATGGCATGAACCTGGGAGGCGGAGCTTGCAGTGAGCCTAGATTGCGCCACTGCACTCCAGCCTGGGCGACAGAGCGAGACGCCGTCTCAAAAAAAAAAAAAATAAATAAATAAAAAATAAATAAACTGGTACAACCTTCAGAAAGTGCAAGTTGGCAGTATCTTATCGAATTATAAAATGAGTATACCCTTTCATCTAGCTGGTGTTTTTCTCCAGGAATTTACCCTTATTGAAATATTACAAAGTGGAAACACATTGTGTGGTTCAAAGATGGTCAATGAAATACTGTTTATGAAAATCTTAAAAGTCCATCTATAGAAGACTGATTAAAAAATGATGGTTTCCATTAAACGACACACAACAGGCACAGATCTTTGTGTACTGACATGGGAAGATGTCCCAAGTAACGTTCAATTTTGTAAGAAAAAATCTTATTTCTGGATTTTATAAAGCACGTCAATGGTTCTGGGTCTTGTCCCTAGACCAGCAGCATTAGCATCACTGGAAACTTGTTAGTGCAAATTCTTAGGCCCTACCTATTGAATCAGAAACTCTGGGTCCAGGAATCTATTTTAATAAGGCTTCTAGATAATTCTAAAGCATGCTAAAGTTTGAAAAATACTGCAGTAAATGAAATAGAAAAATAGTAAGTGTATTAAAAAAAACTCTGGAAGAATATATAGCAAAGGCAGCTTAATCTATAGTACCTGTGTATTTTACAAAGGCATGAATTTCTTTTATAGACAAGACGTATTCAAAAGGTCACCAGAACAAGAGCTGAAAATTCGTATGCATGACCGCCTATCTACCACGACCGACGCCACGCCGAGTCGATTGGCAACACAGACGAGCCGGTCGAGGTCCGGTCGAGATTGGTAGGCAGTGACAGTGACTCAGCTGGGTCTTGATGAAATGGAAGAGGGAGATATCTGTCAGGGAGTCATTACTATGGAAACTGGAACTCCCCCATTCAAAGGCTTTCAGAGGCATTCTTGTGTAAAGAATTGGCAATGAAAATTTGAGAAAAATGACCTTAATTTTCAAGTTTCAAGAAGGTTCTTGGAGCAATGAAGGAAATCCAAACTTCCTTAGGCCTCTTCAGAGACCTTGGCCAGTCTAGCCCAAGTAGGAAAATCTCCATTAAAAATAACTTTATACACTTGATCTTAGCCAACAGAAGCGATAAAAGCAACTTTATAATGTAGCTATCAACTGTTCCACTTTACTAAACTTACTAAAGACATACTTCCCCCCGCCCCCCGCCCCCCCACCAGCTCCATTCATTTCATGATACATTTTTGGATTCACTTCTTAGGGTTTGAAGTAGGTTTTTAGGAGAAACGCTACAGAAAATAAGGGCTTCACTTTGACCATTAACGAAAACCTCCACTACATTACATCTAACTAAACTTTTTAGGAGGATATGCCCAACAATACTACAGCGCTTTAAATTTCCCTTTAATTTACACACAATATGGGAGGAAGGCTGATGTTTTGTGATATCCCACAGAAGACTAATTCTGATTGCAGGGAAGTGCATGGTTCAAGAACTGAAATCAATCACTCAAGTTAGTCTGGGTCTTAAAGGAGGAGGACTCTTGAGAGGCTCAAATGGAGGGCCAAATGGGGAACGGGATTGTTGCTGGTGAGATAATGGAGTAAGGTCGAAAAATTTGGTTCTGCACTCTTCAGCACGGTGCAGGTTACTTTAGGGCAAAGATAAAGGAACCCTTGTGTTTACAGTGCCCTTTGTAAGACTCCTAGTTGTGATTTAATGTTGTTAAACGGTGGTATGTTTTAATTAAGTTGCTAACTGCCCTTCTTGAGACAAGGTCTCGCTCTGTCGTCCAGGCTGGAGTGCAGTGGCGCGATCTCAGCTCACTGCAATCTCCGCTTCCCGGGGTCAAGCGGTTCTCCTGCCTCAGCCTCCCGAGTAGCTGGAACTACAGGCGCGCGCCACCACGCCCGGCTAATTTTTGTATTGTTGGTAGGGACGGGGTTTCACCATACTACTCAGGCTGGTCTCGAACTCTGGACCTCAGGTGATCTACCCGCCTCGGCCTCCCAAAGTGCTGGGATTACAGGCGTGAGCCACCGCGCCCGGCCACTAACTGCTCTTAAATGTAACTAATCCTTCCGTGCCTCTCTCCACCTGTGAGATGGGCACTTTATTAAAGGTCCAAAGTGACCAGTAGCTCTTGTTACTTTCTCTGTTCCTCGATATTGCTATTTTCCTTTCTAACTTAACACCTACCTGGAATGGTGAGATCACGAGGTAAGGAAGGCAAAGATGAGTGAGAACCACTCAGGTAACAGAAGCAGCCTCTTGCATTCACGGAGTTTACAGCTCTCTGTTCTGGTTACCTCCTAGGAAAGGCCTTCCCACTGATCGTCTATAGACTGAAATCTAACCCTTTTACAGCGGGCCTGGCGAACTGTAGGGGCCGGGCCACATTCACTCGCTTTGAAAAAGGCTGCAGCGCACCTAAAGGAGGCCCGGCTGGCCAGCTTCCTAAAGCACAGCTCGGTGGGAACAAACAGCTATGGACATACAGAAGAAAAGAGGTTAATTCGGCCGGTGATGGGGATCAGAAGCCCTAGTCCTCGTCCAATATTACGTCACTGGGTGACCTCGAGGGACGCTTCGCGGAGGGCCTCATTTTTCTCCACTGGCGAATGCAATCTAAGGGTCTTCGGAAACTGTGGGAGCCCTTGGGCGCACCTATCCGCCTCACCTCGAGGCTTCTCACCCGCTGGCCGCCCCCTTGCGCCCCTCGTTTTTTCTAGCTCCTTTCCCATTCCCCACCGTTTCTCTCCTCCAAAGCTAAGAACTCGAGTTGCTCCTCGGCCAGAAACGGCGGGCGGTCCTGCAACGTGCAGGCGCCAGGTCCAAGCCCGGACTCCCCTCTTCACCCACCTGCCAAAGCCGCAAATTCCGCAGCTGGTGTCCTTCAACGAATGTAACCACCTCTCGGCCCGGCCGGAAGAAGCCACCTCCCCCGCACGCGTTTAGCCGGCCCCCGCGATTCGGCCTAATGCGACGATTGGCTATGGCTCCAAATCCCGCCCTTCCGATTCCTGTCTCTAGGTCACCTCCGCAACACAGCAACGGAAGTAGGGTGTTGAGCCCGCCCACACTTCCGGAAGAATTGCACTGGACTGTGGGTATCCTGGTCTCCGCGTGTGTGAGTACCGCGGCGCGAGGTTAGTGGTAGCTGGGTGCAGACGCCGTGGCGCTGGTGAGTAAAGGCAGAGGCGAAAAAGGAGGAAACCTCATGGCTGTCAGGTCTGTCCCAGGCCTGGTTCCCTGCCAGGCACACGCTAGATGAGTGTGGTTCGGCCACCTTAGCCCCGCTTCGAAGCCGGCTCTGTTGTAGCAGCCCCTGTAACCCCAGGCTTTGTGTTCGGAAAGTAGCCTAAGTATCTTCTGTGCCCCTGGATCGCCTTACTTTTCAGAGCCTCAGTTTCCCCTTGCTTGAAAGGAAATTAAGGGTGAAATTATCAGCAAACTAGACCCCCCAAACTTTCCTGTTTCTATGAATCATATACCCATCCCTGATTCCATATCCTTGGCCCCACCCGGTCATCACTTCTTTAGTCTAAAGCCCTTGTAGAGTCTTATTACCAAGTGTCTGTCAGAACTAACCTCTCCTGTCTTCTGTTTTCACTTATACCCAGTTCTGGTTCTCATGGTTTCTCTGCTGTACTGCATTTGAATCCTTTTTTTTTTTTTTTTTTTCTGTCACTGAGATAACAGGAAACAGTGCATTTGAATCCTTCTACCGAATTTACTTGCCTTCAATACTGTCTCTCTTCATGTCCAATCTATAGCCTGCAGTATATTTTTCTTGCTTACTGTTCTCTCGCTTTCCCTGCTTAAGTCTCTGACTTGCCAAAGCAAACTACCCATATCTAATTCAAGGTCTTCCACAAAAAAGCCCAACTTCTCCTTTAATTTTTTTGAGACAGAGTCTCACTTTGTCTCCCAGGTTGGAGTGCGGCGGCATGATCTCAGCTCACTGCAACCTCCGCCTCCCGGCCTCAAGCAATTCTCACGCTTCAGCCTGCCTAGTAGCTGGGACTAGGCGCAGGCCACCACGCCCGGCTAATTTTTGCGTTTTTGGTAGAGACGGGGTTTCGCCATGTTGACTATGCTGGTCTCGAACTCCTGACCTCAGATGATCCACGCGCCTCGGGCTCCCGAAGTGCTGGCATTACAGGTGTGAGCCATGGTGCCCGGCCTTCTTTAAAATTTAACTTCAATTTTTATGCTTTAATCTCCCAGTGGTCTAGTTGAATAATTCCTCAGAGACAACAGCAAGCCTTTGAGCAGTTGTTTGATAGGGAAATTGCTGGTGTTTATTGAAATAATAGGCTTTTCCCATCCATGTCTTTTCTCACATTCCCTTTCTACCTGTCAAGCTTCTGTTCATCTTTTACCCTTAAGCTAAAAAAGATCTTCTTTATGAAGCTTGCCTCCTTTACTTATCCCTTCCTACATTGCCTTATCCCTTCCTACATCTTTGTGATCATTTATAATCTGATTTGCATTTTAAGTTACTTGCATAATTGTTTTATCTTCCAAAAAGTGTGCATGTTCTTTGAAGGCAGAGGATTATATATTCATCTGTAGAGCTACAGTGTATCTCTGACTTAACTGTAGCTTCTTAGTGAGTATGTGCTACATTGAATCTATAACTTCTTTTTCTGGAAGAAGGTGGGTGGACTTGTGGTTTTGAAGCAGAGACCTTTGGAAAGATGAAGTATGGATTATTCCGGGCCTGACATCTAAACCATCTATGTTGTAGTCCTGAATGTTGTCTAGCATATTGCTGGAACGTTCTGTCTCTTGCCCGTTGATAACACCTTTCTGAAATCTGCTACCAAGACAACATGTCACCATTATCCTTTGCATTGTTTTTAGGAGACCCAAACATGGCAAACCTGGAAGAAAGCTTCCCCCGAGGAGGTACAAGAAAGATCCACAAACCAGAGAAAGCTTTCCAGCAGTCAGTTGAACAAGACAACTTATTTGATGTAAGTAGTATGCTTGTTTGGTGACACTCACTGGAAACTTTTACTGTAGTGTCTTGTGAAAAATGAGCCTTATTTGAGAATGTGTTATTTTTCCAGATTTTTTTTGCATTGAAGTCTACTTCTATAAATTTAACTCATTTAGAGAGGCCATACCACCACAAGGCTGTATCTTTTGAAGCTTGGCATTTAGTATTAAAGTACTGTTATTAGCTGGGCGTAGTGGCTCATGCCTGTAATCCCAGCAGTTTGGGAAGCCGAGGCAGGCGGATCACTTGAGGCTAGGAATTCAAGAGCAGCCTGGCCAACATGGTGAAACCCCGTCTATACTAATACCAAAACTAGCTGGGCATGGTAGTATACCTGTAGTCCTAGCTACTTGGGAGGCTGAGGCATGAGAATTGCTTGAACCAAGAAGGTGGAGGTTGCACTGACCCAATATTGTGCCACTGCTCTCCTGCCTGGGCGACAGAGTGAGACTCTGTCTCAAAAAACACACAAACAAAATAAATAAAGTGCTGTTCCTTGTTCTTAGACACTCTTTGCCATGTGCCATGTTGATTAAGGATGGAGAGGAAGCAGTTTTTTTTTTTTTTTTTTTTTTGAGACGAAGTCTTACTCTGTTGCCCATGCTGAAGTGCAGTGGCGTGAGTAGCTGGGATTACAGGTGCCTGCTACCATACCTGACTAATTTTTGTATTTTTGTTAGAGATGGGGTTTCACCATGTTGGCCAGGCTGGTCTGAAACTCCTGACCTCAGATGATCTGCTCACCTTGACCTCCCAAAGTGCTGGGATGGCAGGTGTGAGCCACTGCACCCAGCTGATGTTTTTGTTATTTTTGTTGTTGTTTTTTCAAGAGATGGGGAGAGATGATGTTTCACTCTGTTACTCAGGCTGGACTTAAACTCCTGGGCTCAGTCGATCCTCCCTCCTTAGCCTCCTGAGTAACTGGAACAACAGGCATGTTCCACTGTGTCTGACTGATCATTGCATTTTTACAGGGGTTCCTTGCCACATGTAATGGTCAGAATTTGCATTAGACTTCACAGTCTCACCTAGACTAGGCTGTGCTCCAAATGCTTGGGGAAAGGGAACTAACATTTGAGTGTGTGGCTTTAGGTCTGTATTATGTAATCTTTTCAACTGTACTGTGAAGCACTGATTGCAATTCCATGATGAGGAACAGTGTCTTGCTCTGTCGCCCAGGCTGAAGTGCAGTGTTGTGATCTCAGCTCACTGCAACCTCCACTTCTTGGTTCAAGCAATTCTCCTGTATCAGCCTCCCGAGTACCTGGGACTATAGGTGCGTGCTGCCATGCTCGGCTTAATTTTTTTGTATTTTTAGTGGAAAAAAAAATACAGCCTGTTGGCCAGGCTGGTCTTGAACTCCTAATCTCAAGTGATCTTCCCGCCTTGGCCTCCCAAAGTGTTGGGATTACTGGTGTGAGCCACTGTGCCTGGATTTTATATAATTTAGCTGAAACCACATAGCTTGTTATGGTGGAAAAGATGAGAATTTAACTTGGGTCTGTGTAACTCTGGTGTCCATTTTCATGCACTATTCTACATTGCTTCTCAAACTGGGGAACCCAGTGTTCATCCCAGTCAAGAGAGGGAGAACACAAGAGAGAAGAGACTTTGGGAACATGAAGGAGGCTTCTCAGACCTTGGGCAGAGGGAACATTGGCGGCCCCCCCCCTTTTTTTTTTTTTTTTAAGCAAGAATTAAAGGAACAATTGGGAGTGGGATGGGGTAGGGTGGAGTGAAGGAGTAACAAAGCAAGGTGAGTGATGACCTGAAATAGGAGGGAAAACTCAGATTGCTTCTTATTCTTTTGGGTCTTTGTGGGCTCCCCCTACCCGCTTCTAGATTTCTACTGAAGAGGGATCCACCAAAAGAAAAAAGAGCCAGAAGGGGCCAGCAAAAACAAAAAAGTTGAAAATCGAAAAGAGAGAAAGCAGCAAGTCCGCAAGAGAGAAGTTTGAAATCCTTAGTGTTGAGGTTTGTTAAAGTTGGTTTTCATTTAAACAATCGACCTTGGTTGCTTAAGTTTGTGTATGTTCTTTTTTTCTTCTTTCCTTCTTTTTTCCCTTAATTCCATTTTCCCCTTAATATATTATATTTCATGCGTGTGTGTGTAGAGATGCTTGGAATTTATGCTAAGGAGTAAGCATGATTTCCTTCCATTGCTAACCGATGCCAGGAATCTTTTCTTTTTCTTTGTATTTATTTATTATTTTCCAGAGACAGGCCTGACTCTGTTGCTCAGGCTGGAATGCAGGCATGATCATAGCTCACTTTAGTCTTGAACTCCTGGGCTCAAGCAATCTTCCTGCCTCAGCTTCTCCTGAGAAATTGGGACTACTAAAGGTGTGTGTCACCATGCCCAGCTAATTTTTAAATCTTTTGTAGGGCTTGGATCTTGCTATTTTGCCCAGGTTGGTCTCGAACTCCTGTGCTCAAGCAATCCTCCTGCCTCAACCTCCCGAAGTGTTGGGATTATAGACATGAGCTACCCACCGTGCCTGCCCCCTTTTTTTCCTTTAAAGCTGTCGTGGGCTTGTTTGTGTCCTCACAGGACTTGAGTTCTGATATATTCAGAGGTTAGAATGGACAGTAACTTTAGCAGTCATTCTCATCTTACCCATTCATTTCATAGATGTGAAACCCATTTCCAAGAATTGAAGTGGTCTGTGTTCCTTACATTTTTATTTTTTATTTTTTAATTTTGAAATTATTTTATTTTATTTATTTATTTATTTTGAGACGGAATCTCTCTCTGTTGCGCAGTCTGGAGTGCAGTGATGTGATCTCAGCTCACTGCAACCTCTGCCTCCCGGGTTCAAGCGATTCTCCTGCCTCAGCCTCCTGAGTAGCTGGGATTACAGGTGTCTCACCACGCCTGGCTAATTTTTGTATTTTTAATAGAGACGGGGTTTCACCATGTTGGTCAGGCTGGTCTGGAACTCCTGACCTCGTGATCTGCCTGCCTTGGCCTCCCAAAGTGCTGGAATCACAGGCGTGAGCCACCGCGGCCAGCCTGCCTTACATTTTTAGATGATAACACCAATATGTGTTAGTTATAAAAAAGAAAAGAAGTTAAATAACTTTGAAGAGGAACATTCATATTTGGCTAGATTCAGAGTCAATATTTTGTCCTATATGATACTTTAAAAAAATTGTTAGACTTGGTGCCAACATTAGAAAACTAAAATTTTTTTTTTTTTTGAGACGGAGTCTCGCACAGTCGCCCAGGCTGGAGTGCCGTGGTGCCATCTCTGCTCTGCTCACTGCAAGCTCCGCCTCCCGGGTTCTCGCCATTCTCCTGCCTCAGCCTCCTGAGTAGCTGGGACTACAGGCGCCCGCCACCACGCCCAGCTAAGTTTTTGTATTTTTGGTAGAGACGGGGCTTTACCATGTTAGCCAGGATGGTCTCAATATCCTGACCTTGTAATCTGCCCGCCTCCGCCTCCCAAAGTGCTGGGATTACAGGCGTGAGCCACTGCACCTGGCTGAAAACTAAAAATTTTTTTACATGAAAATATGATTTCTGGCTTCTTGTAAAAATTTGAAAGTACTGATAGCAGAAGGCCCGTATTCCCTCATGTTTGTAATGACAAGGAGCTGAGTAGTGGTTGTGTCCTTTAGACCTGGCATGGTCACTCCAGACTGCCATTGTCTCCACTAGCTGGCTTCCTTCATTGTGTTGTCTGCCAGGCATTTGAGTTTGGGTTGCTCAGAATAATGTAAAAGGCAAAGGTGTCCTCCAGTATCCCAGTGCTGTTAACACTGTTGTATAATCTAGACCTTTTACAGTGCTCGGTCAGATATTTGAGAAGTTCACTGATATGTACACATGTGTATTTCTTTTCATTTATAAAATTCCTGTAGGTTTTTATTTTTTATTTATTTTTATTTTTTTATTTTCGAGACAGAGTTTCACTCTTGTTGCCCAGGCTGGAGTGCAGTGGCATGATCTCAGTTCATTGCAACCTCCACCTCCCAGGTTCAGGTGATTCTCCTGCCTCAGCCTCCTGAGTAGCTGGAATTACAGGCACCTGCCACCATGCCCGGCTAATTTTTGTATTTTTAGTAGAGACGGGGTTTTGCCGTGTTGGCCAGGCTGCTCTCGAACTCCTGACCTCAGGTGATCCACCCGCCTCAGCCTCCCAAAGTGCTGGGACTACAGGCATGAGCCACTGTACCCGGCCTATTTTTTATCTTTATTTTTTGAGATAGGGTGTCACTTTGTTGCCAAGGCTGGAGTGCAGTGGTGTGATCACAGCTCACTGCAGACTCAACCTCCTGGCTCAAGCGATCCACTCACCTCCGAGTACCTGCGACTACAGGCGTGTACCACTATGCCTGGCTAATCTTTTTTTTTGGAGAAACTACGTTGCCCAGGCTGGTCTGAAACTCCTGAGCCCAGGCAGTCCTCCTGCCTTGGCCACCCAAAGTATTGGAATTATAGGGCGTAAGCCACTGTGCTTGGCCTTATAGCTTTTAAATTGACACTAGAAGCCAGACCTTCCAACCTTCCCTATTGTTGTTCCCATCCTTATTGTACACATTTCACTTTTTCTCTTCTAGTCCCTGTGTGAGGGAATGCGTATTTTGGGTTGCGTGAAAGAGGTGAATGAACTGGAACTGGTGATTAGTCTCCCCAATGGCCTCCAGGGCTTTGTGCAAGTCACTGAAATCTGTGATGCCTACACCAAAAAGCTGAATGAGCAGGTGACACAAGAACAACCTCTGAAGGTAAGGGAAATCCGAATGAAGCCTGTTATTGAAAATAAGTGGAACACAAATAGATTTAAAATTACAACTTTGCCAGGTGCTAAGAAGGGAAAGTACAAGGTCCCGTGAGAGTTTATCATAAAGGAATTTTTGACTAAGTCTGGGAGCCTGGAAGACTGTTGAGGAAGGGATGCTTAAGCTGAGATCTAAAGAATGAGGGTTCCCTAGATAAAGAAGGAAAGGCGTTCAGGCAGAAGCAATGTAATATATAACAGAGAGAAGGCTAGTATGGCTAGGTAAGGAGAGCAAGAGAGAGTGTGATGTGAGATGGGCAGGAGAGCCTGAATGGGGGCCAGGGCACATGCAGCCTTGTAGACCATTTTAAGGGTTGTTTTTAAATTCTAGAATCAATGGGAAGTCCTTGAAATGTTCTCACTGGGGTACAGCATAACGTGTAGATTGAAGAGGCATGAGAAGTTGCTTAGAGACAAGTTAGGAGGCTCTTGTAGTCGTTCACGTCCTGAGATTGATGGTGACCTGGGTTCAGGATTTCCTGAGGACTGAGGAGGCAAAGTCATTGCTTGGTGATAGATTCAATATGGGTGGTGGGGCAGATAGAGGTGTCAGGGCTGAGTTCTAGGTTTCTGTTTTGCATGATTTGATGCTTGGTCATGACATCCTGAGATAGGAAACCCTGAAGGGGACCTGGATTGGGAGAGATGATCATGATTTTTCAGTTTTTGAGACAGAGTCTCACTCTGTTGCCCAGGCTGGAGTGCAGTGGCATGATCTCAGCTCACTGAAACCTCCATCTCCTGGGTTCAAGTGATTCTCCTGCCTCAGCCTCCCCAGTAGCTGGGATTACAGGTGCCAGCCACCACACCCAGCTAATTTTTGTATTTTCGGTAGAGACAGGGCTTCACCATGTTGGCCAGGCTGGTCTCTAACTCCTGACCTCAAATGATCCACCCGCCTCGGCCTCCCAGAGTGTTGGGATTATAGGTGTGAGCCATCATGCCTGACCTATGATTTTTGTTTGTTTGTTTGTTTTTGAGATGGAGTCTCACTCTTTAGCCCAGGCTGGAGTGCAGTGACATGATCTCAGCTCACTGCAACCTCCAGCTCCCAGATTCAAGCAATTCTCCTGCCTCAGCCTCCTGAGTAGCTGGGATTACAGGCAGATGTCACCACACCCAGCTAATTTTTGTATTTTTAGTAGAGACAGGGTTTTACCATGTTGGCCAGGCTGGTCTCAAACTCCTGACGTCAGGTGATCTGCCCGCCTTGGCCTCCCTAAGTGCTGGGATTACAGGCATGAGCCACCACACCCGACCCTCAAGTGCTTTTTAATGGTCATGTAAGAGATAGACTGCAAAACTGACCACTGGATTTAACAATATGGAACTCATTGGTGATTCTATGGGAGATAGAGTGGTGGAGTGAGAGGGGTGGAAAGCAGATTGCAGTGAGCCGAAGAATGAGTAAGGGATGAAGTAGAGGCAGAAAGTGTAGACAACTCTTTTGACAAGTCATTTTACATGCCAGTTATGTGGAAATATTTGAAGGCCTTATGCTGAAATTCAAGACTGTGGCTAGGCCACAGACCCAACTTCCTTTGTGGATGGGGGGTTATTCCTCACCCACCTTTTGGGTTCTCTGGGGTCTGAGGATGAGAAGTCACTGAGCCAAAGCTGGGTAATGGATTTTTGGTTCAGGAGAAGGGTGTATATCAGGTCTTTCTCATTTGTGTTATGCAGGACCTACTTCACTTGCCTGAACTTTTCTCACCTGGAATGCTGGTAAGATGTGTGGTGAGCAGTCTGGGCATCACAGACAGGGGCAAGAAGAGTGTCAAGCTGTCTCTGAACCCCAAAAATGTCAACAGAGTGCTGAGTGCTGAGGCCCTGAAGCCTGGCATGGTAGGTGTCTAGGGTCGGGGAGGAAGAGTGGCAATGTGCCTTCTCTCTGCCTCTGAGGGAGCGTGGTCTAGGCCACCTTTTACTTTCAGCTCAATTGTGACACATAGGAGTGGTTCTTTTTCTGGAAGGAAGGTCTCTTGGGTTCTTTGGGCACTTAATGGACATTGAAGACTTGAACCTAATCATTACATTGGAGAAGAGAAAAGAGAAAGCAAGTCCAAATTTCTTTTTTTTTTTTGAGTCGGAGTTTCGCTGTTGTTGCCCAGGCTAGAAAGCAGTGGCATGATCTCGGCTCACCACAGCCTCCACCTCCTGGGTTTAAGCAATTCTTCTGCCTCAACCTCCTGAGGCAGGGATTACAGGTGCCATGCCCAGCTAATTTTTGTATTTTTAATAGAGACGGGATTTCACCATGTTGGCCAGGCTGGTCTCAAACTCTTGACCTCAAGTGATCTGCCTGCCTCAGCCTTCCAAAATGCTGGGATTACAGGCATGAGCCACTGTGCCCTGCCGAAAGTTTGCTATCTTTTGAAACCACTTGAGGCAAGAGACTCTTCTATATTGTTCCATCATTCAGCTGTGTTAAACATTCCTCATTGCCTGGCAACCATCAGCTCCTTCAAGCCTGGGAGTGTTGAATTTGATGTCTGCTGTCTAGTGGGATTGTGGCTTAAGGTTTAATGTGGGAGTGGGATAGTGGCAGAGTGTGAGCTTAGTGGCAGGAACATTCAAGTTTGGATGTTTTGTGTGTGTCCCATTACCTTTGAATTGGAACTTCTGGGACTACTTTCTCTTCCCCAGCTACTTACAGGTACCGTATCCAGCCTGGAAGACCATGGCTACCTAGTGGACATTGGTGTTGATGGGACCAGAGCTTTTCTGCCACTGCTGAAAGCCCAGGAGTACATCAGACAGAAGAACAAAGGTGAGGGCAAGAAAAGGGGCCAGTACATGGTGGTGAGGTGGTACATGTGGGGATTATATTTAAGTGCCATTTTGATGAGTAACATGACAGAATGGTGACCCTGAAGGTGCTGTGGCTTTGGTAAAACCAGCACTTAATCCTAGTTAATAGGAAAGGAAAGATGTATGAAGGGCCAGCGAGTGGTAAGGTCTCACTAAGATCTGATGGAACAGTGTCAGTTTTTCTAACCTGGAAGATTCCACTGCAATTAGGGCCCCCATGGCTTCTGAACCAGCAGTCTCCTGGCTTGTGTATTTTTGTGTGGTAATTGAATTCCAGATCAATTAGGATAACTTCGTTTCCTTCTTGTAGTTGGCCCCTTAAAGATTGGGAATTTGGGGAGTAACTGATGCTAACTGGGCAGGTAGGCCATGGGTCTTTTCAGGTATTACTTGGGCCCACGTTAAAAGTCCTTCTCATAGATACATTTTTCCTTTTGGGGCCTGGGTCTGGGCTTACAGGTGCTAAACTAAAGGTGGGTCAGTACCTGAACTGCATTGTTGAAAAGGTGAAAGGCAACGGAGGAGTTGTTAGTCTGTCTGTTGGTCACTCAGAGGTTTCTACGGCCATTGCTACTGAACAGCAGAGCTGGAACCTTAATAACTTGCTACCAGGACTGGTGGTCAAAGCTCAGGTACAGAAGGTAAGCTGTTATGCTACTACTACTTTTTAAAATAAAAATAATTCTTTTCAAAATATTAAATGCATAAAGTCTAAAACTACTGTCTGATAAAGGTAGTCACTAGTCACTTACGCCCATTGAGCATTTCAAATGTGGCCAGTGCCACATGTTGAAATGATAATATTTTGGATATATTAGGTTAAAAAACTATACTAAAAAGTCTTTTGTTTCTTTGTAGTTTCTAAAATGTGACTGCTAGAAAACTTAAAATTACTTGTGTGACTGACATTGTATTTCTGTTGGACAGTGCTGATCTGAAAGGTCAAATGGAATTAAAAGGTTTATAATGAAGAACTTATCCGTCATAACCCCCATCTTTAACTCTTTTAGCTTATCTTTTGAAATTTCTCTCCATATTTTTGAGTAATAAGCTTCTGCTGGTATCTCTTGATTTTTCCATCTTAGGCATTGAGTTTTAACTTTTTATCAAGGTAGAAAAGATTTTGGTCTCTCTTTTTTTAATTAAAAAATATATATATTTTCCTAGCACTTTGGAGGCCGAGGCAGGCTGATCACGAGGTCAGGAGATCGAGACCATCTTGGCTAACACGGTGAAACCCCGTCTCTGCTAAAAATACAAAAAATTAGCTGGGTGTGGTGGCGGGTACCTGTAGTCCCAGCTACTCGGGAGGCTGAGGCAGGAGAATGGCGTGAACCCAGGAGGTGGAGCTTGCAGTGAGCCAAGATTGTGCCACTGCATTCCAGCCTGGGCGACTGTGCGAGACTCCGTCTCAAACAAACAAACAAAATATATATATTTTATAGAGGTGAAGTCTTACTCTGTTGCCCAGGCTGGTGTTGAACTCCTGAGCTCTAGTGATCCTCCCACCCTGGCCTCCCAAAGTGCTGGGATTACAGGCATGAGTGACCTCACCCAGCATACTAGCATGACTTTCTTTTTTTTTTTGAGACGGAGGCTCGCCCTGTTGCCCAGGCTGGCATGCAGTGGCGTGATCTCGGGTCACTGCAACCTCTGCCTCCCGGATTCAAGCGATCCCCCTGCCTCAGCCTCCCGAGTAGCTGGGACTACAGGCATACACCACCACACCCGGCTGGTTTTTGTGTTTTTAGTAGAGACAGGGTTTCACCATGTTGGCCAGGCTTGTGTCAAAATCCTGACCTTAAGTGATCTGCCTGCCTGGGCCTTCCAAAATGCCGTGATTACAGGTGTGAGCCACCACACCTGGCCTACTATGACCTTGAACAGCTTTTTTCCCTTGGAGTTGGCAGTCAGCTTTGTTTTTGTCATTTGCGAAATTCTCTTCCTATCAGTATTTTTTCCTATACCTTCAACTTATTTTCCACTTATTACAATTCTGCATGTTTTCAAACCCTTTAAGTAAACTACTAGTTTCTTTTTCCTCCCACCTAGAACCCTTTTTAATGTCCTTGTGCTCTAGGATGGACTAGTTGCTCTGTAGGGCTCCTGCATAGCCGGTATCCTAGGACTTCCCTTCTGCTGTCTCCTCTGTCTGTATTGGAGCCTTCTTTGGTCCCATGTATTCTTCTTTTTGGGTTTACTCCCTCGTTTTAGTGTGGTACATTATCCAGAAGCATCCTGGGAGAGCCTCTCAACTTTAACTTCCAATTCTCTAGGAAGTTTTTGTTTAGATTGCCATATGATGAGTGAGGTACTAAAAAACTGTGAGCAAGTCTATGTGCCTGTGTGGGATTGTTGACTGTTTTTTTAATTTTTAAAATTTTTATAATTATTTATTTATTTATTTTTGAGACAGAGTCTTGCTCTGTCACCTAGGCTGGAGTGCAGTGGCATGATCTCGGCTCATTGCAGCCTCCACCATCCAGGTTCAAGTGATTCTCCTGCGTTAGCCTCCAGAGTAGCTGGGACTACAGGCACCCACCACCACACCTGGCTAATTTTTGTATTTTTGTAGAGACAGGGTTTCACTGTGTTGGCCAGGCTGGTCTCAAACTCCTGAGCTCAGGTGGTCCACCTGCCTCAGCCTCCCAGAGTGCTAGGATTATAGGCATGAGCCACTGCGCCCACCTTCTTGTTGACCGTTTAACTTTCCTGTCAGGAACAGGACTAGCAGATTTAATTTGGGCAACCTCCTAATGTGATTGTTATAGGTCTTCTCTGGCATGTTAGATTTCTCTAGAAAGGATCTGGCAATCTCCACCCACGAGGGTCTAAGCCTGGCTGCCCGAGAATGAGTACGAGAAAGGGGCTGGATATTTACATGATATTTAGAATTTAATTGACATAAGAATATTTACATGATATTTAGAATTTAATTGACATTTTCAGAATTTGCACTTTTCCTGTTTTTTGATTCTGGTAACAGTTTTCCCAGAGAATAGGTTTAGTATTTTCCGGGAAGGTAAGAGAGAGGTCTTAGTTCTCTGATTTCATTCATCTCCCTCACCACTATCTTTTGAGGGGATTGTTACTTTTCGCTTTTTGGTGACTCCATAAGGGTGACTTGGCTTGCTTGTGGTCAGTATCTCCCTTTTGCAAGCCCTTTTTTTTTTAACCTTTTTTTTTTACCTTCCTATACTGGGAAAATATCTAAGTTAGTAACAATCTATTCCAGTTGTCAGGCTGGCAGTTCCCCAAGGATACATATACAAAGCTTCTTCCATTCCATGGAGGACTCCCAGAGAGTGGGAGGATTGATGTCCTCTCTTAGCTGGAAGGGAGGTGAGCCTACTAAGGAAAGAAACAGCCAGTGCAGGAATTGTTCTGCCAGTTATTTGTATAGGAAGAAAAGATTGTTAAGAGTTACCTGGGAGAGGAGAGATACACAGTTAGGGATACTATGGCATTGAGTGTTTACTGTGAGCAATGTCTCACATTCCTGGTTCTTTCAAAGAACTTTTTTTTATAACTTGTTCTGTTTATTTCTAGGTGACTCCATTTGGCCTTACGCTAAACTTCCTCACATTCTTCACGGGCGTGGTTGACTTTATGCACCTGGATCCCAAGAAAGCTGGAACATATTTCTCAAATCAGGCAGTAAGAAATGTTGAGCCTATATTTTCTTGATTCCAGTTGTGGTCCATTTGCTGTCCAGTATCACAGCTAGCTACAGGGAGGTCCTAGGACTGCATGCATACAGGTGTGCAGAGAGGAGATGAGAGGAATAATGAAAAGTGTTATGGAGGCCAGATGCAGTGGCTCATGCTTGTAATCCCAACACTTTAGGAGGTGAGGTGGGCGGATCACTTAAGGTCAGGAGTTCAAGACTAGCCTGGCCAACATGGTGAAACCCCGTCTCTACTAAAAATACAAAAATTAGCCAGGCGTGGTGGCGCATGCCTGTAGTCCCAGCTACTCAGGAAGGTGAGGCAGGAGAATCGCTTGAACCCGGGAGGCCGAGGTTGCAGTGAGCTGAGATCGTGCCACTGCACTCCAGCCTAGACAACAGAGCGAGACTCCATCTCAAAAAAAAAAAAAAAAGTGTTATGGAAGGAAAGTAAGAAACTCTCAGTGGCTGAACTGAAATTAGAGAAGGAGCAGGTGGAGAAGAAGGCAACTTTCAGTTTTTACTTCATAGTCTTCCATATAGTTTGATTTTTTTTTCCTTTGGTGGTAGTAGTATTTTTGTTTTTATAATTTAAAGTAGTTTAGAAGAATATTTAACATAGGAGAATAAGATACGTTTAAACAGCAAAAGGTGATTTTAAAAGTTGTATAGTATAGATCCAACTTTGAAAAAAATTTTAAAAAGTACCTCTGGTTAAAATACTGGAATATTAGGCAATCAGGTGTTAATAGTGATGAATTCTGGGTGATTTTTCTTTTCTTTTCTTTTTTTTTTTTTTCTTTTTTTTTTAAGACAGTGTCTTACTCTGTCACCCAGGCTGGAGTGCAGTGGCGCAAACACGGCTCACTGCAGCTTCAATCTCCTGGACTCAATTGATCTCCCACCTTAGTCCTCAGAGTAGCTAGGACCACAGATGTGTGCCACAATGCCTGGCTAGTTAAAAAAAATTTTTTTTAGGCCAGGTGTGGTGGCTCACGCCTATAATCCCAGCACTTTGGTAGGCCGAGGTGGGAGGATCACAAGGTCAGGAGTTCAAAACCAGCCTGGCCAGCATGGTGAAACCCCGTCTCTACTAAAAATAAAAAAAATTAGCCAGACCTGGTGGTGCGTGCCTGTAGTCCCAGCTACTCGGGAGACTGAGGCAGGAGAATCGCTTGAACCCAGGAGGCAGAGGTTGCAGTGAGCCGAGATTGTGCCACTGCACCCCAGCCTGAGCGACAGAGTGAGACTCTGTCTTTAAAAAAAAAAAAAAAAAAATTTTTACAGGCGAGGTCTCGCCATGTTGCCCAGACTGGTTTTGAACTCCGGGGCTCAAGGAGTCCCCCAACCTTGGCCTCCCAAAGTGCAGGGATTACAGGTGTGAGCCACAACCCTGGCTCCGCTCGTATTTAAATATTCAAATTTCCTACAATGAACATGGATATTTGGGAAGAAAATCCTAATATATGTTATTCAGAATTTTTTAGAATTCTAAAATGATTTCTTACTTTTCTTTTTTTAAATAGTAATGTGTGCTATAGATAATTTATTTATTTATTTATTTTTTGAGACAAGGTCACACACTATTGCCCAGAGTGGAGTACAATGGCACAACCACGGTTAATTGCAACCTCAACCTCCTGGGTTCAGGCGATCCTTCCACCTCAGCCTCCTGAGTAGCTGGGACTACGGATGCATGCCACCACGCCCAGCTAATTTTTGCTATGTTTTATAGAGATGGGGTCTCGCTGTGTTGCTCAGGCTGGTCTTAAACACCTGGGCTCAAATGATCCTCCTGCCTAGGCCTCCTAAAGTGCTGGGATTAGCCTCCTAAAGTGCTGGGATTATAGGCTTCAGCCACTACAACTAGCTGAGAATTTTTTTTTAAAGTGAAACTAGGATTTTCTACTACCTAGTGGTAATACTGTTAATATTTTCCTAAACCTCTTTTTAGTAATTTTTTTCACCCTATAAGCATTTGTGTATAGAGTTGAGACATTTTACATCTTTTAATGTTATGATGAGATCAGGCTTTTTCTGTTAGTTTCAGAGGAGCCTTGGATGCAGTGACACCAGTACATGGTTTCTGTTGTATTACAGATACATCAGCTCCTTGGTGTTGAGGGGACACCTAGTATATAGTTTTCTGGCCTTGAGTAAACTTTCTGGCTAATTTTTATTTATTTATTTTATTATTATTTTTTGAGACAGGGTCTCACTCTGTCACCCAGGCTGGAGTGCAGTGGCACGATCATCACTCACTGCAGCCTTGACCTCCTGGGCTCACTCAGGTGATTCTCCTGCCTCAGCCTCCCAAAGTGGTGCATGCCACCATGCTTGGCTAACTTTTTTTTTTTTTCTTGAGACTGAGTCTTACTTTGTCACCCAGGCTGGAGTGCAGTGGCACAGTGTTGGCTCACTGCAACCTCTGCCTCCCCATTTTAAGTGATTCTTGTGCCTCAGCCTCCTGAGTAGCTGGAATTACAGGTACGTACCACCATGCCCGGCTAATTTTTTTTTTTGAGACGGAGTCTTGCTCTGTCGCCCAGGCTGGAGTGCAGTGGCGTGATCTTGGCTCACTGCAGTCTCCGCCTCTTGGGTTCAAGCGATTCTCCTGCTTGAGCCTCCTGAGTAGCTGGGATTACAGGTGTGTGCCACCACACCCAGCTAATTTTTTGTATTTTTAGTAGAGACGGGGTTTCACTGTGTTAGCCAGGATGGCCTTGATCTCCTGACCTCGTGATCTGCCTGCTGCCTGCTTCGGCCTCCCAAAGAGCTGGGATTATAGGCATCAGCCACTGCTTCCAGCCTAACTTTTTTTTATTAAAACTAGAGATGAGGTTTCGCCATGTTGGCTGGGCTGTCTCAGACTCCTGATCTCAAGTGATCTGCCCACCTCAGACTCCCAAAGTGCTGGGATTACAGGCGTGAGCCATGATCCCCAGCCTATTTTTGTATTTTTTGTTGAGACAGGGTTTCACTATGTGCGCAGGCTGGTCTCTAACTCCTGAGCTCAAGTGATCCACCTGCCTTGGTGTCCCAAAGTGCTGGGATTACCAGTGTGAGCCACCCATACCTGGCTTGAGTAAGCTTTGATTTAGTCATACATAGTCCCTATGGGACATTTTGATTTTTCTGCATTCTGCTTGAGTGTGGAAGCCAGTTTGAGTACTTACATACTAAGGATGTGAGTACTCACATACCTGGTTAGCATGTGGAAAGGCTTGATGCCTGGAAGGTCTGCTCTAGGGTGCTCCTGTGTGCCTCCTCCTGCTCACCCTGCCCTTCCTTTTGTCTAGGTGAGGGCCTGCATCCTTTGCGTCCATCCTCGAACCAGAGTTGTGCACCTGAGCCTGCGCCCCATCTTCCTACAGCCTGGACGCCCACTCACCCGACTCTCTTGCCAGAACCTTGGAGCAGTGCTGGATGATGTTCCTGTCCAGGGTTTTTTCAAAAAGGCTGGGGCCACCTTTAGGCTGAAGGATGGGGTTCTGGCCTATGCCCGGGTAAGGAGGCCTCTTTGTTTGGTCAGGGATCTTATCACTGGAAGGACTTCTGGAGCACAGGGGGCCATTTCTGCTTCTTTCATTCCTTGATGCTAGTTTAAAATTTTTGGATATTGTAGTTCTAATTCCTGTTCATAGTGATTAGAACAATGTCTATTGACTGTATTAGGATGCCTTAGAACCAGCTTGCCATATCTGATACTTGGTTAATAGTTAAGTATAAGGATGAGTTAGGATCCAGACCAGGGCCCAGCAGAGTTTTTCTTAAAGGGCTATGTCATAAATACTTTAGGCTGTGGGCCCTGTGGTCTCTGTCCTAATTGTTCAACGCTGCTGTTATGGCATGAAAGCAGCCATAGACAGTACGTAAATGAACAGATGGCTGTATTCCAATACAACTTCTATTTACAAAAACAGGCACTAGGCACAGTTGACTGACCTGTGTTCTGGACTTTCCCTGACCTTGCTGAAATTCTGTGATGATAAAGAGCAGTTTTTTAGTGTGAAGAATTACTTAACCAGGCAATCAAAGTACTGTTTTTATGGTACATGATAAGTGTTGAGTCCTCTCTATGGGCTGTAAGGTCTCATTGGCTCAGACCTGTTGTCCCTGGCTTATCCTCAATCACTTGGTACTTTGCAGCTCAGCCATCTCTCTGATTCTAAGAACGTCTTCAATCCTGAGGCCTTCAAGCCAGGGAACACTCACAAGTGTAGAATTATTGACTACAGCCAAATGGATGAACTGGCCTTGCTCTCTCTACGAACGTAAGTCTGTCATTAACAGGTAGGGGTGTAGAGATGTGCACCTGTACATGTTCATATTCCATTTCTCCTGGCTGTGCTTGGGAAGGGTTTTCTTTCTTGCCAGCATGCCTGTGGTAGCCCTGAATTTTAGGCAACCTCTGCCCTAGTTTATTTAATTCTGTGTTTTCTCCTTGTCCTAGGTCTATTATTGAAGCTCAGTACCTTAGATATCATGACATCGAACCTGGGGCAGTGGTAAAGGTAAGACCTCAAGCATATAATTAGGTACTGCCTCACCATCAGGCGTTCTTTAGTTCACGCACAGGTGACTGTCAGCCCGTTAGTCCTCATGTTAACACATTGAATGTCATGTTCCTTGCTTCTGCCTGCTGACTAGAATTTCTTTCTCTTTCTTTGGGTAACTCATAGTTAATTTCAAGGTAAGATCTTACTAGCACCACCCAGCTACACAAAGGCAGTAGATCATAAATCCTGAGATTTGGGATTTGATGGTGGTTAGTAGACCTGATCAAAAGTTAGTCCTGTGATTATTGATCTACCTGGGATATTAGTGAGAAGCCAGTTCCAGGTACCTGTCCTGTCCGACCATTTGGCTCTAATCGAGCAGCTCCCTTTATATGTAGAGTTTATTCCTTAGGAGACCTTGACATAGTCCCTTCCTTTGGGGAATGTATTTTAAGGCACACAGAAAGCACATGCTCACACAGAAAGATGTGAAGGCTCCCATAAATAAAGCTGACAGAATAATCCAGCTCAGTGTGGGGTGTGTGCTTCACCCATGTGCCATCTGGAATAACAGGCACAGTTAGCCCAGGAAGTTGGCTGTGAAGGGGAGGTATGACATGCCTTGTTGTAAGAGGTGGGGGAAAGGCCATTCTTGAGACATTGTGGCAGCTTATCTTTGGATTCTCTAGGGCACAGTGCTAACCATAAAGTCATATGGGATGCTGGTGAAGGTGGGCGAGCAGATGAGGGGCCTGGTACCTCCCATGCACCTGGCTGACATCCTGATGAAGAATCCGGAGAAGAAGTACCACATCGGGGATGAGGTCAAGTGCCGGGTGAGCCTCCTGAAGGGTCTCTTGGGGTTTTGGCTAGATGGGAAGAAAGCAGTTCTCAACTGAAGTTTCTGCCTTTTTCCACAAAGTGAGTGTGTAATGTCTGTAGTGTGTCTTGTGCTGTACCTGGCATTGGGAAGAGAAAAGTGAGTCCCCGTTTTGTGTAGTATAATTGGGAGTTAAAATATTCATACGTGATGAGAGAGCAAGCCAGCCTGTGATCTTTTGCCATGTGGCTTGGTGCAGGTTGTGTGCTGTGGTCACACCTGAGAAAGGGGAGGTGAGGGTGGGCTGGAGCAGCCAGAATTGTTGACGTTATCAGTAGCGACTGCCACGAACAGGACTGCCACGAACAGGTATTCCGTGCCAGTTTCTATGCTAGGCATGTGACAAGCATTATTTCATTTAATCCTTGAAACAACCCTAACAATTAAGCACTATTATCTTCATTTTGCGGGTGGGGAAATTAAAGCTTCGGAAAGCCAACCGTCTTGCCCAGAGTCACACAGCTAATACATGGCAGAACAATTCAGCTCTGTATGACAATAATGTTTTCTAGATTTCTGGCAGAGGTGGAACTTGAAAGGATAGGTAGGATTTGGAAGGTTGGGGAGAGCAAAGGTTGTGTTCTAGGCACAGAAATAGCCCTGGCAAAGCTGCCAAAACATGGGTGATTTATGACAAAGGCTCGAATCCGAAGGAAAGCTTCATAGGGTTGTGAAGATCCAACATGATGATGCACACAAGAGTGCTCCACGGGCAGGCACTCAGCATGTTAGATTTTCCGGTATTCAGTTTATCTCATCGTTATTGACTCAGCAGAGGTAATGATTGCCCATTGGTGCAAAATTTTACAGTAGTGGGATCAAGGGTTAAAAATACTTTTTCTGTCTTTAAGGAGATGACCTTCTGAAGGGGTGAAAGACAGTTGCATCTCCATCTTATTTCATAGCTAATAAACGGCAGTACTAAGGTGGTAAATTGGTTCATCATTGGTTCTGTTAGACTAGATGCAAAGCCCACTAGGAAGGAGCCAAGATGGTGTAGAAGTTAGTGTAACCAAGACTCCATAGAGGTGATGTAAGATAATTAATGTTGCTTCATGGTCAGGAGAGGGTAGTTTGCAGCAATTTATGGGAGGAATTACATTTGAAATAGTGATTTGTATGCTCCAGATTGTCATACAGCAGGAAGAATCTGCCACTGAGATGATTAGAGGAAAAGCTATAGCAGGTTCTTGGGGAATGGCCCCGTGGCTTTTGGGTTTAAGAGGTTGCAGAGACCAGCTCAGTGGCTCTCATGATAACAGATAACTTGATGACAGCCTGTGTCCCTCCCCTAGGTTTTGCTTTGTGACCCTGAAGCCAAGAAGCTGATGATGACCCTGAAAAAAACCCTGATTGAGTCCAAACTACCTGTCATTACCTGCTATGCCGATGCCAAGCCTGGTCTGCAGACACATGGCTTCATCATCAGGGTCAAGGACTATGGCTGCATTGTGAAGTTCTACAACAATGTGCAGGGACTGGTGCCCAAGCATGAGCTCAGTACTGAGTATATCCCTGACCCGGAGAGAGTTTTTTACACTGGCCAGGTAACCCTTCCCCTAGACAGGTCCCCTTTACCCTTGGTGACCCCACAAACACAAATATGAAGGAGCAGTAAGTAGTGGGGCTGCCTTTAGGAGGCTGAGGAAGAGAGCACATGGGGCAGTGGGTGTGAGCCGGCTAAATGGAGGAGACGGGGAACAGAACAGAGAGAAAGCCTCAGCGGGGTTCAGCAGAAGCTGGCAAGCTGATGGATCTCAGGCACGCATGGAAGAGGTCAGTCTTTACTTGTAATAAACCTGTGCCTCTCATATCGGAAATTGTTTTGAGGTCACTGTCACCACATGGGGGCAGTGCTGTAAAACTAGTAAGTCTTGGTATCACTAGGAAAAGCATTTTTTTATTCCTTTAAACGACTTTAAACAGATAGATAATAATTGTACATATTTATGGGGTACAATATGATATTTCTTTTTTCTTTTCCTTTTTTTTTTTGAGACAGAGTTTCCTCTGTCACCCAGGCTGGAGTGCAATGGCGTGATCTCAGCTCACTGCAACCTCCACCTCCCAGGCTCAAGTGATTCTCGTGCTTCAGCCACCCAAGTAGCTGGGACTACAGGCATGTGCCGGCATACCCGGCTAATTTTTGTATTTTTAGTAGAGATGGGATTTTGCCATGTTGGCCAGGCTGGTCTCGAACTCCCTGGCTTCAAGTGATCAGCCTGCCTTGGCCTTTCAAAGTGCTGGAATTACAGGCCTGAGCCACTAAGCCTGGCCACCATGTGATATTTCAATACATGCTTACAATGTGTAACGATCAAACCAGGGTAATTAGCATCTCCATCACCTCAAAAAGAAAAATAATTTTTAAGACTTGGATTGTACAAAAAAAGTTACTTATGTCTTCCATTTATCCCAAAGGCTGCCCTGGGGGATTGTGTAGCTCTCAGTGCATTTCTTCTTTTCACTGCCTCCTGATCTGATCCAAAGGCTCGGTAGATCTCCCAAGTCCTCTGCAGCAGTAGTGGAGGGCACGTTGCAGGGCCTGCAAGGCTTGCTGGGAGGAGTTGGCCAAGCCTGTGTGGTTTCTTGCCAGGTGGTGAAGGTTGTCGTATTGAACTGTGAGCCATCCAAAGAGAGGATGCTCTTATCCTTCAAGCTGTCGAGTGATCCAGAGCCAAAGAAAGAGCCTGCAGGACACAGTCAGAAGAAAGGAAAAGCCATTAACATTGGGCAGGTACGTGGACTTCTCTGGACAAGCTATTTTATGTTACAGTGGCAGAGAGCAGGGAACCACTAACACATGGCATATTGGAACCCACGAAGCGGAAAGATAGAGGTAGCTAGATAAGATTTTGGGGCTAGAGGGGTTCATACGCATTCCTTCCTGTGTGTCAGAACAAATGGAAGCTGTCCCTGAAAGTCCTGTTACAGTGAGGCTTTTCAGCAGTGGGCTGCTGACCTCTTTCCTCTCGGGTCCCTAGGGCCAGCCTGCAGTTCTGGCTTTCCTGGGGCTCCGTGGAGGGACTTGAGAGAGGAGTGCGATGGGTCCACCCATGAGTCCTGGTGAATGTGCACGTACATGCATGCTGGGTGGTTGGGGTGGTGGGTGGGGTTTGGAAGAAAGCTGCCTCTTAGAGATCCTTGGTGCCGGAGTTTAATGCCTCCAAGCCCTGCCTAATCCAGACCAGGTTGTTCTCTGTTCATGACAAGTGCTATTTTTGTCTTTCTCTTCCCTGGGTAGTTGGTAGATGTGAAGGTTTTAGAGAAGACCAAAGATGGGCTGGAGGTGGCTGTCCTGCCCCACAACATCCGTGCTTTCCTCCCCACATCTCATCTGTCGGACCACGTTGCCAACGGCCCATTGTTACATCATTGGCTCCAGGCAGGTGACATCCTTCACCGAGTCCTGTGTCTGAGCCAGAGCGAGGGGCGTGTTGTATCCTTGACTGGTATCTGTGGAGCAGAGGAAGGTGGGGGGCCATGGGTGCTTGGATGGGAAATTCTGGGGAAATTAGACAGCTATTTGACCTCAGAAATATCTCCACAAAACCAAACCAGTGATGAAGCCTGTGCTATGGAAAGTAAGAGCAGGCCTGAGTAAGTGCTGCCAGCAGATGCTGGTGGTCAGGGCGGAGTAGCCTGAAAGGTTGCAGAGAGGGGGACTCTCGGAGGCTGGAGAAGGAGGCCCAGTGGGGTGCTTGGGAGCACATCTAGTTTTCTTGGGGCTTTCAGTGCCTGCCCCTTGGGTTAGAACCAATAATAAGGTGGCTTCTGTCCCCCTTTCCTCTTTTTTTTTTTCCCCTATGCCTTCTCCCCGCGGGGCTATAGGCTCAGGAATATTCCCTTTGGTCTTTGCATGGGTGCTTTGAAGGAGCTTCTCACAGAATGTAAAGTTCATTCTCCTGGGAGTAAAAATGGGCAGAGGAGGGAAAATGAGTTCATCAGTGTAAAGAGGGAGTAGTAGAGGATTGTGTGATGGCTGATCCAGCTGCCAGACCAGGGGGATGAGCCATCCCTTTTTGGTGTCCTCTAGTAATCTGCAGATTAGTGAATCGGGAATGGAATAAAACCGTGATTCTCAGCTGTAGTGTGCAGTTGGGCCATGCAGATGGCTGGGCCACACCAAAGTTTCTAATTCAGTAGGTCTAGGTGGTGCTTGAGAACTTGCATTTCTCCTAAGTTTCAGGCGATGTTGATGCTGCTGGTCTGCACACTTAGAGAATCGCTGTAGCAGCAGAGATCAGCCTGCAGTTCTGTCCTTCTCTGTGGAGAAAGGAGATGGGAGAGATGGACATTTCATCTGCCCTTTCTGGAACATTCCTTGATGAAGTACCACTAGCTTCTTTGCAGGAAGCCAGCCTTGGTCTCCACAGTAGAAGGTGGCCAGGATCCCAAGAACTTCTCAGAAATCCATCCTGGAATGCTGCTCATTGGTTTTGTGAAGAGCATCAAGGACTATGGCGTGTTCATCCAGTTCCCCTCAGGTCTTAGCGGACTGGCCCCAAAAGCTGTAAGTTCAACTCCATGTACAAGGGCTTTGAGGAGAGATACAAGGTCACAGAACCTGAGGGCGGGTAGGGAGGAGTAGGATACTTTATTCCTTTTTTTTTTGAGACAGTCTTGTTCTGTCGCCCAGGCTGGCTTGCAGTGGTGTGATCTCTGCTCGCTGTAACCTCCGCCTCCTGGGCTCAAGCGATTTTCCTGCTTCTGCCTTCCAAGTAGCTGGGATTACAGGTGCCCACCAACATGCCAGGCTTTTTTTTTTTTTTTTTTTTGAGTAGTAGAGACAGAGTTTTACCATGTTGGCCAGGCTGGTCTTGAACTCCTGACCTTAAGTGATCCACCTGCCTCGGCCTCCCAAAGTGCTGCGATTACAGGTGTGAGCCACCGCACCTGGCCAAGGATACTTTACTCTTTTGAAAGATTTTCAGGGGTACCTCTTAAGGTGTGTGTGACATAAAGGCACCTGGGAGGGGTGAGTGCAGCTGAGCTTTTGGCCCATGTTCCTCTCGCCCAGCTGTGTGACCATCTGGAGGAAGGGACACCTTTCCCACTCCACACTACACATTGAAGGCCTTAGTCTCCAGTGTGAAGATGACTGCACTTGTTTTTATTCTCTCAGCACACTTAGACAGGGAAATTGATCATCCTGAGCTACTGAGTACAGGTTTTGCAGACTTCTGAGGTTTTTGAGGTGTTAAGGGACCAGAATGTCTTTGAAATTATTACCTCCCCCACCCCCATGTCATTGAGTCCTGCACTTTCAGATGGGAACAATCCCAGCAGTCCCCTAGCAGAGCCTCCTGGTGTGCCTGGCACGTCAGCCGAGGCCTATTGAGGGGATGGGACTCACCAAAGTCATGGAAGACAGCGAGCAAATGGCGTGCAGCTGATTGCTGCTGCAGATCATTCATCAGTATTTCTTCCCCTCTGTAGGCCTGTCTCCCTGGTGTTTTGCCTGGGAAAATCTCATTTGCATCCCCTGCCAGAAACATTTTAAAAATGGGAGCAGAGGGGAGGGCCCCAGAAACAAGCCCAGTGAGGGGCAGAGGGTTCCCGTGGGTTGTTAGGGGTGAGGACAGCCCTGGTGTCTGCCTGGCTTGCTGTGAATGTGCCTTCTTGACTGGGTGCCCTCTCCTGGAGGCTCTGTTTTTTTTGTTGTTGTTGTTTGTTTTTGTTTTTGTTTTTTTTTTTTGAGATGGAGTCTCACTCTGTCGCCCAGGCTGGAGTGCAGTGGCGCAATCTCGGCTTACAGCAACCTCTGCCTCCCGGATTCAAGTGATTCTCCTGCCCCAGCCTCCCGAGTAGCTGGAATTGCAGGTGCATGCCACCACTCCTGGCTAATTTTTGTATTTTTAGTAGAGTCAGGGTTTCACCATGTTGGTCAGGCTGGTCTGGAACTCCTGACCCCATGATCTGCCCGCCTCGGCCTCCCGAAGTGCTGGGATTACAGGCGTGAGCCACTGCTCCCAGCCAATCCGGAGGCTCTGTTTTTATGGAAGGGAAGTAGAGCTGTGTTCAGAGAGGGCTTGGGGGAGCTTCCTAGGCCCCATTTCCCCCTACTCACGTACCCCTTTCCAGGAACATCAAGTGGGTTGTCTTAATGAAGACCTTTCCTCTTCTCATCTCCTGCCTGTTCTTCTGTTCAGATCATGAGTGACAAATTTGTGACCTCCACAAGTGACCACTTTGTTGAGGGCCAGACAGTAGCGGCAAAGGTGACCAATGTGGATGAGGAGAAGCAGCGGATGCTGCTGTCACTGCGGCTGTCGGACTGTGGTCTGGGGGACTTGGCTATCACCAGCCTCCTCCTCCTGAATCAGTGCCTGGAGGAGCTGCAGGGCGTGCGCAGCCTTATGAGCAACCGAGGTGGGGCACCTGTGGGGCAGGGGAGGTGGGCCAGGGGTGGGAGTATGTGTTGTAAATTACACCTGTTGTTAGGTGAGTTGTTGGGCTTCCCAGAACATAAGAAAAAAAAATTTGGGGCCGGGCGCGGTGGCTCACGCCTGTAATCCCAGCACTTTGGGAGGCCGAGGCGGGTGGATCATGAGGTCAGGAGATCGAGACCATCCTGGCTAACAAGGTGAAACCCCGTCTCTACTAAAAATACAAAAAAAAATTAGCCGGGCGCGGTGGCGGGCGCCTGTAGTCCCAGCTACTCGGGAGGCTGAGGCAGGAGAATGGCGTGAACCCGGGAAGCGGAGCTTGCAGTGAGCCGAGATTGCGTCACTGCAGCCCGCAGTCCGGCCTGGGTGACAGAGTGAGACTCCGTCTCAAAAAAAAAAAAAAAAAAAGAAAAAAAAAATTGGGTTAACTTTTTTTTTAATGGAAGTATGACCTGCATAAAGTGCACAATTTTATTATTATTATTATTATTATTATTATTATTATTATTATTATTGAGACCAAGTTGCACTCTGTCGCCTGGGATGGAGTGTGGTGGTGCGATCTTGGCCACTGCAACTTCCACCCCCCAGGTTCAAGCGATTCTCCTTCCTCAGCCTCCGGAGTAGCTAGGATTACAGGCATCTGCCACCATGTCTGGCTAATTTTTGTATTTTTAGAGAAGACAGGGTTTCGCCATGTTGGCCAGGCTGGTCTCGAACTCCTGACCTCAAGTGATCCACCCGCCCTGGCCTCCCAAA
Organism: Homo sapiens; assembly: GCF_000001405.40. Taxonomy (NCBI): domain Eukaryota; kingdom Metazoa; phylum Chordata; class Mammalia; order Primates; family Hominidae; genus Homo; species Homo sapiens. The sequence goes on from NC_000010.11 coordinate 103,422,344, forward strand.
GTGCTGGGATTACAGGCGTGAGCCACTGCGCCCGGCCAAAGTGCACAGTTATTATGTGTGCAGCTCAATAAATGTTTATATTACACCCCTTTAAGATAAAGGTCATTACGAGCATCCTAGATGTCCTCTTCTCCCCACTGCCAGTCCAGAGTCAAAATTTCCCTTAGTTCTGTGGCTTTATATTTGCATTTGCTGTGAATTCACTCGCCTTTTCACCTTTCATTCCTTTATTCAGCAGATGAAATGGAACTGGGACCTGCCAGGCTTTGTGAGGGGTTATTATTCTGACCCTCTTAGACTTTGAACCATTGTGTGGGGTTGTTGTAACTTTAATGGAATTTCATAGCAGGAGGCTTGAGAGGGGACAGTGAAAATTCAGAAACCAAAGGAAAGCCTGTCTTCCTGGTATTTGTTGGCTACTCCCATGAATTATGGTCAGGTAGGATTATTAGCAAGGGGCTTAGGTCTGTCTGCTTGTGACAAGAGTTTTCATGGATACTGAACATTTTTGCAAAAAGTGATTTTACCTTGTCAGTGGTTCCAGTGCTCCACTGTCCTCCGTGGTGATAGCACACTGCCAGAGGAAAAGAACAGTGAGAGTTCTTTCATGGTACTAATCCGTGTTTCCTTTGGATCTCTGGCAGACTCTGTGTTGATCCAGACGCTGGCCGAGATGACCCCAGGAATGTTCCTTGACCTAGTGGTGCAGGAGGTGTTGGAAGATGGCTCTGTGGTATTCAGTGGGGGTCCAGTGCCCGACCTGGTCCTGAAAGCCAGCAGATACCATCGCGCAGGTGAGTGCTTCTGTCTTACCCATTGTGGTTGGTGGGAGGACCCTTTGTCCATTGCTCCCTCTCCTGGATATAGAATTTCTAAATACTTACGGTAGGTGAGTTGATTCGGTAGAGATTTTTGGCATGCCTATCTTGTGTGAATGCAAAGGCTTAGGTATGAATCCTTTAATTGTTACAATTGGGTAAATCTAGATTTTTATATATTAGGTTACATAAATTAAGGCCTACCTGAACTTGAACTATGGGAGGTAGACCCTTGATTTCCCTAATTATGGCCCGTATGGACCCAGGACATGTGTCCTCTTTGCTTTTTTGGATCTAAGGGGTAGCAGCTACATGTGAGAGGTGCTGCTCTCCCTTCACTCTGTTCCAGAAGGATAATCACACTGTGGTTCTGCACTGCAGGGCAGGAGGTGGAATCTGGGCAGAAAAAGAAGGTTGTTATCTTAAATGTTGATCTTTTGAAGTTGGAAGTGCACGTTTCCCTTCACCAGGACTTGGTGAATAGAAAAGCTAGAAAGGTAAGCTTGCTCCTGACTTCCATTTCCATGGTTTCACATGATGTACCCTTCAACCCCACTCCAGTTCAGGGATTCCAACTCAGATGCCTGTAGCAAGGGTAGCCCTATGTCTGGATGGATCCAGGACACCCCCGGTTTAGACCTCTTGTCCTGGTGTGGTTCATAGTGCTGACTTCTGTTCTGGTTCCGGTGATAAGTTACATGGGCACTCCATCTTTAGGGCCAGACAGATAAATAGTGTGCAGGAGTGGAGCTGGCTGTGTGGGTAGGGAGTGGCTGGCCTGGGACTCTGACGAGCTGGAGAGTGCATGCCCAGCCCCTGTGGGGCTGAGACTGTTCAGTCCCGCCCAATTGTTGCCGGGTGGGAATCTGGGGCTACTGCTGCTAAATCTTTGATTTTTAAGAGAAGGCAGAATTTGGATTTTTATTTGAAATAAAAGCTGAAAATGTTGGAAACTTATTTTTTTAAAAACATCCCATGAGCCAAACAGCATGTCTGTGGGCAGTTCAGACCTCCAAGCTGTGCGTCCACACCCTCGCCTGCCTTGTCTTCTGGACACTTTTGTGTGACATAAGAATGGGTTTGAGGGAAAAATTATTATTTTTCTCTGGGTGATGAATATATTTGGTTATTGTCTAAAGCACTTATTAGGCACCTAGTTGCACAGAGTATGGTGCAGTGTAGATATAATCCTTAATTTCCAGTTGCTTACAGTATTAAGAGTTTAGGACAGAGAGAGAATGGAAAGCAATACTAACCTCTCATTCAGTTTTCTAGCAGGACCCTGTACCATTTTATCACCTAAGGGAAGCTTGGGCATATAAGAGCATGAGCACAATTTGGATTTTGAGGAAAGAGAGGCTAGGTGCCTTGCACACAATAAGCTCTCAGTAATGACTCTATTCATTGCTTGGGTTGAAGAGTGATTAATTGGGGGTGGGGGAGCTGCAGGACAGATTCAGGAACCACAGTGTCTCTAAGCTGAGAGAGCTGTTAGAGGTTGCAAGGCTGTGCATCAGAATTATCTCAATAACTTGTAAAATTCAGATTTACTAGATCTAGGATAGGGTCTTGCAATTTAAATTCAAAGCAAAGCAAAAACCAAGCCAAGGTAATTCAGAGGCAGCCCCATGAGTTTAGTGTACAGGAGAGGAAAGCTAGGTCCAGGGAGTGAAGGCTAGTCTGTTCCAGCTCAGACCAGCCTTGAGTTCCCTAGCCTTGGGACCCCAGAGGGTTTCCTCAGCCACACCCTGCCCAGTGGGGCCATGAGTGAGTGACCATGCTGTGTAAGGAAAGCAGGGATGGTGGCTTTTCTCTCTTCTAGCTGAGGAAAGGCAGCGAACACCAGGCGATTGTGCAGCACTTGGAGAAGTCCTTTGCCATTGCCTCCTTGGTAGAGACGGGCCACCTGGCAGCTTTCTCCCTGACCTCTCACCTCAACGACACCTTCCGCTTTGACTCAGAGAAATTGCAGGTGGGACAGGGTGTCTCCCTAACCCTCAAGACCACAGAACCAGGAGTGACTGGCCTTCTTTTGGCTGTGGAGGGGCCGGCTGCCAAGAGGACCATGAGGCCGACCCAGAAGGACTCTGAGACAGTTGATGAGGATGAAGAAGTGGATCCAGCTCTGACTGTAGGGACCATAAAGAAGCACACCCTCTCCATCGGGGACATGGTCACAGGGACTGTCAAGTCCATTAAGCCTACCCATGTGGTTGTGACTCTGGAAGATGGCATTATTGGCTGTATCCATGCCTCCCACATTCTAGATGATGTTCCAGAGGGCACCTCTCCTACTACCAAGCTGAAGGTTGGGAAGACGGTCACTGCCCGAGTGATTGGCGGGCGAGACATGAAGACATTCAAGTATGGAGGCTCTGGGGGTGGGCTGGCTTCGAGGGAGATTGTTGTTGTTGTGGGAGGACTGGGAAAGTAGGTGGGCTCCAAAAAGTTGCATGTAAGTCAGATTCTCTTTTAGTTAACAAAAGGCATTCACCAAAGAATTATTTTGCAAGATTCTTTTTTTTTTCTTTTTTTTGAGACGGAGTCTCACTCTGTTGCCCAGGCTGAAGTGCAGTGGTGTGATCTCGCCTCACTGCAAGCTCTGCCTCCTGGGTTCACACCCTTCTCCTGCCTCAGCCTCCCAAGTAGCTGGGACTACAGGCACCCACCACCACGCCCGGCTAACTTTTTGTGTTTTTAATAGAGATGGGGTTTCACTGTGTTAGCCAGGATGGTCTCAATCTCCTGACCTTGTGATTTGCTCACCTCCACCTCCCAAAGTGCTGGGATTACAGTGCATTATTCTTTTTAAAAATATGGAATATATGGTGTGGTTGTTAAGAACATGGGTTTGGAGTCAGACCCGGGTTTGAATTCTAGATTAACTGTGACCATGTGGCAGTAGCTACTTAAGTCCAAATTTTATTTTCTTAATTTGTAACGTGAGAGTCATGGTAGCGACTACTTTGTAGGGCCATGGTGAAGACTGAAAGAGAGAACGTGTAGTCTGTTCTTTGCCTAGTGGGTTGCTGGCCTCAGTTACTGCGCTGTATACATCTGCAGTTGTCATTCTCCACCTCCCACTTTAATTATCCTCATTTACTTTAAATCTAGTGCCACATGTTACTGTAGCAGAAATTCTTGCTATAACAAGAACAGCAAAAAAAGAATTCAAAGTCTGGCCAATAATTTGCATATTAATTTCAGTAGCTAACTGTGGGGTCTTCAGTAAGTCAATTATCCTCTAAATAAAGACCTCAGTTTCCTTATTTTTAGAATGAAAGAATTGGAGTATATAGACTGTAAGGAAAATTGTTTTCAGGATCTGATATGACAATCCTAAAAGATCAGGCCAGGCACGGTGGCTCACGCCTGTAATTCCAGCACTTTTGGGAGGCTGAGGTGGGTGGATCACCTGAGATCAGGAGTTCAAGACTAGCCTGGCCAACATGGTGAAACCCCGTCTACTGAAAAAACAAAAATTAGCCGGGCACAGTGCCTGTAGTCCCAGCTACTCGGGAAGCTGAGGCAGGAGAATCACTTGAACTCAGGAGGCAGAGGTTGCAGTGAGCTGAGATTGTGCCATTGCACTCTAGCCTGGGCAAGAGAGTGAGACTCCGTTTCAAAAAAAAAAAAAAAATCAGGTGAGGCTGGGTGTAGTGGCTGAACCCTGTAATCCCAGCACTTTGGGACGATGAGGGAGGTGGAAAACCTGAGCCCAGGAGTTCAAGACCTGCCTGGGCAACATGGTGAGACCCCATCTCTACAAAAAAAAAAATAAATAAATAAAAATAAAAATTAGCTGGGCATGGTGGCATACACCTATAGTCCCAGCTACTTGGGAGGCTGAGCTGGGAGGATTGCTTGAGCCCAGGAGATTGAGGCTACAGTGAGCCATGATTGCGCCACTGCATTCCAGCTTGGGTGACAGAGTGAGACCTTGTCCCAGAAAAAAAAAAAATTCAGATGAGCCTGCTCCTTACTAATAACTGCAAAGGTTGGGAATGGAAACCTTCAGCCTGACACATCTGTCTTCAGTGGTGGTGTGACAGTGGAACAGGGTGCTTTTGTGAGCTTGGTTTGGTGGAGAGTAGGGAGAAATCCTGACCTACAGATTACTGTGTTACAGAGATGAAGAGAAATGATTCAGCTTATTTGTTTCTCCAGGTATCTCCCAATAAGTCACCCCAGATTCGTTCGAACCATCCCGGAGCTGAGTGTTCGGCCAAGGTGAGGGGGACATTAGCAGCACTGTCTTACGGAAAGAGCACTGGGCTTTGGAATTAGGAATCCCGAATTCGAATCTTGATTTTACCAGTGTTAGGATTGATTTTTGCCTTTCTCTGTCCAAGTTTTCTTGTTTCTCTAGTGGGGATATTTGGTTCTCCTAGGGCTGGAGGGATCATATGAAAATTAATGCAAAAGCTGTGTACAGGTTTTAAGTATCAATTTAAAGCCTGGTTTCAGTTCTGTTTGTCAGCATGTCACAAAAAGAAACATTTTTGCTCTCAACCCAATTTTCTATAACTCAGTAATTCCCTAAATAAGCAACATGTATCCAAGAATACCTGTTATTTCAACCTAGACGACTGTGTGGTGGGCTGGAGGCTGAATAGGAATTTCAGGTCATGGTGGGGTAGATTCTGAAGAGAAGGGTGTTCCATGAGATACTCTGTGGGGAGGAGAACGAGGAGTTCTCTAAAAGAACCCAGCCTCTCAGATTGATAGACCCTTAGTGAATGAAGCTAGGTGTGTATGACCTTAATTAAGAAAGGCTCTGTGGCTCAGTCCTGGGATCCAGCCAGGTTGTAAATCTTAATGCACCTAGAGATTTACAGAACGGTCTCCAAAGTAACTTCCAGAGCCAGGCACAGTGGCTCACGCCTGTAATCCCAGCACTTTTGGAGGCTGAGGCAGATGAATCACTTCAGGTCAGGAGTTCCAGACTAGCCTGACCAACATGGCGAAACCCCATCTCTACTAAAAATACAAAATTAGCCGGGTGTGGTGGCGGGCGCTTGTAATCCGAGCTACTTGGAAGGCTGAGGCAGGAGAATTGCTTAAATTTGGGAGACGGAGGTTGGAGTAAGTCAAAATCTCGCCATTGTGCTTCAGCCTGGGCAACAAGAGCGAAAGCCGTCTCAAAAGAAAAAAAAAAAACACAAAGTAAATATTCCTGGCACATTGAGTTTCAGATGCTAATAACACTTTTGGAACTTCAAAGTAAGCCCTAAACTAAAATTTCAGAATAATAAGATTTGGGGGATGAATTACATTCCTATTTGTTAACTGTGGTTTCTTAGTTTTGTAGATTTTGATTGTATTTATCCTCCAGTCTTTGTTGGAAAAATGAAGAAACCTCTTCATATTAATGGTTTCAGCCTGCAGTATCTTCAACTCTGACATGTGATGTCTTGTTTTAATTAAACCCTTAATTAGGGTTGAGGTTAAGTAGTTTATTCAAACTAAGGGTAGATATCTTAATTTAACAGATATATGGGGGATGAGTCAGTGAACTCTGTGGGAACACTGAGATCCTAAATGGTTTTTGATCCTAGGAGTACTGAGGAACCCCTCATTAACACTGCTGGTGTTGGAAGACTATGGTATGAGCCAGAGTGGGGGTACTTGGCTGTAGCAGAGTGGGCCATGACAGGAATTGAGTGGATTTGTTAAGGAGGTGGGAGATGTAGAGTTATAATAACAGATAGACAGATGGCCAGACACACTCCCAGACAGATGGCCAGACATCTTCCACTTCCTCCATGGACCTTTGTTGTACTGTGACTTGTTTTAATCTCAAGGCTCTTGAGAAACATAGTGATATTTCTCATGCTTATGTTTTAAAATAAATATTTTGAAGTCAGGATGAAAAACATTTAACTGACAGTTTTGACTTAACGGAGGAATTATAGCTGTATTTTTATTCCTCATTTCGTATGGGGATCTCGTTCACAAAGAGAATGCTGTCTGTTCTAGAGCTGAGTTCAGAGGTGTTGAGGGGCACTCAAGGTTAAGATTCATCTTACCTGCTTACTCCTCTGGAGGGCTGAGAGGAAAGAGACAAGGCCATTCAGGAGTCTTAAACGGTGTCTCTGGCATTCCTGTTAGCCAGTGAGTTTTCTCATAGGTCCCCATTCAGTACTGCCAACCCTTCTTTTTTGGAGGGTTGCTCTTTTTGGAGAGGAAGTTTCAAATCACTTCAGGAAAAGAACAAAGGATAACACATATCCGTTTATGTGGTGGGTTTGGTTTGGTTTGGTTTGGTTGAAATAACAGAAATTTCTTTTCTCACAATTTTGGAGGCTAGAAGTCTGAGATCAAGGTGTTGACAGGTTTTGTTTCTTCTAAGGCCTCTCTCCCTGGCTTACAGATGGCCATCTTCTCCCCATGTCTTCACATGGTCTTCCTTTTATGTGTATCTGTGTCCTCATCACAGATGAGTAATTTTTTACAGTAAAAAATTACTGTAATTTTTAAAATTACTATAACACATACATTTACCCTCAACAATTTTCAGGTATACATTACCTGAAACAACATGCATTGTTAACTAAATGCATGTTATACAGCAAATCTCTAGAAGTTTTTTGTCTTGCGTGACTGAAACTATACCTATGGAACAGCAACTCTGCTTCTCCCTCTCTTCCGCCCCGGCAACCACCATTTCCCCTTCCGTCTCAGTGAATTTGACTGTTCTAGGTACCTCACTCATATAAATGGAACACATACAGTATGCGTCCTTTTGTGACTGGCTTATTTCACTTAGTGTGATGTCTTCAAGGTTTATCCATTTTGCAGCATGTGTCAGAATGTCCTGTCTTTTCTTTTCTTTTTTCTTTTTTTAGAGACAGGGTCTTGCTCTGTCACCCAGGCTGGAGTGCAGTGGCGTGATCATGGCTGACTACAGCCTTGACGTTCTGGGCTCAAGTGATCCCCCTCCCTCAGTCCCCCGAGTAGCTGGGGCTACAGGCACGCACCAACATGCCTAGCTAATTTTTGAATTTTTTTTGTAAAGACTGGGTTTTGCCTTGTTGCCCAGGCTGGTCTCAAACTTCTGAGCTCAGGCAATCTGCCTGCCTCGGCCTCCCAAAGTGCTGAGATTATAGGCATGAGCCACTGTGTCTGGCATATCCAGTCTTTTCAAGGCTGAATAATATTCCATTATAGGTATATGCCACATTTTGTTTATCCACCCATTGGTCAACGGACATTTAGGTTGCTTGTGCCTCTTGGCTATTGTGAATAGTGCTGCATTGAACATGAGTGTGCAAATACCTCTTTGTGATCCTGATTTCAGTTCTTTTGAGTATATACCTATAAGTGGGATCACTGGATCGTATGGTAATTCTATTTTTAATATTTTGAGAAACTTCCATACTGTTTTCCATAATCGCTGTACCATTTTACATTCTCATCAACTGTGCACAAAGGTTTCTATTTCTCTACATCCTCGCCAACACTCGTTATTTTCTTTTTTTTTTTTTTTTAATAGTGGCCATCCTGCCGGGGTAAGGTGATATCTCATTGTGCCTTTAATTTGCTTTTTGTGATAATTGGTGATGTTGAGCATCTTTTCATTTGCTTCTTGGCCATTGGTATATCTTCTTTGGAGAAATGTCTACTCAAGTCCTTTTGCTCTCTTTTTTTTTTTTAAATGGAGTTTCGCTCTTATTGCCCAGGCTAGAGTGCAATGGCACAATCTCAGCTCACTGCAACCTCTACCTCCTGGGTTGAAGTGATTCTCCTGCCTCAGCCTCCCGAATAGCTGGGATTACAAGCGCCCACGACCACGCCCAGCTAATTTTTTGTATTTTTAGTAGAGACGGGGTTTCATCATGTTGGCCAGGCTGTTCTCAAACTCCTGACCTTAGGTGATCCACCCGCCTTGGCCTCCCAAAGTGCTGGGGCAATTCTTACTTTACTAGATAGGAAAGTTCCCATTTTCTACATTTGGGAGCACTTGCTATTGTATTTTACAAATTTACTAACATTACTTGTACCAGTTTGGTTCATTTGGGCTTAGAAATTATTTGAATTGGTAAGTAGGGGTGGCAGTTTTGTGATTCCTTTGAGGTGATTGTGGACTGATAACTTTCAGGCTACATCCCTTTGTGGTTTTTCTGAGAAGAAAAAAGAAAATCAAAGGCTGAGTGCCGTGGCTGACATCCATAATCTCAGCACTCTGGGAGGCCAAGGCCAGTGGATCACTTGAGGTCAGGAGTTCGAGACCAGCCTGGCCAACATGGTGAAACCTTGTCTCTACTAAAAATACAAAGAAATTAGCTGGGTGTGGTGGCGGGTGCCTGTAATCTCAGTTTTTGGGAGGCTGAGACATGAGAATCACTTGAACCTGGGGGGTGGAAGTTGCAGTGACCCGAGATTGTGCCACTGCACTCCAGCCTGGGTGACAAAGCAAGACTCTGTCTCAAAAAAAAGAAAAAAAAATTACTTGAATAAATGAATGCTCATTTTATTAAAAAAAAAAATCAAGAAAATGCTAATGGAAGGGTAGCATAGGGCAGAGAGCCCTGGATTTTGAGTCAGAAGCCCTGATTTTAACTCCTGGTTCAGTAGCATAAAATGGGCTTAATATCTCCCCTGCTGAACTCACACAGTTGTCAAATTCAGTGAGAGATAATTTTTGAATGCAGTTTTGCAAAGTAAAGCAACAGCCAAAGTATTATGAAAGAAGTAAAACAATTTTGTTTCCTGAGTTTATAAAGCCTATTGTGGGCTACCTGCTTTAAAAGCAGCTTGTTCATAAGTAGATGAATGAAACGGAAAAGATTAGCCTCGGGCCAGTATTGTGGACATTCCCCTTTGAGGAGAGAAACGGCCTTGGAGGGTGAGTATGAGTAGGGGAGTCCCGTACAGTCAATCCGTGGCCACTTGGGAGAGATGGTTTCAAACTGGAAGTCTTATCCAGAGATGGGTTTACTGTTTACATTTCCTTTCTGCAAACAGTGAGCTGGAGGATGGCCACACTGCTCTTAACACTCACTCTGTTAGCCCCATGGAGAAGATTAAACAGTACCAGGCCGGCCAGACTGTTACTTGCTTCTTAAAGAAAGTAAGTAGTTTTGCCACTCGGCAATGAGATGTCATTCTTCTTTCAGAAAAAAGGTCATGACGTTGGAGAGAAAAGCCATTAGCAGAGAAAGGCATTTGAGTCTGTGCTACCATGCTGGGTTTGTGGGAGACAGTACGTGGCCTCTGCCACTAGAGAACTTCTGGTCTAATTAGGGAGCTAAAATATGGCTTACACACAATTAGCAAGCAGCTCGTAATTCATTGTTGGTAGGTTAATTGTAGAAATGGAAAGTAAAATACATGGCAAGATTTAGAATATAAATGTATATAATTTGGATTTTAGATTCATGCTTTTCATGAAGTTCAGGTGCACTGTAAAACAACATGAAATTGGGTGCCAGATTATGTGTTCCAACCCCAACTGGAACAGGAGTTCAAAAAGGAAGGAAAGCAGCCTGTACTGGTTGAAACATGTAGGAGAGGCGGCTGGATTGGGTTTGACCTTGAAGAATAATACCTCTCCATTGTTGCCAGATTCCTCTTCGATGAGCATCTTTGAGCATGATCGTCTCTGATGCTTGATCCCTTCAGTTACCTATTGTCTATAGACATTCATACACCCCAGATGCCTTAGCGTGGCAGATAAGGCTCTTCATAATCTGACCTTCCGTGCACCTTGTGTGGCAGTCATTCTGAAAAGCTTTTCTGTCTTTTTCCCTTCCTGTCTTTATTCATGCTGGTTTCTACATCTGGAGTACCTTCTATTCCAATTGCCTACTGCCCATCAAGGTTCAGCACAGATAACCTTCCCTCGTTACTAGTTCCTGTAGCATGTTGTACTTCCTACATGTTGCTTGCTGTTGTAGTTATTTGCACACTGATTTGACTTACTGCTTGTAGGCTGTAATCTCCTTGAAGGCAGGCTCTGGCTTTTATTTATCATTATGATGCCATGTGCATAGTAGCTGCTCGATAAATGATTTGTTAAGTTGACTAGAAAATTGGAGTATGTATTTACGGCCAGGTGTGGTGGTTCACGCCTGTAATCCCAGCACTTTGGGAGGCCGAGGTGGGCAGATCACTTCAGGTCAGGAGTTTGAGACCAGCCTGGCCAACATGGTGAAACCCCATCTCTACTAAAAATACAAAAATTTAGCCGGGCCTGGGGCGTGCGCGCCTGTAATCCCAGCTACCCTGGAGGCTGAGGCAGGAGAATCACTGGAACCCAGGAGGTGGAGATTGCAGTGAGCCGAGATTGCCGCCACACACTCCAGCCTAGGAGACAGAGCGAGACTCTGTCTCAAAAAAAAAGGAGAAAATTGGAGTGCATATTTAGGGCAAGACACTGCATAAACAGTGAAGGATCCAAATCCAAATTGGTTTAGAAATTAAAAATTGGCCTCTGGAGATGGTTAACAATCGCTGGGCACAGCTGAGCTTGGAGGAGGCTACAGAGGTCTGTGGGATTGGTTCTCCAGTTTGAGGACATCTCTGGAGTCTCTTTTGCCTCCTGGTCAGCTGAGACCCTGGAAGAGATGCACATTCTGCTAGGCTAGCAAAGGTTCTGAGCTGGAGTCTGAGGGAAGCTGGTGAGAAGTGGAGGTTGGGCAAGGGCAGTGGGATGGAAGGGTGGATTCCTGTCTCTTGGAAAAGTGTACTGGGGCCCTTTCCACCTTGTGGTTTTAGGAAAGTTTTAATGGCGGGAAACCTTGTATTTGTATTTGCCCTACTCTGGTTCCTTTTTTTCCCTCAGTACAATGTGGTGAAGAAATGGCTTGAGGTGGAGATTGCCCCAGACATCCGGGGGAGAATTCCCTTATTGCTCACTTCTCTGAGCTTCAAGGTCAGTGTGCTTGAGATCCCTGGAGAGGGGACCCAAGTTCCCTAAGCTTGGCCCAGTGCCTGGTGTGTGGGTTTACAGTGGATTTGAGGAAGCTTGTTCTTTATTTAAGGGTTGCTTTGGGAGATACTTGCTTTGGAGACTTAAATGCTGTGGTTTTGGATAAATGACAGCCTTTCTTCAAGCATCACAGGAGTTTTTTTATCCTTCCAGGTTCTGAAGCATCCAGATAAGAAGTTCCGGGTTGGCCAGGCCCTGAGGGCCACCGTTGTTGGCCCAGATTCCTCCAAGACCCTCTTATGTCTGTCCCTCACAGGTGTGGGGATGAAACAGTGCCTGGTCGGGGAAGGGGAGCGGCAGGAAGGGGTGGGATGGGTTTTCAGCTATTGCTTGAGTTGGAGGACCCCTTCGGTATTGGAATCCTCAGAAAGCCTGGTGTGGGACCTTCTTGGAACAGTTTTTCTCTTGGGCTTTGCTCTGGCCCAGTTACTCCACTGCTCTCTGAGTTACCTTTACCTATACAGGTTACCCTTACCTACACAGGTGTTTTTCTCAAGTCCCTGGGAAAGAGTTGTCCACCACTTGGCCCTGAGGTCCTTGGCTACATGGCAGGGTGATCTCAGTCTAGATGGTTCTGGATCACTCAGCCCAGATACCCCAAGTCTGGGCAGCCTCCACCTTCCCCAGCCTGTGTGTGGCTGGCATTCCCGCTCCTCCCTTAGCTCATTTCCTCTTCCCTGAATCAGGTTGGTTCTTCCACCAGGTCCTCACAAGCTTGAGGAAGGGGAAGTGGCCATGGGCCGAGTGGTGAAGGTGACTCCCAACGAGGGGCTGACCGTCTCCTTCCCCTTTGGGAAGATAGGAACAGTCAGTATATTTCACATGAGTGACTCCTACTCCGAGACGCCCCTGGAAGACTTCGTCCCCCAGAAGGTTGTCAGGTAAGCGAAGTGTTCTTCCTCTTTTCACCTGTCTGTGGAATTGGTATATTTAAAAAAAAACGTTGTTGTAATACATGACTTTTTATCAGAAAAACAGGTATATGAAATAGAAAATGAAAATTTCTGTAACCCCTCTGTTTCTCTACCACTTTTTGCCATTATGTACTTTGATTTCTATCTTTCTAGACTTTAATGCATATATATATAGTTTTTCTTTATATAAATAATAGAATATCATTTGATATACTGTTTTTTTCTCATAGTTTATCATGAATTTTTTTCCTTTTCTATGCTAATATATCAAAATCTATTTTGTCCTTTTACCTTATTTTAAAACGTTTGTTTAGTATTCTGGGGTTTTTTTAATTGAAATTTGTGTAACCAATTCTCTGTTGATAGACAATACTTTTTTTGATAGACAATAATGTTGAAGTATCTTTGTACATATATTTGGGTTTTTTGTTTTTTTTTAATTGAGACAGAGTCTGGCTGGAGTGCAGTGGCGTGAGACAGAGTCTGGAGTGCAGTGGCGCGAGACACAGCCTTTTTTTAACTGAGGCAGTCTGGCTGGAGTGCAGTGCGTAGGCTGGAGTGCAGTGGCGCGATCTCAGCTCACTGCAGTCTCCTCCCAAGTTCAAGCAATTCTCCTGCCTCAGCCTCCCAAGTAGCTAGGATTATAGGCATGCGCCATGACGCCTGGCTAATTTTTGTACTTTTAGTAGAGACTAGGTTTCGCCATGTCGGTCAGGTTGGTCTCGAACTCCTGACCTCAGGTGATCTGCCCATCCTGGCCTCCCAAAGTGGTGGGATTACAGGCATGAGCCACGGTGCCTGGCCCTTTTGCATATATTTGGATACTAATGCAGGTATGTTTGGTAAATAAATTCCTAGAAGTGAAATTGATGGGTTACATACCCTCCAAAATGACTGTGCTAATTTATGTCCCCATTAACAGTAAATATGACTGTCCATTTCTCACACCACTATTGGCACTGGATATTTTAAATTTGTGTCTTAGCCATTGGTTCAGCAAAAATTGGTCTCTTGTTTTTTTCTTTTTTTTTTTTTTTGAGATAGAGTCTCGCTCTGTTGCCCAGGCTGGAGTGCAGTGGCACAATCTTGGCTCTTGTTTTGTTTTGTTTTGAGACAGAGTCTTGCTCTGTCACCCAGGCTGGAGTGCAGTGGCGCAATCTTGGCTCACTGCAACCTCTGCCTCCTGGGTTCAAGCGATTCTTGTGCCTCAGCCACCCAAGTACCTGGGATTACAGGCGTTGTGTCACCATGCCTGGCTAATTTTTCTGTTTTTAGTAGAGACAGGGTTTCACCATGTTGGCCAGGCTGGTCTCAAGCTCCTGGGCTTAAGTGATCTGCCTGCCTTGGCCTCTCAAAGTGAGCCTCCGCACCCAGCCAATTGGAGTTTTAAGACTGTTTTAATAGCCTGAATAAACTAAACTTGAGGAGACAGATTTCAGCTGCATCCAGTAGTCAACTGACAGTACAGTAGATGCCCTTGGAGGCAGAGACTGGAAAATAGTAACTGCCCTCTCCTGTCTCAGCTGTCCCAGCCACCAGCACCTACCTGCCTAAATTCTCAACCACTCACAACCACTGCACGGCACACACATGCCCAGGGCCTGGGAGAAGACAAAGAATGAGTCCTAGAGACAGCCAGGATCATCTCTGGTTTCTCTTGAGGCTTAGATAATGAGGTTGTGGTTTTAAATGTGTTTTATTGTGGCCAAACCTACGATAAATTACTTGCCTAAAGGTAGACGGTCCCTTGAGGTTCTGTCCAGCTCTGATGGCTATGATGCCACGTTACCAAAGGCAGACATCTGTCGTGGGAAAATTTTGGACTGGATTTTTGCTGAGATCCTTTCTACCTCTAAGAATCTGTATATTATGGTTTTGGACTACTAATTGCCATTTTAGATGAAATGTTTAGAGATGCAACCCTGCTGTCCCTCCTGGAAGCGCTGACCCGCCTCCTCTGAACTGCTCTTGTGTGTCTGCAGTAGTACCTAGCTGATGCCTTGGGCATGATCTCCTGGGGTTAGTGTGTCTCTCTGCTGAGATCAAACGTTCTCAGGATCTAACACAGAGCTGGTTCTTCTTTTAAGGACATACTGTATGCCTCTGTGAGACTTCCTTTTCTTCTTCCCTCTCTCCCTCCCCTTTCTTTCTTTCTCAGGGTCTTACTTAGTTGCCCAGGCTAGAGGGCAGTGGTGTGATCGTAGCTCACTGCAACCTCAAATTCTTGGGCTCAAACAATCCTCTGTCCTCAGCCTCCCAAGTGGCTGGGACTACAGGTGTGTGCCACCACACCTGGCTTTTTAAAAAAGTTTTTTTATAGAGACAGGGTCTCGCTTTGCTGCCCAGACTGGTCTTGAGCTCCTGGCTTCTAGCAGTTCTCCTGCCTCGGCCTCCCAAAGTGTTGAGATTACAGATGTGAGCCACTACACCTGGCCCCAACACCCTTGTTAGGTAAGAAGAGTAGGTAGTGTTATTTATTTATTTATTTATTTATTTTGAGATGGAGTCTTGCTCTGTCGCCCAGGCTGGAGTGCAGTGGCACGATCTCGGCTCACTGCAACCTCTGCCTCCTGGGTTCACGCCATTCTCCTGCCTCAACCTCCCCAGTAGTTGGGACTACAGGCGCCCGCCACCACGCCCGGCTATTTTTTTTGTATTTTTAGTAGAGATGGGGTTTCACCGTGTTAGCCAGGATGGTCTCAATCTCCTGACCTTGTGATCCGCCTACCTCAGCCTCCCAAAGTGCTGGGATTACAGGCGTGAGCCACCGTGCCCAGCCCGGTAGTGTTATTTCTATTTAATAGACTAGTAAACTGAAGCCCACAGAGGTGACGTGACTTGTCCAGAGTCCCTCAGCAGGTTTTCAACAGAATGAAGAAACATGACCAGAGTCTCCTGTCTCCTCACTCCTGCCTATTCGTCAGCCTGGAGGAGAGGAAGCTGAGACCCTTTGCTGTTCACAGATGCTGAAAATTGAGCGTTTCCTTCTCTTTTGCCTTCATTCAGATGTTACATCCTGTCCACTGCAGACAACGTATTGACTTTGTCGCTGCGATCATCCAGGTGGGTTTCTGTGTTGTTGGAAAAAGAAAGGAGGAAGACCCACTCAGGATCAAGGGGAGGCTACGTGTATCTGACACAGAATTTTGGGCTTCCCACCTTCTCTGCTCATCACTTTTTATCCTGAACCTCTTTTACCCAGAAAAGCTGAGGCTGTTCAGATTGCTGCAAGAATCCTGTCTGCTCAGGCTCTTGTTTTCCATGGAAAGGGTCAGATATCCAGATGTGGGTGTCCAAGGTTGCAGATGGTAGTCCTGGTGAGGGGAGATGCTTTAGCCTCCAGGGTTCCATTGTAGGGGTGAGCGTGCCATGTATGGAGTTGGCTTGAGGTCAGCTTGCTGTATGGTTAGACATCAATGTTAATGAGGCCAAGGCTTTAGGTTTGACCTCTCTGGCTTGGTCCGCCTCTCCCCATTTCTACATAGCTGGGCCCCAGGCACCTGCTTCTGGCCTGGCAAGATGTTAGGAGAGAGTAGAGTTGGGCTCTAAAGGTTATATCCTGCTGACAGGTCCAGAGTCATATTCTTATTTACTAAGTATGATGGTTGCAGGTGTATTGGGGGTGGCATGGGACAGTGGAGGTTAAAGGTGTGCATGTAAGCCTTTTATTCCTTTAGAACAAACCCGGAGACGAAAAGCAAAGTAGAAGATCCAGAGATTAACTCCATCCAGGACATTAAGGAAGGGCAGCTTCTGAGGGGCTATGTAGGGTCCATCCAGCCACACGGTGTGTTCTTTCGGTGAGTGAGGGGGGCTCTGCACCCGGACCCAAGTGCCTTCCCTGAGCCTGTGTTGCTCTGGGGTCCACTGTGTTCCTCGGTCAACTTCTTTGATGGGAATATGAAGGGAGGAGAGTTTATGAGTCCCCACTCATTTTTAAAATTCCAAGTTTTCTAATACTTTTAAAACAACTGTTGAGTTATTAGTTATTTGGTGTTTTGGACAAAGAATATGGCATTTCTAATTTCTGTTCTAAGTAAGTCTGGGGCCGGGCGTGGTGGCTCATGCCTGGAATCCTAGCGCTTTGAGAGGCCGAGATGAGAGAATTGCTTTGAAGGCCAGGAGTTCAAGACCAGCCTGGGCAACAAAGCAAGACCCCCATGTCTCCAGAAAAAAATTAAAAATTAACCAGGTGTGGTAGCATGAGCCTGTAGTCCCAGCTATTTGGAAGGCTGAGGCGGGAGGATTGCTTGAGCCCATAAGTTCGAGGTTACATTAAGCTATGATTGTGCCTCTGACCTCCAGCCTGGGAGGCAGTGATACCCTGTGTCTAAAAAAATTAAATTTAAATTAAAAAATACATAAATGTGGATATTCTGTTTTAGTGTTTGATCATGATTTGTAAGTGTTCGTTCTGTGAAATCACCTCATGTTCACAAGCACCTGATACTGCAGCCTTCCCTGCCATGCTGTTTCTGCAGTTTCTCCTAGCAGTTTGTGATTTATATATTATGATACCACAGTGTGGAGTAAAAAATACCCTCAATCATATCTTCATTATGCTTGATGATGATTTCAAGTTTACAAAGCCCACTTCATCCTGCTGAATGCCAGGAACTTATGTCTGTCACAAATCCTTGTCACAACTTGAGTCCCTGTGAGAGTGAAGTCCCGAGGCCTGGTTGGAATTCTGTTGTTGCATTTGTGACCACAGGACTCTTGCCTCTCTCCTTTCAGCCTTGGCCCCTCCGTTGTGGGTTTGGCTCGGTACTCCCATGTCTCCCAGCACAGCCCGTCCAAGAAAGCCCTTTATAACAAACACCTCCCTGAAGGGAAGCTGCTCACAGCCAGGGTCCTACGGTAGGTGCCTTCCCGTTCTCTCTCTCTCTGTAATGTGAATCAAACCCCTTTCTCCAGGAGCCCTGGGAGGAGATTTCAGGGTGAACTGTAAACATAATGGCTTGCGTAGTGGTGTTCAGATGAATAAAAGGCCTTTGTTTGGAACCTTCTCCCCCAGTGCCTGTGAAAACAGGTGGTAACTTATCTCTGCATAGCTCCTGTTGTTGGGGATGGTGGAGGGGGCATCACATCTACCCCCTGTATTTTTCTACTAAGCATGAAAAATTGTGCAAATCATTCTTGAGAATATTGAAAGGACTCCCAAGGCAGATGGGGGCAGGGCCCAGAATCGTGGGCTGATCAGGAGGAAAAAGGCCTGGGCCGCCTGTGGTGCCCTCTGCTTTTTATGATGTCTTTACCTCCCCATCTTGCTCTGTCATAGCCTTAACCACCAGAAGAACCTGGTAGAGCTGTCTTTCCTCCCCGGAGACACTGGGAAGCCAGACGTGCTTTCTGCTTCCTTGGAAGGGCAACTTACAAAGCAAGAGGAGAGGAAAACAGAGGCTGAGGAGAGAGACCAAAAAGGGGAAAAGAAAAATCAGAAAAGGAACGAGAAGAAGAACCAGAAGGGGCAGGAGGAGGTGGAGATGCCCAGCAAGGAGAAGCAACAGCCCCAGAAGCCACAGGCGCAGAAGCGGGGCGGGCGGGAGTGCCGGGAGTCTGGGAGTGAGCAGGTGAGGTCCTGCGGAGGGCTGTGGCTGCCTATCCTCCTCCTGGAGGGACAGCCATGAGGGCGTGGGGACAGGGCACCCAGTGGGGCCGAGGGAGGGTGTCGCCTGGGGCTGCAGGAGGATGCTCCTAGGCATTCTCCCACCTGGCCTCTCAGGAAAGAGTGAGCAAGAAGCCAAAGAAAGCCGGCCTGTCAGAGGAGGACGACAGCCTTGTGGACGTGTACTATCGGGAGGGAAAAGAGGAGGCAGAAGAGACGAATGTGCTGCCCAAGGTGAGGGTGACGTCGCGGGGAGGGGAAGGCTGCTCCAGGCAAGGGAAGAGCTGGGCCATCCTCTGCCTCATCCTCTTTTACTTCATTTCCTATAAAATACGAAAGCAGGGGCTGTCAGTTGCCTCCATTGACCGTCAGCTCCTTGAGGACAAGGGACCCTTTTTACCCAGAGCAGGCTGCATAAAATAAATTCTAAGGAATATTTATTGGGTGGAACTGAATTAAATTAGGAGGCTGGGCAGAGAAAGAGGAGGCTGAGCCGTTCTGAGCCTGCATCCTCCAAAAGATGAGAATAGTAATACCTGGGCTGAGAGGACCGGGTATGGGATGGCTTATAACCATCTGGGCAGGGCCTCCCTGCCACCCTCAGAATTATTGTCATCTCTCTGTCCCAGCTCTACTGTTATTTTTATTTTTATTATTTTGAGACAGAGTCTCGCTTTGTCATCCAGGCTGGAGTGCAGTTGTGTGATCTTGGCTCACTGCAACCTCTGCCTTCCAGGTTCAAGCAATTCTCATGACTCAGCCTCCCGAGTAGCTGAGACTGCCGGTATGCACCACCATGCCTGGCTAATTTTTGTATTAGTAGAGAGGGGGTTTCGCCATGTTGGCCGGGCTGGTCTCGAACTCCTGACTTCAAATGATCGGCCCGCCTCAGCTTCTTAAAGTGTTGGGGTTACAGGTGTGAGCCACCACACCTGGCTTCTACTGTTATTTTATATACTGGTATGCATATGCATGTGTGTGTGTGAAAATTTTGTTATCTAAATAAATGTATTTACAAAGAAAACTTTTATGTCACTGCTATAAAGTTTCCCCAGTGGGCTGGGGCCTGGCATGGCCTAGGAGGAGAGGAGAGGAGAGGAGGGGTCTCTGGGCTTGGTAGGAGTCCATGCTCCTCCAGGTGGGCTGGCACGGGGGAACAGGGAGCAGCCTGAGCCAGGTGCTTTCTTTAGCGCCTCTGTGTTCCTCCAGGAGAAGCAAACCAAGCCAGCAGAAGCGCCCCGGCTGCAGCTGTCTTCAGGCTTCGCTTGGAATGTGGGACTAGACTCTCTGACCCCGGCCTTGCCACCTCTAGCAGAGAGCTCAGACAGCGAGGAGGATGAGAAGCCACACCAAGCCACGGTGCTGTATTTTGCAGGGCATGTCCTTTTTGCAGGGACCCCTTGGTGTCAGTCTCTTGTGCTCTGTTCCTAGACTGGGTGTCTTCCTGGGTGAGTGGGGGAGGGGGCAGCGGCCAGTCCCAGGCCAGGGGGTATATATAGAGCCCTGGGCTGCCCAGCCAACTCGTGACTTCCACCACAGACCTCCCCTAGGCCTTGAGGAGCAGATGACTCACGGTGTTTCTGCTTTCCATAGCAGATAAAGAAAAGCAAGAAAGAAAGGGAGTTGGAGAAGCAGAAGGCAGAGAAGGAACTGTCCCGCATTGAGGAGGCGCTGATGGATCCTGGGCGGCAGCCAGAGTCCGCGGATGATTTTGACCGACTGGTGCTGAGCTCCCCCAACAGCTCCATTCTGTGGCTGCAGTACATGGCTTTCCACCTGCAGGCCACGGAGATCGAGAAGGCCCGTGCCGTGGCTGAGAGGGCCCTTAAGACCATCTCCTTCAGGTCTCAGCTTTGCCCCAGGGAGCACAGTGTCTTCGCACGTTCTGGGCTGGGAAGTTTCTCAACCTGTGGGGTAGCTCCTCCTAGGCAGGCCGGCAGCATTTTGGGTGGCTGCCACCAGGGGCCCATGGGTCCTCAGGCTTTCTGCCATAGCTGCGGCCATCTGTGAAATAGATCTACTCATTTATATTTTATAGTCTTCTTCCCTGAAACTGCTAAGGGTAACCTTCACAAGAGTCCATACACTTATATGAGGGAACCAGTTTGAGCAGAAACACAGTAAGAAAAGAACTCACTACATACCTGGGCGAAATCCCTGTGGTGGTTTTCCAAACAGAGGGAGTTTTTGAGGCCTAATGAAGAGGGAAGGCAGTCCTTTGCTTCATCCTCTTAGCTTGAAGAGAGAATCAGACCCAGGACTCTGCGTCCAGCCCAAACCTCAGGCCCGTTTGGGATCTGGTGGGCATCCTTTCTAGGAATGGAGGCAGAATCCAGGAGAGCCTCAGACTCAGCCATTGGGGTTGGGGCAGGGGTTTCTAATGCTGCAGGAGCTGTGGGGACACAGCCTCTTAGGGTCTACATTTGGGGTGGGATCTGAGGACACAGATAGAGGCTGGGAGGGGGAGGTGGTTCCTGAGTCTGTCTGGATGGGGCGGGAGGCTCACTGGTTTCATGTGGCGCTCATGTGCTGACTGCTCTCCCTCCAGAGAGGAGCAGGAGAAGCTGAACGTGTGGGTGGCTCTGCTGAACCTGGAGAACATGTACGGCTCTCAGGAGTCCCTGACCAAGGTCTTTGAGCGAGCCGTGCAGTACAACGAGCCTCTCAAAGTCTTTCTCCACCTGGCTGACATCTACGCCAAGTCAGAGAAATTCCAGGTAGGAGGTTGGGCCACAGACGAACTCCTGGGAGTTCCAGGGCCACAATCTCAGAGAAGAGCCCCTGGGGTGCTGGGTCCAGTCCTGCTGTGAGCTTGCCACCCAACATCGGGGCCCCAACTTCCCTATCTTCCAAGTAAAAGAAGTCATTTCCCTCACCTCTTCTTCAGGCCTGTGGGGTCAAGGTGAGGGAAGGAGTGGCTTTGGAAGTGAAGGGGCAGTGGACCCCTGGTGTGTCTGCCTTGGGCTGCTGGCAGGGCATCACAGACAGAAGGGGACGTCCCGGCCCAGCATCCGCTCTGGCGTCTCTCCTACTCCCCCTTGTCATTCTCATGTTCTAGGCTAGGACCGCCCTCCCATGGGTGCGGATCAGCAGGGAATCCCCTCCGTCGTGTTGTGCCTGTTCACGGTGCCCTTCTGTGAGCCTCCCTCCCGCTCCTCTCAGGTCTCTAGCATTAGGCCCTGAGAGTGATTTGGTGTCTGGGAGCCCAGGTCTAGCTTCTTGTGAGTGTTGCTGCTTGTCTGTCTTGTCCCCTCTGTAGTATCACACTCTCCTCAGCGTGCCTCGTCTTTTCCCACAGGAAGCTGGTGAACTCTACAACCGGATGCTGAAGCGTTTCCGGCAGGAGAAAGCTGTGTGGATCAAATACGGCGCCTTCCTTCTGCGGAGGAGCCAGGCTGCAGCCAGTCACCGCGTGCTGCAGCGAGCCCTGGAGTGCCTGCCTAGCAAGGAGCGTGAGTGCTCATTCCCAGCTCCTGAGCCCATGAGCACTCCAGGATCGGGGAGTAGGAACTGGCTGTGGCATTGCTTCTTCTAAGTCAGGAGAGCCTTGTGAGGGCTTTCCTCTTGCTGCCTGTTGATTCTCTGCCCCTCAGCATAACAGTGCATGTTAAATTTCAAATGTCAGGCTCCAAAAGATGGAGGAACAAAACGCAGTTAGTACTAGTTCTGTTGCCCCTGGGATCCCCCACCTCTTCTGTGCCCAGAGAGTGGTGTGTCTGCAGTGCCCATCTGTGTATTTGGCCCCAAACCCACCCCTTTTGGGTCTTTGTCCCTCTTGTCACAACCTGAGTCTTGGGACCCAAGAGCAGGGAGTCAGGTGCACGCTGACCCTGCGGAACACTGTGTTGTGGTGAGGGGGCTGTCTGCTTGTTGGGTCTCTGAGCAGTCCTCTCCCTGCAGATGTGGATGTCATTGCCAAGTTTGCCCAGCTTGAGTTTCAGCTGGGGGATGCAGAGCGGGCCAAAGCCATTTTTGAGAACACGCTGAGCACCTACCCAAAGCGCACAGATGTCTGGTCGGTCTATATCGACATGACCATCAAGCACGGCAGCCAGAAGGACGTCCGGTGAGTGGGGCAGCTGGCCAAGGCCGAGTTCCTCAGGAGAGGGCGTGGTAGGCACTGGTCCCACAGCAGCTCTCAGCATCCCAGTTCTCTTACTTGATCTAGAAAACCAGCTAGATGTGATGCCCCAGGCCCAGTGACATTCACTTCAACTCCTCTTTCTGCCTCAAAGGCCAGCATCTGGTCTGTGTCTGAAACCATTGGTAGGAGGTAGCCTTGTCAAGAGACTCGAGTTTCTCTCATAATTAACACTGTTCCTGACTCTCATTGTAGACTACTTTCACAGGCATTCTCTTGCTTTTGACCCCAGCGTCTCCACAAGACAGGGAGGGTTTAGAGATGAGTAGACTGAGGTCCAAAAAGAACAGGTGCCTCACCCAAGCCCTTCACTATGTATGTTTCTCACTGTTGTGTCCCCCATCCCAGTAGCTTTGTCTTGATCACTGTGTGGCTTTAGGCAGGGAAGTCCCTTACCATCTCTGGGTGTCCATCTGCTCATCTGGAAGATGAGGGTGGTAGTGCCTCTCCCCAAGGCATCATGGGAGTTCATCATGGATTAATAAAGATAATGGTAGAAGTGGGAGTCCTGGATGGGAGAGGGTCCTGGTTCCAGGGCTGAGAGCAAGTGGGTGAGTGCTAGGCAGGAAGCACGTGACCTGGGACTGACAGGCAAATGCCACTCTGCTTTTCCTCAACAGGGACATCTTTGAGCGGGTCATTCATCTGAGCTTGGCCCCCAAGAGAATGAAGTTCTTCTTCAAGCGCTACCTGGACTACGAGAAGCAGCATGGCACTGAGAAGGATGTGCAGGCAGTCAAGGCCAAGGCCCTGGAGTATGTGGAGGCCAAGAGCTCAGTGCTAGAGGACTAGTGGCAGGCTGGCTCTGTGGGACACTGTCAACAATGGGCCAGCCCGGCCCCGCCTCGAGTGCCTGGGCACTCGGAAAACTGTTACCTCAGGACTCTATTTAAATGCTGCTTTTTCTGCAGCACGCTTGGGGAAATCCTGTCAGGATGAAAAGGAAGTTGAGATTTTTTAAATCCCTCTTCGCTTGCTTTATTTTCAGTACCAACTTGTTATCTTTTTCCTTATCTGAGGCTACCTGGGGATTGTGGGCAGCAGGCCCCTGGACTCCCAGAAATGCTGAGGGTCCCTCTTCCAGGGGAGTTCCCTGGGGAGCAAGAGTAGAGGGGCTATTCCCGAGGGTCCTGTGGTCAGGGTCCTGCTTTGTCCCTGGCAGGCTGTCAGTCCAGCTGGAGGGGGTCAGTAGGCTCCAGGGAGTGGGCCCTCCCCTCCGATCTTGGAGTCTCTGGGTGTTCCTTCAGCCTCAGCCTCACTGGTACCTTCTGCCCTTTAGGGGAGGCTATGAGTCTGGGACAGGAGGACAAATTCAGAGCCCAGAGGGGGAAATGGAGAAACCTGGGCTGCTGAGGAAAGCCACGGGTGTTGGCGTGAACTGATGATGTCTCATCCCACGCCCACTATGGCCACATTACCTAACCTCTCCATATCTGGGCTATTCAAGGTCTTGGAGGCCAGCACAGACCCAGCTAGTTGTTGAAGCCAGTTCTTTTTTGTCTTGGTCATGAGGGAATTAAACGTTTTCTCTGGCAGAGCTTTAAGTGTCCTGAGAGCTTTTCCATGGGAAATGACTGAGTCATATGCCAGGAAGCCGGACAGGGCCAAGGGAGAGCATCCAAAGGTTCTAGAGGTGGGGCGGGTGGCGGGCAGGGATGGGAGGAAGGAGAAGCTGGGGCTGGCCTGCTTCTTGGACATGAGCACTAGGTTACGAGAGCTAGTTCTGGCCTGCCCACTGAGCGCAGAATCTTCTGACTCGTGAAATTTCAGACTGTTTCCTTCTGAGAAAGGCCAGGCTTCATCTCTTCCCCACACCAAATCAGATAATAGAACCCAACTGCAAAGAGATCATCAGCCCCAGAGCCTTCCCCTGTGTTGAACCCCTGGTACTCACTGCACCCTCCCTGCCACCCCTGTGGGCCATTTTAGTCCTGTCCCCTTCCCTAACACGGCATAGGATTTGGGCCTGGCCCTATGACCACCAGCCTGCTGTGGCATGCCCATTCAATCACACAGACACCAGGCTAGTCCTTTTAGTAAGAAAAACTTTATCAAAAATTTAAATATATAAAATAAGGCCAGAGGCTGCACTGGAGGCCACTTCCCAGTGGTGCACTGCTGCGCTGGGTGTCCCTATGCAGCTAGATACATGTTAACTGCATAGAGTACCATAAAGGAGCCCACTGGTGAGCTTCACTGTCACCTGGCCCTGCTGGCTGGGGCTTCCATTGTCTACTGGGTCTGTCCACACCCCAGATTGCCTTGTGGTCCTTTCCCCTGGCCAAGAAGATAACAGTTTTTTAAAAATCCCCTTCTGATATGGATGTGAGCAAGCAGTGGGGTTCAGTTTGGGACCAAGTAGTGCCATTTACAAAGAGCATGGGAAGCACCTCCTTAGGAGGGGAGCAGGGCCATCTCCACGTTGTCAGGGGCCGCGCCGTTGCCTGCCAGACCCTGGGCCCACTTGTGCAGGCGGCTGTAGAGTGGGAGGCCCTGGTTCTCACGGTACAAGTAGACGCCGGTGATGGCATTCCACTGTGGCCGTGGCTGCGTGCCTTCCACTGGGAAGTTGGCAATCAGTTCCTCATCATCCTTGTTGAGCGCCACAAAGCCAAAGAAGCGGCGCACATTGTTGGCAGCGAGCACCCGAGAGTGCACCTCGGCCGTGCGCTGGAACAGCTGGTCCTCATTGGCGCGGTACTGCGCCCAGTAGGCCTCCTGGCGGTAGCTGAGTGGTGAGCAGTAATGCTTGAGGCACTTGGTCAGGAACACCAGGATGGCCACCACGCCGATGAGCAGCCATCCAAAGAGCTGGCCAGAGAATGGGCACAGTTCAGGAGGGGCGAGGAACTGCCTAAGCCCTACCCCCCAGAGCGAATGGAAAAGGAGCAAGTTCTGCTTGGGTAAGAGAAGCAGGCCCTTGTGGCTGTGATTCCATCGTTTCCTTACCCCCTTTAACTCACACTCTACTTGCGCTTAGACTTAGCCTGCGTTTTCTGCTGCCACCCCTGCAAACTTAAGAGCACCTCCTTCCCCTGCCATCATCTCAGGCCATCAAAACCCAGCTCAACCTGCCAGGCTCAGCTCAGATGCCACCTCTGGGAAGGCTTCAAAGGCCCCTCTGGGAGCACTTGTGCCTTTTCTGAATCTCCCGTGGCCTGGTTCCTCTCATCACCATCTGCCTTGTTTGGAGGTCACACATGTGCTTGTCTGAAATGCTTGGAGGGCAAGGACAGGCAAGGTCATCCTTGTTTCACCACTTGCTCCTGTACAGAGATCTGGGGGCATTTGATCAGCATCAAATAAGTATCATTTCTTTGTCTACCATCTTCCCGCTCTGGTGCTATCTCCAGCCTTTTCTCTCTTTACGTTTCTTTTTCTTTTTTCTTTGTCTTTTTTTTTTGTTTGAGATGGAGTCTTGCTCTGTCGCCCAGGCTGGAGTACAGTGGCGTGATCTTGGCTCACTGCAACCTCCACCTTCCGGGTTCAAGCAGTTCTCCTGCCTCAGCCTCCCAAGTAGCTGAGATTACAGGTGCCCACCACCACTCCTGGCTAATTTTTGTATTTTTAGTAGAGAAAGGGTTTCACCATATTGGCCAGGCTGGTCTCGAACTCCTGACCTCCAGTGATCCACCCGCCTTGGCCTCCCAAAGTGCTGAGATTACAGGTGTGAGCCACTGCCCAGCCTCTGTTTACATTTCTTATTTACCTATTGAAGAAACCTTTTAGAAAATCTGTGCTCCCTTGAGGTCAGGAGTTTGAGACCAGCCTGGCCAACATGGCGAAACCCCATCTCTACTAAAAATACAAAAATTAGGTGGATGTGGTGGCTGCGTGCCTGTAATCCCAGCTACTCGGGAGGCTGAGGCAGGAGAATTGCTTGAACCCAGGAGGCGGAGGCTGCGGTAAGCCAAGATCGTGCCACTGCACTCCAACCTGGCAAGAAGAGTGAGACTCTGTCTCAAAAAAAAAAAAAGAAAAAAAAGAAAACTTGTTCTCCTTCCTGTCTCTCCCTCACCCCCTGCTTCTCTAAGTTAACACTTGCAGCTGAGATTTTCTGCTACTTCCCAGTTCTCTTCCCTTGCCCTCTGTCCCTTGACCAACCTCCTCTCCTTCAGAGCCCAGCTAAGGCTCAGGACGGCAACTGCATCTTCCTGACTCAACACTCCATCCTGACCCAAGGGACTCCCCTTAGGTCAGCAACACTTGAGGCTGACTCAGTGCTTGGCTGGGCCCTTCCTGGGATAGGAATGTGTTCATCCCCAGAGCCAGCCACACTCCACTGTCAAGGGCCCATGCTCAATCTGGCTGGGGTAAGGGGCTTATCTGTGATTGCAATTAAGGCCCAGACTGAGCCAGAAGAATGTTCCTTTAATGTTTAAAACTAATTTGGTCATATACAACTGAGATTTACAGTAAAAAAAAAAATTGATAAAACTGTCTTATTTGTGTCTGGAACTGGCCCTTGCCCCACCATGCACCAGTTAACCAGCCCTGATACCTAACGCTAGTGCTTTCCCACAGACCTCAGCCCCTGAGGACCAACCCCAGCTTTAGCACTAGGCCATCCCCGGACCTCTCACCAGCCACCACTAGGGAAGAGGAGCTTCCCTTTGCACAGCTCCTTACCTGGGACTCATACCTGAGCCTGCGGCTGACCTCCTCCCGGAAGTCTGACAGGTTGTCAGGGTTCTCCTTGCAGGGGAACCTGGCCAGGATTTCAGTGGCGTGGGCTGATGGGAAGTGCTCTTCCCTGGCCGTGAGTGAGGAAGGGTCCACGAACTCACTGAGAGCACAGACATAAGCCTCACCACGCAGCAGGGAGATGACAGACCAGGTGACAGGGGCCACAGCCGCACGTCCCAGGATGGAGCTTAGAAGGAGGAAGGTGGGGGCGGCGGAGCAGTTCTTGGTCCTCCGGTGCTGGCACTCGGCCACGAGGTTCCAGGTGTGGTTGTTGAGGATGATGCCAATGATGAAGAGCACCAGGGCGGGCACGCCGATGGCCGCCAGCCCGTACAGGTAGTTCCGGGCCGGCGAGCAGGGGCAGTGGAAGGCCACCACAGAGAACAGCTCCTGGCTGCCCACCGTGCCCAGTGCCACCAGGCCGTTGAAAATCATCACATCCTTGCTCTTGAAGAAAAGTGACAGGAAGCGGAAGTTCTCTGCGATCAGGGCTGCCATGGCGATAGTCGTGGCGGGGTGGATTGCAGGAGAGGAGGCAGGAGGAGACGGGATTGATGGTTGCTGGTGGTACTAGGAAGGGGCACAGGCTGGGAGGCGCTGGACGGCAGGGTGTGGTTGTGCTATTTTATCCCCAGCTGTGGTTGGCCTGGTGTTTCCTGTGGAGCAGATGACCGATAAGTGTTTCCCTCTGAAAACCAGGAGTTGAGGAAGATGCTAGTGTGGACAGGCTGGGGAGAAAGGAAGGACCATAGGGCCCCAGGGAAGTGACAGTTGCCACTGTTCACTGAGTTCCTCCAGGGTGCATGGCACCCCTCATTTCCCATCCTCACAGTCCCACGTTGAGCTGTGTGCCCGCCGTGCACTAGGGAAAGTGAAGGCTTCCTGAGGACGAGTGGCTCGCCAGGGTCACAGATGAGAGGCAGACTGAGATTCAAGCTTGGGTGACCTGCCTCAAATGCTTAGGTTCTTTTTGCCACCACGAGCTTCTCCTGGGGTAGGGCTTGGGGGTGGCCC
Source organism: Homo sapiens (assembly GCF_000001405.40). Taxonomy (NCBI): domain Eukaryota; kingdom Metazoa; phylum Chordata; class Mammalia; order Primates; family Hominidae; genus Homo; species Homo sapiens. Next base: position 103,450,458 of record NC_000010.11, read on the forward strand.
ATGGTGCTAATGCATGTGGGGTGCTGACCGGCTTTCCCTCTGGGAGTCCAGGTGGCGCATATTAGCAGAGGGGCCAGGGACTCCTTGGATCCAGGGCGTGTCCTTAGGGTCTCAGCCTTGAGGGTGTAAAAGCTAAAGTGAGTGTCCGGGTGGATAAGGGACTTGGATAGGATCCTGCCGTGTGGGCTGGGGTGGGTACAGCAAGATGCCAGAATCCCTGGAGTTCGCAAGGACATTATCTTTTTGGAGACCTCAGGGTCTGATCACACTTCATGACTGTTCTCTGGGCCTCAGATTCCTCATCAGTGAAAAGAGGATAAATCATCCTGAGCCTTGCTCTTTCCTAGGGATGTTGGAGGGAAAGAAAAGAATAAAAGATGCCTGATTGTGCTCTGCGTGAAACTCTCCATCTCTTCCACCCTGTCTTGTCTTTGGGGTGGGGACGATTCTCCTGCCTGCAAAGATCAGGGAACTGAGACCTGAAGAGGATAAAGTGCCTTGCTGAGGCCCAAGAAATACAGAGGTGCCACAGCAGGACCTCTAACCACAACCTAAGGAGACTTGGGAAGTGGATAAGGGTGATTCTGCACTAAGTGAACCCTCTTTTTTTCTGTCTCCTACTGACCTTGCCGTGTCCATCCACGGGTGTCCCGAAGAACCTCCTCTTCCGCAGCCGTGACCCCTCTCCTATCCAGCAGCCTCCCAGCAGCTCCGCTCCACCCCGCCTGCCAGCAACAGGAAGCCCTGGTGAGACCAAAGGCTCAGCGGTGCCACCAGCTCATCCGGAGATTATTCTGCCTTGGTCTGGGCTGTAGCGACGCTGGCAACCTGCCGGGAAGTGGCCATGGCCTCGGGCAACAGCGAAGTTTAGCCCAACTCCCTTCCCAGCCTCCACCCACACAAGCCTGAGAGACAGGCCAGGGTGTGGCCCCATGTCCTCCCCCTCTGGAGGGTGAAAAACAAAACTCCCCAGGCCAGAGGAAGCCAGGGAGTGGAGGGATGGGGTGAGCGCCAAACACAGACCTAGCCCTGTTCCCTTCCATGCTTCATGGAGGGATCACCCCTTCTAGATCACCCCTTCTGTCCCTGCCAAGGAAGGCTGCCAGATGGGCTCAGGCAGAGCCATGTGGCCATGCAGACTCCAAGAAAAGGAGAAGCTGGAGGAGGAGGACCAGGAGGAACAACAGGAGGAGGAGGAGGAGGAGGAGGAGGAGGAGGAGTCTGATTCTTCCCCCACTTCACAGCCTGGAGCTTCCAGCCTAACTTCCTGGGAAAGGCAGTTTGCATCACTGCTGGGGAAGAATGGGTTAAAGTCAGCCCCCTTTGCCCCATCCTTTTCCCTTCTTGGCTTCTAGGCTCCTAATTAGCTCCCTGTGGAGGCCCTGGGTTCATAAACTGGCTCAAAGTGGGGTACAAGATACCTGCACAGGGTGGGTGGTGAGCAGAGGATGGGCCAGGCCATCTTCTGAGACCACTGCCCCCAGGCCAAGGATGGGTCACATCCAGACCCCCAGTGGGACCTCCTCCAACATCAGTGACGACAGGAGACTGGCGGCTCGGGGAGGGGCAGGACTGCTCCCTGTTCAACCGGGTGGAGGGAACCTCAGCTAGGGGCCTCTCTCCCTCTGGGCAGCGTGGGACAGGCCCCACCATGCTCCGCTGACACCTGGCACACCCCAGGGAGGGCCCCTTCCTTACCTGGGGCCAGCTGTGGGCACTTGTGGCCATGGCCTCCTCGGGGCCGGACTCTCCAAGTGGCCTCCAGGAGGGCGGTGCAGGGCAGCGGCGGCCTCCGCCGTTCCCTCCCGCTTTTCTTCTGCACGGGGGCCTGGGGCTGGTGGCGGCTTCAGACTAATCTAACTCCAGAAAAGAGAGAAGAAAACAGTGGGATGGAGTCTGCGCGCCAGTGAGTGGAAAAACAGCCTCCCGGCGCCACCAGGCAGAGGAGGGCGGGCCCCGAGGGCGGCGCGAGAGGAGAGGAGCCGAGAGGAAGTTGAGATGCCTGTTCTGCAGCTGCTGCGCGTCCCACCGACCCGCTGCTCGCCGTCCCTGGGCCGTGCTGGCCCTCCGCCCTCGGCCCAGACCCGGACCGGGCCATGCTCCACACCAATGGGACCAGTCGGGAGGGCCACGTGGGGATGTGGAGGCATTGGGGAGATCTGACCCAGACCTGCCCCCCATGACAGTTTCAAGAGCACCCCACGTACTTGACCCCCGCTGGGCAGAAGCTACCAAAGGAGACCCCGCGAGGGTCAAGGGAGGGTGTCGTCAGGCCCGCGCTGAGCCCTGCAGGATGCTCAGGGCCAGGGCCCCACCCTCTACTGGCCCTTCTCCCTCAGAGTTGTCCATTGACTGGACAAACCATCCCCAATGCTGACTCTTTGACCTATAGTCAGCTAACTCCCCGGGACCTGCTTCGGATCCCTGGAGGGCTGAGGATTGAATTCAGGAGCCTAGGGATTCTCCGGGTCCTGCAGGCAGAGCTCCAACTGGTGGGTGAAAGTTACAAGGAGGCAGGTTTCTGAAGGAAGCCCTGTGTAATAATCAGAGCTGCCCAGCCTGTATCTAAAAGTGGTCAAGATGCGGGCTGAAGCGTCACGGGTCAGGAATGCTGCACAGGAGAGTCTACGGACAGGCTAGATGACCCTTAGCATGGAGGGAGAGGACCCCCGACATCTGTCAGCTCTGCAGTGCTCGTGGTTCCGTCATGGTGGAGCTGCCGAGTGACCCGCTGGCCTCCCTGAGCTGGGCTTGACCATATGTACGAAGGAAAGAAAAGGTACCAAGTTCTGCTTGTTTATTTGTTTGTTTCAGATCCCAGCATGTGCTAAACACAGTCCCAGATCCTTCCCTAAAAGTTATCTTCCTCTATCCTTACCACAATCCTGAAAATCAGGTCTTTTTTAAAAAATAATTTTTTCATTTTAAAAAAATTATAAATCTTCTCTTTATTCTTCTTCTTCTTCTTATTATTATTATTACTTTACAGAGACAGAGTCTTGCTATGTTGCCCAGGCTGGTCTCCAACTCCCAGGCTCAAGTGATCCTCCCTCCTTGGCCTCCCAAGTGCTGGGATTACAGGCATGAGCCACTCCGCCTGGCCAAGCAGGTCTTCTAATATCCATTTTATAGACAGACACACTGAGGCTTAGAGTGGCTGGGTGACTGGCCACAAGTCCTGCAGTGCTGGTATTTGAACTCAGGTGTGCCTGACCCAAAGCTTTGCTCTTCATCACATTTGTACCTCCTGATACCTCCGGGCCTTCTCTTCCCACTGGAAGTGCTGCCACCCACCAACATACACCTTGTTTTTTGCTCATCCTAATCCTCCCTGACTTCAGGGCCCATACCAACTCCTACCTCCTGGAAGAGCCCTCCCAGCCCACCTTGGCCCACAAAGATCTGAGCAACTCCTCCCAAATAATTAAGAGGAGGGAAACTGGACCCCAGAAGTGGGAATAGAGGGAAGGATGGATAAAAAAGGATGGAATCATGCCAAGATCAAAATGAATCCTTAGATGCTTGGGACTTATGTCTCAGAGCTGAGGGCGGTGCTGAGAAACCTATCTGTACCTCTGTTTCCTCCTCAACAAGATGGAAGCTCGAGTGTTTGTGTTGCTGTCTCATCCCTGCCCAGGGGAGGAGGAAGGAAGTCCTTAGGTTCAGAAATCAACAAATACATTAGCCACCCTGTGCTGGGTGCCTACTATGTGCCATGTGCTTTTACACACAGCAACCCCATGATGGCGGGCCGGGGGGGCCTCATCCTCATTGTATAGATGAAGAAACGAAGGCACAGGCAGTGATGCAGCTGGCCCAGGGACAGGGTTTGTGAGTGGTAGAGACACCATTTGACCCAGTTCTGTCTCACTCTGGAATCTGAGCTGCTTTCTCTTTACACTGCTCTCCTCCACCCTCATCCCACCTGGGCTAGAGCCTTGGAGCTCCTCTTAGCCTCTTAGAACTCCATCCCCAAGAGGTGGGGTCTTTGAGAAAAATGGAGAGACTTCAGCTTCTGTGTCTAACTTCTCAAGCCTTGGGGATGGTCTGATTTCCCCTGGAGACCTGGATGTGACGGGGGTATTAAGGTGGTTTTTCAAAGACCCCTCTACAGGAGGACTTTTGTGCTTGGTTTGTGCTAAATAAACATGCAGTCCACCTGGACAATTGTCACATGACCCCCATGGTGACCACACACTCTGACCTCTTCCATGTGAACCTAGCTTCTGACATCTTGTCTCATCGCCTGTCACCCCAGGTGTGTCACACCAGGTAGGCTGTGTGTCATGTCCTTATGGACCTGCCCCGGCACACCCAGTCTCACCTACGACACGCTTGCCCAAATCAGAGGGCTCCCACTTCATGAGACGCCTGATGATTCCCACTCCCCGAGCCCGGAGCATAAAGGAAGAGAGGTACTGAACAGCCACAGACGAGGGTGGACCCTGGGGCAGGGATGTCTGTTGAACCTGGGAGGAGACAGTGAACATCAGCCTGGGAAGGGCTGGGCAGAGGGGAGCCATTGGTCCCTGTACCTGCCATGACAGTTCCGACCCCTTTAGACTAATACTGCTCATGGGCCCACTGCCCTAGGGCCATCCAGGGCAGTGTCACACCTGAAGGCATCAGATCCCCTTCCAGCTCCAAATTTCCTGCCTCCAATGGGCAGGCGAGTGCTAGGGAGTGTGGATCTGCCTAGGGGAGTACTGCCCAGCACTGAAACCCTTCCTTTTTCCACCTGGTTTGGGGGTTGGAGGGGCTGTGGGCTCAGATCCCCGTTCCTGCCTCTTCAGCTGGCCACACCTCACACTTTGCTGAAGTAGGTGGCCACCTCCTTACGCGGAGGCCGGGGCCCACCCCCAGCCCAGCCGTTGCCCATCAGCGGTGGCTCCTCCTGGCCCAGCCGCAGAGGCGGTTTGCATTTGTGCCAGCTCGTGAGCAGCCTGTTCATGGTGCCTTGATCCGTGATGCCACGCAGCTTCTCCCTTTCCTCCTCCGCACCATCGGGGGTCGTGGGGGCAGCTGCGGAAGCAGGGGCCGTGGCCAGTGTCCCGTGGGTGTGACCCAGCTCCAGGTCATGGTTCATGGCCTCGAAGAACTGCTGGATGCAGACCTTGGCAAAGGCTTTGGCGTGCTCCGTGCACGTCTCGTCGAAGAGCTTGCGCTCGATGTCGATATAGTGGGACCAGTACTTGCTCTTGAGGAAGGCGGCCTGCGTGAAGCAGGGCCGCACAGAGCGCACCACGAATGCCAGCAGAGTGGTCAGCAGCACGAAGGACCAGCCCAGCGCCTGTGGGAAGATGAGAGAGAGTCACGGGGCACTGTCCTTGGGCCTCCGAGCCTGTTCAGACTCCCAAAGCACTCTCTATGCCAGTGCCTCTAGGGCAAAGAGCACAAATTGGGCAAGTGAGCTTGCCTCTTGGCCTCCATTTCCTCATCTGTAAAATGGGCATAGAAATTGAAATAATGGAGATAGGTGCACCTCATGGAAAGAAGATCACGTGGGTAAAGCACCCACCGTGCTGGCGGGGCACCCAGGGCCCAGGAGTTAAGTGGGCAGACCCTGGAGTTAGGCTGCTTGGGTTTGAATGCTGTCTCCACTATTTACTAGTTGACCAGGAGCAAAGCACTCAACTTCTCTGTGCCTCAGTTTCCACACCTATAAAGCAGCTGGTGGTAGCACCTATCTCAGAGTGTTGTTGTGAGGACTGAATGTGATAAGCTTAGTGCAGTGCCTGGTACCCAGTGCTCAGTGACTATTAACCATTACTGTTGTGCCAATAGGCCCTCACTTACTTACTGTGCCTCTTCTTTCAGGAAGCCTTCCTTGATCTCCCCAGGCCATAGTGGCCCATTTTCCTCTGAGTCCTGAACCTCTCCTTTGGCTCCTAGTATTGTCACCAGTGCCAAATGAGCACCTCCTCTGTGTCGGTTCTGAGCTGGGCCTTCAGGGGTCATAGAGGCGAATCAGGCAAGAAATCAAACTCTGCGCTGAAGAGCACCCTGCGCTTGGTTCCAGCTCTGCTCTGTCACCTCACTGCAGGGCACGGGGCAGGATGCTCCCCTGGCCCACGCTTCAGGGTTAGGCCCCAGCCGCACAGAGAAGCACTTGGGCAGATCAGGACTGGGGCTGAGGGCAAGCCCAGATGCCTATGGGGCCAGGCAGGTCGTGACAGAGCACACGGGGTGGGGAGCCACTGAGCATGTGCATAGGCTGGGGGCACCCCAGCCTGTTCCAGGAGTACACGCGGGCCTGGTGGGGCTGGATTTTCTGGATTTCCAACTTGAAAATCTGATTTTTATGTGAAAAATTCCGATTTTTATTTTAATCTTATTTACTTTTTTGTTTTGAGACAGGTCTTACTCCGTTACCCAAGCCAGAGTGCAGTGGCACAATTACATTTCACTGCAGCCTTGACCTCCCAGGCTCAAGCAATCCTCTCACTTCAGCTTCCTGTGTAGCTGGGACTACAGGCATGTGCCACCAAGCCTGGCTAATTTTTTTCTTTTCTTTTCTTTTTTGGAGACAGGGTCTCACTATATTCCCTAGGCTGGTCTTGAACTCCTGGGCTCTAGCAATCTTCTTGCCTTGGCCTCCCAAAGTGCTGGGATTACAGACATGAGGCACATCGTACCCGGCCCATTCTGGTTTTTAGAAGATGCCAACAAATTCTAAAGTTGAATCTAGAATTCAGTCTCTGAAGGCCAAATGAAACATGTATAGGCCAGGCAGCCTGTGGCCTCTGGGGCCCTCTCAGCTTATGATGTGGTGGCTTAAAGGTCAGGTGGAATGACAGCTGCCAAGGCCCTGAGGCCGGGGACGATGGGATGAGTGCCCACAGGAGAGGAGGCACAGGTTAGGGAGGAGAGGGAAGTAGAGTTCAGTCGGGATGCTTAGAGCATGACATTCACCAAGGTCATCTGGGTGGTGACAGAGGCCTCCCAGGAGAGAGGCCCCTGCTAGAGTGGGAAGCCAGGGGTGTCTGGACTTGCCAGGGCAGAGTGTGCACGTTTCTCCAGTCCTTGCAGAGCAGGCTGGCCCCAGCCCCTCGCCCTGACAGCACCTGGTCTGCCAGCTGTGAGGGCAGGCTGCCTGGGTGGTCCTCCCCACACGGCACTGACTGGGTTGGAGAAGGCCCGAGAGGCTTGGATGGGTGAGCATGGAGGGGCAGAGGATGTGGGAGTAGGGCTGGGGAGGACCCTCACTCTGGCTGACCCGTCAGTGGTCTCTCCAAACTGCCTTTCCATCACATCCCAACAGGGCCTCCTCTCTCTCACCCATGCACCCCCTTCCAGGACACCCTGGTCCTCAGCTCCCACTCCCCAGCAGGGAAGCACCAGATGGGGGCATTTGCTAGGGAAATGTACCCAAATGGCCTAGCCACCCACTGGCCTCACCACTGCCGAGGCCCGGAAGAGGGAAAGCATGCAAATTCCTCCAGCTTCCAAGCTCAGAAATCAGGATGGGGATGCAGGTCCACTCTGGGGACCTCAGGATAGGGGTCAGGCCCACTCACCAGAAGCCTCTGGACAGAGGGAGCCAAAGCACGTTCTCCGGATGGCCCTGGGCTGAGGGCAGATGCGTGGCTCTGCCTTCAGCCTCAGTTGGGAAGATGCCCCCCACACCTCGGAGCTCCACCTGAGCAGAGGCCCCATTTTGAGAGGTAGGGGGATAGGGCCCTCCCAGAGGGACCTTGATCTGCCAGGGAGACCCAGCGTGAAGCCATGCGGCCCCTCACCTGGGAGATGCAGCGGAGGTAACGCACGGCCACCTCTCGGGCCAACAGCCAGTCGCCATCGTAGATCTCAGGGCAGGGCACCCGGGCCAGCAGGCGGGCGAGCTCGGGGGCAGGAAGGCCGGGTGCCAGGCTGCCGTTGCCCAGTGCGCTCACGGGCACGGCAGTGCAGAAGGCACAGAGGAAGCATTTGCCGTCGAGTAGCGTGACGGCCACCCAGACGACAGGCGCGATGAGGGCGCGCTGGGCCATGGAGCAGAACATGTAGCGCAACACAGCGGGGTCCTTGGCCCGGCGGCCCAGCGGCCGCTTCCACTCTTCGGCCAGCATGGACACGTTGTTGTTCATGACCAGGCCAAGCAGAAAGAGCACCAGGGGTGGCGCCAGCAGGATGCCCGCGCTGTAGGCTGCATTGTAGCCCGGCAGGCAGGGGCAGTTGAAGTCGAAGGCCGAGTACATCTGGGCACTGGCCAGGGCCATGATGCCACAGATGCCATTCATGAAGGACTCCTGGTTGGACTGCAGGAACTGGAAGATCATCCGGAACTTGTCCATCATGCCCGCTGTGGGGCCCGGCCTCCTCTTCCCAACTCACTGCTGCCTCCAAGAGGGCCCCTGCTGCCCACCCTGCCCACTGGGTGCCCACCTCATGACTCGGGCTCTCCTGGCTGGGACCAACAGAGCTCAGAGCAGAGGCTGAGGTCACTGTCGCTTTGAGGAATCTTTAGTCAGGTGCTGGCTGAGAGGATGCAGATTGACCAATCCTGTGGGTTCAGCCAGGGCTGTGCCCCTCCCTCCTGGGCTTCTCTCTCTCTGCAGCCGCCTCCACCTCCGGCGCTAGCACCTGCTAGAGACCAGCTTTCTGTGGGTGTGGGAGGGAGGGAGGGAGGGGCGGGAGAGAAGGCTCAGACACAGACTGGGAAGACACTGTCTCCAGCAGGGCTGGAGTTTGGAGAGTCCAGGGCTGCTGCAGGGGCCTGAGGTCCTGGACCTTGTCTTCTGGGCTCCTAGGAAGCTCATCGCCCTCCTTTTGCCCTTCCCACTGGGGGTCTCCTCCATGCTGTATCAGAATCCTAGAGGGCTCCTCCATCAGTTCCCCGATGACGGTGTGGTGCTGCGGTGGTGGTGGCTGCAGTGAGGGTGCTGCTGGTGGTCGTGGGGATACTAGCCACAGAGGGGATGGCAGTGGTGGTGCAGGGGATGGTGCTAATGTGGACGTGGCGTAGAATGAAACATCCTGGATTTGCTGGCAGAGGACTTGAATTTGATAAGTTGCCTGGGCAGGGGCTGTGGCCTGTGAGTGTGCTGCAGGGGTCCTTGTGTCAGCCTGCCTGTGTCTCTGTGGGTGTGCCTGTGTGTTTGTGGGCTGTGGATGGCAAACCCTTTCCTGGCTCCACCTCCGACCTCTACTTCCCCAATCAAAAAATAAAGGGGTCTGCATGCTGACAGCAAGGGGGTGAAAAAATTAAATGGGTGGGGTGATGGGGTTTCATGCCTGGAGTTTGGGCCTCCAGAGTGCCTGCAGAAACCTGGCCAGCCCTCCTCCACAGACACATCAAAGAGGAGGAGCTGAGCATGCTCGCTCTGATGCCCAGGGCTCTCCCTGACCTCCCAAGGGCAGGTCAGATCCAGCTCCAGCCGGGGGGCTCCTGTCTGGGGAAAGGGGTGGGGTCTGGGGCTGAGACAGAGCCTGGCCAGGACATCCCCATGGGGCCCACAGATCTGTGCCTCCCCATGTGTGTGCCCACATGTGAGCTCACTGTGCCTTTGGGCCTCTGCATCTGTGTATCCGTGTGTGTGTGTGACCACGTTAGTGATCTTTGTGTCTGAGGGTCTCTGTATCACTGACCAGAACCAGCATTGACCCAGGCTTGCCCTGGGTGGAGCCCCATGGCAGGCACTTACATGCATTGCCTGTGTAATCTTCTTACAATCCTATGGGACAGGTACTGCCATCCCCATTTTACAGAGATGGGGACTGAGGCTTGGAGAGGTTAAGTTATCAGCTGAGAGTTACCCAGCTTGTAGGTGGAGGAGTGGGACTGGAACCCAGGCTAGCTCTCTCGTGGGGCTGGGAGTGGGGGGTGGAGGAGGGGTCAGGAAATGTTTTTTGGCCTTTCTCTTCTGGGCAAATCAGGCTCCTGTTCTGCTGGTCTGGGTGGAGATGCTGGAGTGTCACCAATAGGATACAGTGGGGAAGGATGTTGCTCCTCTTGCTGTCAGGCTGGGCTTGGGGCAAATGGAGCCCCCAGGCTGGTAGCCTCCGGAAGACCCTTGCAGAGGCTCCCCAGGGAACACTATAGGTGGATGGCAGGATGAGGGAGGTCCAGTGATGGAGGCGACCTACCCTGCACGTCTCCTGCAGTGTTTGCGTGCATGGCCAACAGCAGGTGTGAGCTGATGCCAGAGCTGGGGTGGGCTTGGGGTGGTCCAGGAAACCAGGAGGAGTGGTTTCAGGGGGCCACCTGGAATTCTGTCTTGTATATTGCACACAGCTCCCTGTTTGTAGATAATGTGCCTTTCTAGTAGTGCCCATACTGCGTGCTCTAACCACATATACACATTCTGCAAATTCTAAGCGCAGTGTTATTTTAAAATACTTGAGGCTGGGCACAGTGGCTTAAACCTGTAATCCCAGCACTTTTGGGAGGCCAAGGTGGGAGGATCACTTGAACCCAGGAGTTTGAGGCTGTGGTGAGCCATGATCACAATACTGCATTCCAGTCTGGATGACAGAGCAAGACCTTGTCTCTAAATAAATAATAATAATAATAATAATAATAATAATAGTTTGATTAGATTCTCAATCAATCATTATCATAAGAATTTTGGTTGCAGGGTGGGCACTGTGGCTCACAGCTGTAATCCCAACACTTTGGGAGGCCACGGAGGGAGGATTGCTTGAGCCCAGGAGTTTAAGACCAGCCTGGGCAACATAGAGAGACCCAGTCTCTATGCCTGAAAAAAAAATGTGTTACAGTTGTCAGTGAGAGTGAAGAGTGAGGGTTAATTCTTTTTTTTGAGACAGGGTCTCACTCTGTCACCCAGCCTGCTGTGCAGTGGCATGATCTCAGCTCACTATAACCTCTACCTCCAAGCCATCCTCCCACTTCAGGCTCCTGAGCAGCTGGGACTATAGGTGTGCATCACCATGCCCGGCTAATTTTTGTATTTTTTCCTTGTCTCAAAAAAAAAATTATCACCTACTTGGGGTAAGTTTTTTTGTGGGTGGTGTTTATCCAACATTTGAAGAAATCATCATTAAAGAGCCTTCATGAGGGCGGGTGCGGTGGCTCACACCCATAATCCCAGCACTTTGGGAGGCTGAGGTGGGCAGAGCACAAGGTCAGGAGATCAAGAAACCCTGTCTGTACTAAAAATACAAAAACTTAGCCGGGCGTGGTGGCGCACGCTTGTAGTCCTAGCTACTCGAGAGTCTGAGGCAGGAGTATCGCTTGAACCCAGGAGACAGAGGTTGCAGTGAGCCGAGATCGCGCCATTGCACTCCAGCCTGGGTGACAGAGTGAGACTCCTATATCTCAAAAAAAAAAAAAAAAAAAAAAAAGACCTGATGAGCTGGGAGTGGTGTGGCTCATGCCTGAAATCCTAGCACACTGGGACACCGAGATGGGCGGATCACTTGAGATCAGGAGTTCCAGACCAGCCTGGCCAACATGGTGAAACCTCGTCTCTACTAAAAATACAAAAATGGCTGGGTGTGGTGGCTCACACCTATAATCCCAACACTTTGGGAGGCCGAGGCGGGAGGATCACCTGAGGTCAGGAGTTCGAGACCAGCCTGGCCAACATGGTGAAACCCCATCTCTACTAAAAATACAAAAATTAGCTGGGTGTGGTGGCGGGCACCTGTAATCCCAGCTACTCAGGAGGCTGAGGCAGGAGAATCACTTGAACCCAGGAGATGGAGGTTGCAGTGAGCCAAGATCATGCCACTGCACTCCAGTGTGGGTGACAGAGCGAGACTCTGTCTCAGAAATATAAATAAATAAATAAAATAAAGAGCCTCGAATAGGAATTGCCTGTGGTCATTTCATGCAAAAAAACACCTCATATTAAAAAGTGCTCACGAAAGCAAGCTCATTTCTCATTTTGAGAAGTTTAGGAGGTTTCATTTGGATGTTTTACACAAGTCTTTCCTAATACTTTATATTTCATTTTTTCCTATCATAATTATATAAGATAAAGAAATAGTAATCTTTTTGTTTTTTTCACCAGGCATCCCATGGATGTCTCCTAGTTCCCTCACTGTGGCCCAGTGTTGTATATCAACGTCATCATGGATACACCTCCTGTGGGAGGTGATTAGGCCATGAGGGTGGAGCCCTCGTGAATGGAATTGGTGCCCTTATAGAAGGGACCCTGGACCCTGGACCTCCACTCTGCAAGGATACAGTGAGAAGGCAGAACCCAGCCTCAGGTACACTCATCTCAGACTTGCAGCCTCCTGAACTGTGAGAAATAAATGTTTGTTGTCTGTGGTATGTTTTGTTACTGTGGCCCAAGCTGTTGGACACAGGGACACCCCTGGGCTCCCAGGCACCACCCTTCCCTCACGCTGCTGCTCTCCTGGAACACGGTCGTGCCTCACTGCCCATCCAAAGCCACATCCCGGCTCCACCTGCTCACTCCTTGTTTCTTCCACTCGATGGTCAAATTTTTCTCTTACCAAGAAGCTGGCCAGGTGCAGTGGCTCACACCTGTAATCCCAGCACTTTGGGAGGCTGAAACAGGCAGATCATTTGAGGTCAGGAGTTCGAGACCAGCCTGACCAACATGGTGAAACCCCGTCTCTACTAAAGATACAAAAAAAAAAAAAAAATTAGCCAGGTGTGGTGGTGTGTACCTGTAATTCCAGCTACTCGGGAGGCTGAGGCAGGAGAATCGCTTGAACCCAGGAAGCGGAGGTTGCAGTGAGCTGAGATCATGCCACTGCCTGGGCGACAGAGCAAGACTCCCTCTCAAAAAAAAAAAAAAAAAAAAAAAAAGCCATGTCACAGAGCTAAGAGCAACCCAACCAGTGATCTGGGTTCAAGTCTCAGTCTGGCCACACACTAGCCAGGGACCTTGGGCAAGTCATCTAACCTCTGGGTGCTGCAGCGTTCTCATCCGTGAAATGGGGAGAATGATAGCGCCTGCCTCCCAGGTGGTTGTGAAGATTCAATCAGCTGTGCAGGTCAAGAGTTTCGCAGTGCGCCAGGCACACAAGGAGTGGTCGTGAACCATCTTTACAACATTGTAATAATAATAGTGATCATCTCTGCACCTGAGCTTCAGTAGTGCATTTTCAAAATCTGTATTAGTTTTCTATTAACTGCTGTAACAAATGTCCACAAATACAGTGGCTTAAAACAACATGAATTTTTTTTTCTTGTAGTTCTAAGGTCAGGAGCCTGTAATGGATCTTGGCTGACTAACATCAAGTGGCTGGCAGGCTGTTCCTTCTGGACGCTCTAGAAGAGAATCCATTTCCTCGTATTCTCTACTGTGTAGAGGACACCCACATTCCCTGGCTTGTGACATCGCATTCCTCCAACCTCTGCTTCCCTCATCACAGCTCCTTCTCTGACTCTCACCCTCCTCCTACCTCTCTCTCTCTCTCTCTCTTTTTTTTTTTTTGAGATGGAGTCACTCTGTCACCCAGGCTGGAGTGCAGTGATGTGATCTCAGCTCACTGCAACCTCCGACTCCTGGGATCAAGTGATTCTCCTGCCTCAGCCTCCCTAGTAGCTGGGACTACAGGCGTGCATCACCATGCCTGGCTAATTTTGTATTTTTAGTAGAGACGGGTTTTCACCATGTTGGCCAGGCTTGTCTCGAACCCCTGACCTCAGGTGATCCTCCCCTCTCAGCCTCACAAAGGGCTAGGATTACAGGAGTGAGCCACCGTGCCGGGCCCTACCTCTCTCTTATAAGGACATGCAGGACCCACCTGGCTAATCCAGGATCATTTCCTCATCTCAAAATCCATAATTTAATCACATCTGCAAAGCCCTTTTTGCCATGGAAGGTAACATATTCACAGGTTCTAGACATTAGGAGGTGGACTCTTGGGGGCCCATGGTTCTGTTTAACTTCAGTAGGGGTCTTTGGTGGTGCATTTATCAGTGCTTAGTCTTCTCCATCTCTTCCCTATAACTCCCAGGTCACGACTAAATAAATAAAAAGCAGGATGTCACACACATTTTGGAGCATGGTGGCAAACTCAGCCATGGTCACCACTGTGGGATGTACACTCGCCTCCTGCTTCCTGGCCTTGGGGCTGTTGTCCAAGCACCCAGAGGGCACAGCTGGTGAGTGCCCTCTGGTTTGGAGGAGTTAGGGGTGTCATGAAAAGCAGCATGCAAAGGAGGCTCCTGTGGACAGTGGGTGCCGTACTTTTAGGAAAATGCCCAATTTGCGTAGGAGAGTGTGAGTGTGGGGTGCGTCCAGAGATTGGGGCAGTGGAGGAGGCAGGAGCCAACAGCAAATGTGGCTGCCAAGGCATCTCAGGTGCTGGTAGGCTGGGTTATCAGAGGTATGAAGTCTCTACCTGAGAAAGATAAAATGCTACGTTCTCCTTCATCAGCCAAACCCTATGGGGGTGTATGCTGTGGCAAAATGGTAGCACTCACCAAGTCATTCACGTGTTCCCTTATAATTCTCAGCCTCTGTGCCAGGGAGGCTGGGGCCTTGTGCCTGAGTTCTGGTGCAGAATCTACCCTCATCCTTTACCATCTTCCCATTCTTCTCTGAGGGTGGCCATGGACACCAGGTGTAACAGACCTCTGTGCCCCGCCCACTCCCCTCAGACCTCACCACTACCTTCTTTCTTTTTTTTTTTTTTTGATATGGAGTCTCACTCTGTCGCTAAGGCTGGAGTGCAGTGGTGTGATCTCAGCTCACTGCAACCTCGGCTTCCTGGGTTCAAGTGATTCTCTTGTCTCAGCCTTTCAAGTATCTGGGACAACAGGTGCCCGCCACCACGCCTGGCTAATTTTTGTATTTTTAGTAGAGATGGGGTTTCACCATGTTGGCCAGGTTGGTCTCAAACTCTTGACCTCAAGGGATCCAACCGCCTCGGCCTCCCAAAGTGCTGGAATTACAGTCTTGAGCCATCACACCCAGCCTTTCACCACTATCTTCTAAAGGTTGCTCACTAAAAACAGCCCAGACTGTCTGCCTGAGGGCTTTTTTTTTCTGGCACTGGGTTTACATTTGGCCCAAGGAAACCTGGAGGTGCCCAGCTAGTGCCCTAGCCAGTGACAGCCAGAGATTGGTGAAGACATGCCACCTCCTCGTTCCTGGGGAGCGGTTACTCGTGTTGTGCTCTCCCCGAGCTCCCCGGTCGGATCATGCTCTGGTTGCCCACGGTAGTAACTGGCTGGCGGCTCTACCCTTGGTTGGCTTTCTTCCCTCTCCAGTATCACTTCTGTTCCTTGCAGGGTTCCCCGGAAGCAACATTCTTATAAGCTATGTGCACTCATTTCCTTTTCTCAGGACCTGCTTCTGGGAAATACTGTGGGTCTTTTAAATTTTTATTTGTTTATTTAGAGACAGGTTCTTGCTCCATCTCCCAGACTGGAGTGCAGTGGCACAATCACAGCTCACTGTAACCTTGAACTCGTGGACTCAAAAGATCATTAAGTCTCAACCTCCAAAGTAGCTAGGACTACAGGTGTGCACCACCACGCCCAGCTAGGGTTTTTTTTTTTTTTTGTAATTTTTGTAGAGATAGGGTCTTGCTATGTTGCCCAGGCTGGTCTCAACTCCTGGCCTCAATGGATCCTCCCTTGCCTCGGCCCCCCAAAGTGCTGGGGTTATAGGCGTGAGCCACTGTACCCAGCCATATCATGTGTCTTGATGGTGGCATCACAAGATGGCAGTGTCAGCTGGGTCCCCAAGCGACTGTGTGGGGCAGATCCCCCTTCTTCAACCTCCCTTCCCTGTTTAACTACATCAGGTTTTGCTTGAGTGAGAAATACATCTTTATTGTGTTAAGCTACTGACACTTTTGTTTTATTTTTACTGTATTTTATTATTTATTTATTTATTTTTGAGATGGAGTTTCACTCTCTTGCCCAGGCTGGAATGCAGTGGCATGATCACGGCTCACTGCAACCTCCACTCCCCAGGTTCAAGTGATTCATCCTGCCTCAGCCACCCAGGTAGCTGGGACTATAGGCATGTACCACCACCCCCAGCTAATTTTTATATTTTTAGTAGAGACGGGGTTTCACCATGTTGCCCAGGCTGGTTTCAAACTCATGACCTCAGGTGACCCGCCTGCCTCAGCCTCCCAAAATGCTGGGATTACAGGCGTGAGCCACCGCGCCCAGCCTAGTGTATTTTATTTTACATTCCCAGCCTAGCCTAATACAATGTTTATGTGTGAGATTTTAAGCAAGACACCCAGAGTCCATTCTAACTCTGAAATACCTCTAATCTATCGATTCTCTCCATCTCCACCCTAATCCAAGCCCCATCAGTTCTTGCCTGCCTTCTGCAATTCACATGGGCCCCTTTCAAGACACTCCCAGGCTGTGGCCAGGGGAATCTTTTAAAAGTGAACATCTGACTAAATTACTACTTAATTCCCTCCAACGGTTTAAGTCCAAAATCCTTAACAGGGCCTGTAGGACCATGTGAGAGCTGGTACCAGGGCAACTCTCCTCCCGATGCCTCCTCCCCAGCTGACCAGTTTGCTTTCAGTTTCTCAAACAGGACAAGCCCCTTCCCATCTCAGGCCTTTGCACAAGTTCTGCACATTCCAGCAATACTTCTCCCCCTATTCTCACCAGAGAAATTCCTGTGAATCCTTAAGGTCTCAGTGTAATGATTGTGTTGGGGCTCAGAGAAACAATACCCTGAAATGAAGGTCTCAGAAGCAAAGGACTCTTTCTGACCCTCACCTGTGCCCCTGTCTCTCGCCCCTCATTCTCCTCCAAGGTTAGCCATAGAAACTAGACTCCCTCTTCCCCAGGGTGGGTCATAGAAACCAGAACCCCTTTCTCCCTGAAGCCAGCCATAAAACCATACAACCTAAAAATATTACTCTAGGCCCAGCGGGTAGTGGTTCACGCCTGTAATCCCAGCACTTTGGGAGACCGAGGCGGGTGGATCACCTGAGGTCAGGAGTTCAAGACCAGCCTGGCCAACATGGCGAAACCCCGTCTCTACTAAAACATACAAAAATTAGCCGGGCGTGGTGGCAGGCACCTGTAATCCCAGCTACTCGAGAGGTTGAGGTAGGAGAATCGCTTGAACCTGGGAGGCGGAAGTTGCAGTGAGCTGAGATCACACCACTGCAGTACAGCCTGAGTGACAGAGAGACTCTGTCTCAAGAAAAAAAAAAAAAATTACTCTAATCTCCACCCCCAACATTTCTGTGTGAAAACTGGCCATAAAGAAATGATTTGACCTGCCTTGTTAGGTTGCAGGTCACAAGATCCCCTTCCTCCTGTCCCATGGGAGAAAGAAGTGCTGCCCAGAGAGGCCCGGGAGAACCTTAACGGAAGCCTTGCTGGGTTTTCCCCCCAAGTCTGTGACATCAGCTCAGATCTTTTTTGTCCAATCGTATTTCTGCGTGGTTGTTTCCATACTCTGTTGAACCTAAGCATAAAAATGGACCATTTCCTCTGTGTCTTTGGGTCTTCATCCTAAAAACTCTGGCATCAAATTAATATGTATGCTTTTCTCCTGTTGATCTGCTTTTTGTCAGTGATTTTCAGTGAACTTTCATTGGGTGAAGGGGACGTTTTCCCTCCCCTACAGTTCCTTCTTTAGAGAGGCCTTCCTGAACCTTCTGCTGAGACCAGTCCTGCAGGATACAGGCTTTCAGAGCCCCCTGGATGTACTTCCCCTTCCAGCACTGAATACAATTGTAATTACTTTTTGAGGTGGGTGGGTTATTTAATATCTAGGGGCTCCCATTGTACCATAAAGGCTAAAAGTCCTCATCTGTTTTATTCACTACCATATGCCCAATGCTTAGCACAGTGTGCCTAGTACATAAAGGATGCTCAGTTAATAAGTGTGAATGAAGGAATACATGAACAAGTGAATGAAGAAAAGAAGTGAATCTTGGACCAAGATAAATTTGTAGGGAGGCAAGAATTCAGACACAAAAGGGAGACAGCACTCACCTGTACAGTTCCGCGAGGAGATAAGACAGTACACTTCTGAGACGGCACAACTCTGTGAGATGAGTGCGGGGTGAAATGCCTGTACGAAGCTCACTGCCATGGCAGCTGCCACCAGATCACCTCCGACTGGCCTCCTCTAGACCCTCAGGGAC
This sequence comes from Homo sapiens, assembly GCF_000001405.40. Lineage (NCBI taxonomy): Eukaryota > Metazoa > Chordata > Mammalia > Primates > Hominidae > Homo > Homo sapiens. The sequence goes on from NC_000010.11 coordinate 103,468,488, forward strand.
CTCTCCCCATCCCACATGCCTCAGCCTCCCCCATCACAGCCAGTCAGCACAGGCAGGGAGAAGTCATTTCATGTGGCTGCAAAGGGCTGGGCAGAGCTGAGCCCCAAACAGAGAACTCCCTCATTTTCTTCTTCTTTTTTATTTTTATTTTTTTGAGACAGAGTTTTGCTTTTGTTGCCCAGGCTGGAGTGCAATGGTGTGATCTTGCCTCACTGCAACCTCTGCCTCCTGGGTTTAAACGATTCTCCTGCATCAGCCTCCCAAGTAGCTGGAATTACAGGTGTGCGCCACCATACCTGGCTAATTTTGTATTTTTAGTAGAGACAGCATTTTACTATATGTTGGCCAGGCTGGTCCCGATCACCTGACCTCAGGTGATCCACCCACTTCGGCCTCCCAAAATGCTGGGATTATAGACGTGAGCCACCGCATCCAGTCATCTTTTTTTTTTAGGATGGGGTTTTGCCATCTTGCCCAGGTTGGTCTTGAACTCTGGGCTCCAGTGATCTGCCTGCCTTGGCCTCCCAACATGCTGGGATTACAGGCATGAGTCACCATGCCTGGCTGGACTCCCTCATTTTCAATGAGAGCCTTGGAAATGGGAGCATGTTAGTGTGGACACGATTTCTCTGCTCCCATTGTAGTCTTTGGGTCCCAGTGCCCTTCCCCGTATGGGGATGCTGAAGGTCTCTCTTGTATCATCGTCACAAATTGGGGCAGGTGCCCAGGGATTTATACGAATCATATAGAAACCTACCCATCTGCTTGGCCAGGACTACCTCCCTGGGTGAGCAGTCCCCTCCCCTGGGAAGTTGGCAATAACCGGTGACTTTCCCTCTGTCCTTCCCCTGCTCGGTTGCTCAGAAGCACCACTAGATTTGTTGGTCCTCCTTCCCCCGTCTAGGGATTCTCTCCTCCCTGGCCTGCCTCTGGACTCTGCCTCTGTGACTAACCCTTTCTCTCCCTTGTTGCCTCCTCTTCCCACTCCAGAACTTTAAAAGTCTTAGTCCTTCCTCATCTCACAGAAGCCCCTCCTCTCGATGGCCCTATCCATTTCTGCAGCTTCAGCATCCTCTCCACATGTGTGAACCCCAAATATCATCACTCTTCCTGACCTTGCCACCAAGCACTTGTCTCTCATTCCCAATTGCCAGCAGGATAAAATCAAAGTCCTGAGCTAAATCCTCAAGTCTCCTGCCATCTTCCCCTCCTCTTGCAAACCTAGCTGAGATGGGGACCACAGCTGCCCAGGCAGCATGAGGGTGGGGACTGGAACAGCCAATGCCCATGCCTCCAGTACATTCCTGCCTTGTCTGGCTTGCCACTGTGTCTCCCGAAGAAGGTCCACATACAGGACACGGTGAGGGGTTTGAAACCACACTGGGGACAGAAGAGGATGAAAGATACATTTGAAAGCTGTCAAGGACAGAAGATCAAGAGAATGTATTCCCAGGTACCGAGCTCAGGGAACATGGTTTGATGGGACTCCTGGGCCCTCTGGCCAAGGTCTTTTGCTTTTGCCAGGCTGGACTGCATGCCTCTCCACTTGGCTCTTTGTTCACTTGTTTTATCTCTCTATCCACTTCCAGACTCGAAGCTCCATTAAGACAGAACTATCTGTCTTGCTCTCTGGCCACTCTAGGCATTCAGTGAGTATCTGCTGAATAAATAAATAGAACATGCTTTGCCCCTTGCCCAACTTTATGCCTTTGTTCCTTTTTCTTTTTTTTTTTTTGAGACGGAGTCTTGCTCTGTCACCAGGCTGTTGCAGTGGCGTGATCTTGCCTCACTGCAACCTCCGCCTTCAGGGTTCAAGCGATTCTCCTGCCTCAGCCTCCCGAGTGGCTGGGATTACAGACGTGCTCCACCACACCCAGCTAAGCTTTGTATTTTTAGTAGAGACGGGGTTTCACCATGTTGGCCAGGATGGTCTTGATCTCTTGACCTCGTGATCCGCCCGCTTCAGCCTCACAAAGTGCTGGGATTACAGGCGTGAGCCACTGCGCCCAGCCTATGCCTTTGTTCTTATTTCTTCCCTTGAGATGCTCTGCACCCTCCCTCCATCTTTCTTTCCACATGTCCAAATCTTTCCCATCCTTAAGACCCATTCAAATGGCACCTTCATTGTGAAGCCTTCCCTCACCCTCAACCCCCGCCCCACTGAGAGCCTCCTTCTCCCTGCTAACTCCCCATGGCACCTGGTTTGCCTTTATTAGATCACTTACACCTTATGCTTTGGATTCTCATAATTTCTGTACTCACCTCTGTCCCCCTAATAAAGTGCCAAGATGTAGACTTTGCTCTCCTCTAGGCCTCTGCCCCTTGCTGATGACTCCCCTCTCTACCCCATCCCTGCCCCGCAGACGTCCTGCTATGGCCTCCATCAGCACAGATGTTGGCCACAGACAGCATACCCGGGTTCGCCCCATGCTTTTCTACTTCCTCAGCACAAGGAAGCACAGCTCCTTGAGGGCAGGGGCAGGTCATCAGTGTATTCTCTCTTCCCTATTCCCTGGCACAGTGCTTTCTATGCAGTAGGTGCTCTATAAGTGCTCAGTATAGGAAGATAAGAGTATTGATTGCAGTCGGCGACTTTTTACTCCAGATGCTGCTTCCCTGGAGCCCAAAGCAGCCTCCCTGAGCCTCCTTTCCCCAGGCTGGGACCTCACTCATGCAGACTGGGCCGCCGCCAAGGTCTCCCTCCTTCCTCCACACCCTATCACTGCTAAAGCTTTGCCTAAACCAGGTCCCAACCCAGCACTATTTCCGACATTTGCATGGCCTGACCGCAGCCAGTAGGTCGGGGGAGGCTGAGCTGCAGGGATTTTCGGGTCTCACAAGGTCTCTTGTCAAGAGCCCAGGAGCACAAAAGTTGCCTGATGAAGGGGGCAGGCTCCAGGGTGGGGGGCATCCAGGGGCCCCTGTACTTCCTGGGGTGCTGAGGAAGTAGAAAAGCATGGGGTGAACCCAGGTCTGCTTCCTGTGGCCACCATCTGTGCTGATGGAGGCGACCACAGGGTGTTGGGGGTGGGGGTAGGGAGTGGGGGCTGGATGAGTCATCAGGGAGGGGCAGAGGCCCAGAGGAGAGCAAAGGCTAAATCTTCCCCAAACCCTTCCTGTTCGGGCTGCCAGAGATGGAGTGGCAGTTTTGTTTTTTTGTTTTTTGACACAGAGTTTCGCCCTTGTTGCCCAGGCTGGAGTGCAGTGGCGCGATCTTGGCTCACTGCAACTTCTGCCTCCCAGGTTCAACCTATTCTCCTGCTTCAGTCTCCTGCGTAGCTGGGATTACAGGTGCCCACCACCACACCCGGCTAATTTTTATATTTTTAGTAGAGACGGGATTTTACCATATTGGCCAGGCTGATCTCAAACTCCTGACCTCAGGTGATCTACCCGCCTCGGCCTCCCAAAGTGTAGGATTACAGGCATGAGCCACTGAACCCGGCCTGGAGTGGCAGTTTTTCCAGCAGAACTAACACCGGCATTTCAAGGGTTTTTATCCCTGAGCTAGAACCCACACTCCTACTTTGCTCTGAGGAAATCTTCACCAGGGTGCTAACCTCTTGCTAAGGGCAGCAGTAGATACCCCTGGGAATGTCTAGGGGAGGGGGTCATCTTAGGAAGGGACCTTGCTGAGCCCAGGGCTCAGGCTAGCGGTGGGGCAGGTGGTGCATGGAAGGTGAGGGAGGAGCACCTGCCCCCGCTGCAGGAGAGCAGAAGGCTGAGAGGAACTGAATCTTGAAGGAGGAGGACCCAGGCAGGGCTGTTTGGCCTTGGTTGGCCAGAATTGGTGGGGCCTGGGAAGGTAGGAGCTGGGAGAGTCAGCCCCTTGACATTCAAACACAGAAATATCCCCTCAACAGGAAAATATAAAAGTAGTCATCTGTAGTAGCCAGCAAGAGGCACTAACTAGTGGTTTCAAGAGGAACTCAACTAGCAGAGCTTGCTAGAACTTGCTATGAGAAACTTGGTATAAGCTGCTAGAAACCCCAGAGAATTAAAGACACAAGCCCGGGCATGGTGGCTCACGCTTGTGTATCCCAGCACTTTGGGAGGCCGAGGCGGGTGGATCACCTGAGGTCAGGAGTTCGAGACCAGCCTGACCAACATGGTGAAACCCTGTCTCTACTAAAAATACAAAAATTAGCCGGGTGCGCATGCCTGTAGTCCTAGCTACTCGGGAGACTGAGGCAGGAGAATCGCTTGAACCGAGGAAGCAGAGGTTGCAGTGAGCCGAGATCGCGCCATTGCACTCCAGCCTGGGCGACAGAGCAAAACTTTGTTTCAAAAATAAAAGACAATTACACAAATGAAACTATCGAGGCAGCAGACTAAGGTCATTATTATTATTTAGAATTGACATCTAGAACCCAGAACCCATGGCAGATTTACTTAGATTCTTGCTACTCAAAGTTTGGTTCACTGACCAAAAGCACATCAGCCTCCAGGAGCTTGTTTAAAATGCAGAATCTCAGACTCGGTCCTGGCTACACTGTCTGAACCTGTATTTAACAAGGCCCTCGGTGAACCGAGTCCACATTAAAGTTTGTGAAGCGCGCTGGAGGCCACACCCAGAAACTAGGCAGAGATTGGGCTACTTTAAAAAGGAGGCTAACAAGACTTAGGGTGCCTGCCGTGGGGTCCCCACGGCCTGGAAAGACTCCAGAACTTTGTCAGCGCGGCATTTCACCTGCGAACACTGCCGCTTCAAGCCTGGCCAGGACCCTACACGTCGGTGTGTTGTGACAGCCTCGTGCCCAGTGCCAAGGTAGGGGCGCGGTGGCTAAGGCCACCCCCGCAGAGCCCGGGGGATGCAGCCAGGTCCAGCGGCGGCTTGCTGGAGTACCACGTGCTTAGGAGGCGGTCCACCTGCTCCCGGCTGGAGATTGCGCGCAGGTGGGCCTTCCCACTTCCACTATCCAGGCCTTCTGGGGGCTCAGGCACTGCGGGGAGCTCGAGTCTCCTGCCTGCATTGCCCCGGCGCAGCCCCCGCGCCTGCAGCTCACTCCGCATGCTGGCAAAGAAGTGCAGCACGCAGCGGTGCGCGAAGTCCCGCGCATGCTCACAGCAGGTCTCGTCGAAGAGCTTCTGCTCCAGGTCCACGTAGTTGCTCCAGTATCTGCGCTGCAGGAAGACTGTCTGGTCGAAGCAGGGCCTCAGGCAGCGGGCCAGGAAGGCCGCGATGATCAGCAGCAGGGTGACGCTCCAGCCGATGGCCTGCAAAGTAAGGAGGCCCGAGGTTAGATGTGAGTGGGGCCTAATCCTATATACATATGTATTTATGAATACGTATATGAATGTTGCATATTTAATTTGATCATGTCTACATAATAATATTCTTCATTTTCCAATGGATTCAAATACTCCTTAGAGAATTTAACTGCAGTATACCACTCCAAACATCATAATTCATTAATCAGAGTATTGAATGAAATGGGACCAAATAAAATAAATTGAGAAGAATGAACGCAAAGAAAATTGTGTGATCATCAGATTACATGTCCTCTTTTGTATCCCTGTGTCCTTGTAAATTTAATTAACTCTTAGAGCATCTGCTACTTGAGGAATTGTCCTGTATAGTGTGGCAAAGGTATTCCAAAGTCCCTCCTTTTACATTTCCCATCCATCCTTCCTCAAATCTATCCACTTTCCTATTCAGTCATCCGTCCTGCCAACCATCCTTCATCCATTCATCTATCCTCCCTTCCATTCATTCTCTCATCCTTGCATCTATCCACCCATTCAATCATCTCTCCACCTATCCAATCGTCCATCCTCTTGTCTTACTGTAAATTCGTCATCTTCCCATCCAGTCAAGCTCCTAACTATCCTTCCATCTGCCATCATCTATCCATCTCTTCTCCCATTCATTCATGCTCTCATATGCTCCTCCTTCCTTCCCTTGATCTATCTACTCATCCACCCCCCCCATCCAACCATCTATCATCCATCCTCTCATCTTTTTATTTATTTATTTATATTTTTTGAGATGGAGTCTTGCTCTGTTGCCCAGGCTGGAGTGCAATGGCGTGATTCAGCTCACTGGAACCTCCCCCTCCTGGGTTCAAGCCATTCTCCTGCCTCAGCCTCCCGAGTAGCTGGGATTACAGATGTGCACCACCATGCCCAACAAATTTTTGTATTTTTAGTAGAGACGAGGTTTCACCATGTTGACCAGGCTGTTCTCAAACTCCTGACCTCATGTGATCCACCCGCCTCGGCCTCCCAAAGTGCTGGGATTACAGGTGTGAGCCACCACGCCCGGCCCCCCTCATCTTTTTATCCAGTCCTTTGTCATCCTTGTGTGTGCTTATCTGTCTATCTTCCCATTTAGGCATCCACTGTGCTATATTTTGTGGGAGGCACTGTGCTAAGAACTAGGGGCTCAGTCGTTGCTCTCACAGAGCTCATACCTTAGTGAAGGAAATAGATGATTAAATAGGTGATGACTGGGTACTTGTCATAGAGAGGGAGTCCAGAGGAGGGACACCCATCCTGACTTTGAGGGCCAAGACTGAAGGCTGAACGACAGTGACACACAATATGAACAGGGGACAGTGTTCCCAGCCAGGAATGAGGACAAACTGAAGTAGTTCTCTAAAGCTGGGGCCCACACCTGGCAGACTCCTCTCCCTCCTCTCTACCTTCCAAAGCCATAGTCTCTTTAAGGCCCAGCTTGAGACCTGATGCAATTGTGTGGACCTGGAGCAGGGAAGTCACGTCTCTAAACCACAGGGACATATTTGAATCCTTATCATTTACAGAAGTGATTTCCACGATTTATAAAGCTCTCTCATTTGGCATCTCACAGGACTCCCCCAACATCACCAGATTTAAGGTGAGTATTTTATACACGAGAGTAGAAAACCAAACAACTTACTAAACTTTACATGACTGATAATTTACAGCTGAGTCAGGATTCAAACCCCGGTCTCACTGCAAATTCCATGCTCTTTCCACCGAACTAGGGAAAGCCTAGAGTTTTGAAGCTTGCAGGGACCATCAAGATGGAGGAGACCAAGCTCCCCTGTATTTTGCATGATAAACTGAGGTCCAGAGGGGTAGTCCCATGGCCACGGTCACAGTCTGAGCCAGAATCAAGTGCATCCTGCACCTGGGTCCTCCCTCCACCGCACCATTGGCCAGCCCATGAGCCTGTCAGACTTCCCAAGGGGCAGGGGCTGTGTGTTTATTATCTATAGCCCTAGTGGTGCTCCGTGTGTAGTGGGTTCACATAAATACTTTTTGGTGGACACAACTCAGTGCTGGGGCTGTAGGAGCAGTGGTGGTGGAATCTGGAGTCTAGGCTGGGGGTAGAGCTGGGGTTTGTCCCCCAAGATAATAGAGTTGGTGCCTTTTGGGAAGATCAGCATCTGGAGAGAGCCTGCATTGTTGGAAGGTGGTTAAGAGGAATAATGACACTCCTTCCGATCCCTGCTCTGCCTCTTATAAGCTTTGTGACTTTGGCCTTATGAACTAAACTCTCAGAGCCTGCTTCCTCACCTGGAGAATGGGATGATAATGGTTGTTCCACAAAGTAAATGAAATAATACATATAAAATGCTCACTGCAGTGCCTGGCACATAAATGCTCAATAAGTGGAGATTAGTATTATTTCTCACGGGTGGGAAGAAGGTGTGCAGTGGGCGCAGGCAAGGCAGAGCAGTGGTCTCCAGCACTTCCCTGCCTCCTGGGAATGGGCTGAGCCCATCATCTGTCCCTCCTCACCACCCCCTCACCCCACTCCAGAACCAATGCGGGGGATTTGTGAGGGTGCAAGGGCCGGGGGAGGATCACCCCAGTTACCTGTGACAGGCACCGCAGGTAGCGAGACACTGCCTTCCGAGCAGGGCTATCCCTGACCAGCTCATCCTCCTTGCAGGGAACCTTGGCCAGGAAGAGCTGTACCTGGCTGGGGGTCATGTTGGCAAAGTCCAGAAACTTCTCAGGGTCCACAGAGCTGCTGAAGGCACACACGAAGCACTTCCCGTCAAGGAGGGCCAGCAGGATCCAGACCAGGGGGGCGGCCAGCGCCCTCTGCAGCACAGAGGAGCACATGTACCTGGCAGCAGAGGAAGGAGGGGGGTCAAGGGGCAGCTGGAAGTCAGCTGCAGCAGGGGAGGTGCAAGGATGGACTGCTGGGAAGTCCCAGGCTGGGTTACATCAGACTGCAGCTCCCAGTGTAGAGGTCCCAGTGACAGAGACAGGCAGAAAGGAGGGCAGGGGCCCCTGGGATCCCCAGGACTGGAGCACTGAGGACTTGGTATTCCTCTTGCCCTAGGCCTTACAGCAGACACTGCTGGTGCCCTGCCCATGCCAGAGGCATCTGTGGGTGCAGTGGCTGGTTCTATTCACCTGGAGGGCCTGAGGGCCTCCTACCTCAAGCATCTGCATTGTTCTGCCCCTGGGGCTTTGGAGGATTTTTTGCTCCAGAGAGGGGTAGGCTGGAAGCACTGAAAAGTTAACCCCCAAATCAACCTTCAACCCCAGAGGGATGGGGCCTTGTGGATAAATATCCCAGCTTCTTAAATCCTCAGTGGGAAAATTCTGAGATGTGTTCTATGCATGCCCTTAGGGGGTCCCCTGAAGGATTAAGCCCCAGTTGCCCACTCATTATCACATTCTTTCAGAGCCTGCTTTTGGAGGAGAGCCTAAGCTAAGACAGCCCTGCCCAGTAACCCTCCAAAAGCAGCACCTCTAACACCCCTACCCACAAGGCATCCCAGGAGCCCACCCTCTGACCGGCCTCAGGCGCCTTTCCAGATCAACTCTGCCCCTGCCTGTAGTGACCTCGACTGGGTATTGGCCACAGGACAGGAGCCCAGTGGAGCTGTGCCCACTGGACCCCAGAGGAAAAGGCCAAGGACACACCCAGTGCCTGTGACCCACCCTGCACAGCTGAATTGCAGGGAGATGTGATCCCTGAGAACATGGAACAGAGGCTGAGGGTGCACCGGATGCAGATGTTGTTTCTGAATTGGATTGTACACAAAACATCCAATGGTGTGTGCCAGGTGTGTGCGTGCATGGCCTACCCAGTGTGAGCTGTAAATATGTTCTAGGCAGTGGTGGCTTTAGCATTTTCTTTTCTTTTTTTGTCTTTTTTGAGTCTTGCTCTGTCGCACAGGCTGGAGTGCAGTGGCACGATTTCAGCTCACTGCAACCTCTGCCTCCCAGGTTCAAGCGATTCTCCTTCCTCAGCCTCCTGAGTAGCTGGGACCACAGGTGCCCAACACCACGCCCAGCTAATTTTTTATATTTTTTAGTAGAGATGGGGGTTTTGCCATGTTGGCCAGAGTGGTCTCGAACTCCTGACCTCAGGTGATCCACTCGCCTCGACCTCCCAAAGTGCTGGGATTACGGGTGAGAGCCACCGCGCCTGGCCCCCCCACCCAATCTCTGGCTCCTTATTTTCCCCCAAGGCTAGCCATAGAAACTAGAATCCATCTTCCCCAAGGTGGGTCATAGAAACCAGAACTCCTTTTCTCCAAAGCTGCCACCATAAAACCTAAAAATATGATTCTAATTTCCCCCCGCCTTTCTGTCTGAAAACTGGCCGTAAAGAAATGATCTGACCTACCTAGTTTCATTGTAGATCATAAGACTCCCTTCTAGAGAGGGTCCTGCCCCGTGTCTGGGAGAAAGGAACACTGTATAGAGAGGCCAAGAAGAACCTAGATGGCCTTGCTGAGTTTCCCCACTCCGTCTATAACATCAGTTCATCCCTTTTTTAATCCAATTCTATTTCTGCGTGGCTATCCAAACCTTGTTGAACCTAAGCATAAAAATGAACCATTTCCTCTGTATCTTTAGGTCTTTATTCTGAAGGTTCTGTGGCACATAAAACGGTAATCAAATAAATTTGTATGCCTTTTCTCTTATTAATCTGCCTTTTGTCAGTTGATTTTCAGCAGAGCTTCAGAGGGCAAAGAGGAAGTTTTCCCGCAGCCCCTAGAGTGGCCTGGGTAATTGGGAATCCTGTGTCATTCCTATGTTTACAGCACTGGCCACGGAAAGGTGACAAACGATAGGAACAGAAATATGTTTCCAGAGTGGAAACTGGCAAGTGGCTCTCTGTGAGCCGATAATTCCTAGTTGGGGAAAGGAGAGGGCGCACCTGGCAGTACCTGTAGGGTGGGTGGAGAATCCCCTGATAATGAGAATGGTTGGGGTCTGGGGGTGCACTTGACAGTGCCTGTGGGGTGGCTGGGGAGCCCCTGGCAAAGCTCATGGGTCACTGAGTGGTGTGGGACCGCACCTGATGATGCCTGGGTCCTTCCTCCGGTGCCCTGCGGGCCGGCGCCACTCCTCGACCATCACCACAGACTGCCGGTTGGCGAGGAGGCCGCAGAGAAACAGGGCGAGCGGGGGCGTCAGCAGCAGGCCCAGGCCGTAGAGTGCATTGTAGTGCACCAGGCAGGGACAGTTGAAGTCAAAGGAGGAGTACAGCTTGACGGTGACCGCAGCCAGCAGCAGGCAGATGCCATTCATCACCGACTCCGAGCTTGACTGGAAGTGCTGGAAGAGCATGCGGAATTTATCCATGGCTCCAGCCTGGGTGGGTGGGCGGCCGTCGGTTCGGCTCAGTGAGGCTCTGGCCACCTTCCTGGTGTCTGCTGTGCTGGGGACGAGCCTGGGATCTGCAAGAGGTTCTCTCTCTGCTTCCAAGGGCCTGAGGGGCCAAGGAGGAAGCAGTGCCCAGGCCCCAGCCCAGGCTCCCGGGATCCAGTAGGCACTTAAGGCAGGGACAGGCTCTCACCACAAAGGCTCCCCTGCCCAGCCCAATGGTCCCCTGGTGCCACTCCCCTCCTGTCTGGGGGAGTGAGTCACCCTCTGTGACCGGGCAGCCCAAAGCACCTCTAGGCAAATGGGCCCCGCCCTGTCACTCCATTCCTCCCGGCCCATTTCTCTTTGCTTTACGGTCTGGATGCTCAGGCTTGACAGCCGTTGGAGCTTCCTTCGGGGGACAGGCAAATTCTGGGTGTGGTGAGGAAAAGATGCTGATGGAGCCAAGGTAGTATATTTTCTGGTCTTGATCAAAAGCATGACTCTGAACTTGTCTCACAGGCATAGTAAAACAACAGCAACAACAACAACAAAATATGACGACTCAGCTCAGCCCAGGGAGATTTCATGTTGGCTTTCAGGCTAGGAGGAGCCAGAAGGGGCACCTATTCCTGACCGAAGGCTTCCTGGAAGAGGAGACCCTTGAGAGGAGTCTTCAACGATGTTTCAGCATTTGCCATGAAAGGGGTAGCGGAAGGGGATGGCCTCCCTGGGCGACGTGCTAAACATTGTGCATTAACCACTGGGTGCCCATGGGAGAGGCTGCTCAAGTGCCACGCCCACACCTGCATGGCTTTCCCCCTGCCCTTCTTCCGTGTGAGGGGCATGCGTTTGAAATCACTGCTTCTTCTCCTAACTCTCCCACATCACTAGGTCTCTCCTTGTGTCTCAGTTCCAGTCTCTCCGAAGGATGACAGCCCAGATGTTTGAGGGACCCCTGAAACCTGCAAAACGAATTTTGTAAAGGTCACTTGGCCCATATTGTAAGTCAGATCATCCCAAATAAGTCTTGCAAATTTCGTAACCATCTGTGTGGTCTGTACTTCTGATGAAGACAGACAGAAACCTGGGTCTTACTTATTATTATTATTATTATGAGATAGAGTCTTGTTCTGTCACCCAGGCTGGAGTGCAGTGGCACGATCTTGGTTCACTGCAGCCTCTGCCTCCCGGGTTCAAGTGATTCTCCTGCCTCAGCTTCCAAGTAGCTGGGATTACAGGCACCCACCACCACGCCCAGCTAATTTTTGTATTTTTAGTAGAGACAGGGGTTTTGCCATGTTGGTCAGGCCGGTCTCGAACTCCTGACCTCAGGTGATTTGGCCCCCTTGGCCTTCCAAAGTGCTGGGATTACAGGCATGAGCCACTGAGCCTGGCCACTTAGTATTTTTATTTTCCATATTTGTACGTTACTCTAGGTCCTATGAGACAGATTTCCCTGTGTGAGGGAAATGAGGCACTGGAGAAGATGGGGAGAGCCACCAGTGGCCCTGTGAGTCTGACTCTGAGCGGAGGAGAGGGCGGGGCAGGGGTGAGAAACCCTTCAAGCCAGGAGGACCACCACAACTTCAGGTGGGTACAGTCCCAGAGGGGCTGTTGGAGGTCACATACCCTGGCGGGGACAGAGCCAGGGAGGAAGCTGGGATCCTCCATCTGTGCCTTTCAGCCTTAGTCACCCACTGGGCTGCTGACCAGAAAAGGGGACTGTCCTGGCCCAAGGCCAGGCTTCGTGACCCTGAACCAGCAGGGCTGGTGTGGAGCAGGCGGGGAGCTAACTGGGCTGGGAGGGTCATGAGCACCCCTCAATCCCATTCTAGTCTCAGGGAGGGATAGAGTGTCCTAAGGGTCCCCAGCCACTCTAACCTTGAGAGTTCAGAAAACAATAGACAATGCTTCTGGAAGAACACTTTGAAGAAAACTGGGTCAAAGACTCCAGGCCAACCTTTTCACAGCTCCAGCCTCTGAGAGGTAAGACAGAGCTACCAGGTCAGCCTGGGTCCCTGGAGCCCTGCAGGGCAACAGGTGCTGAGTGACTGCAGCGGGGCTGACCCTTGCCGGGTATTTACAGGAAATACTTCAGTAAAGAAACAGGCCAGAAAGAAGCCCACCACAAAAGGGATATTATCTGTCAAAGAGAGGGGATGGCTTACATTTTTTTTTAAATCTCTATTTTCTGAATTGTCGACTTTTATAATAGTAGACATAATAAATCATTACTATAATCATAATAATGATTTTTAACTATTTCCAGCAAAAATCATAAAACATTTTAATTAGAAAAACATAAAAAGATAAAAGGACAAGGCAAAAAGGAGAATTCCATTTTGTTGCCTGGAGCTTGGCCCTGCTGAACTAGTAGAGAGAGAACTAGAGGCAGCAATAAATGGAGAAAGGCTTCTTTTACTCACACATATGGAAAGATATTAAATTGCAGATCTGGCCGGGCGTGGTGGCTCACGCCTGTAATCCCAGCACTTTGGGAGGCCGAGGCAGGCAGATTGCCTGAGCTCAGGAGTTTGAGACCAGCCTGGCCAACATGGCAAAACCCCATCTCTATTAAAAATACAAAAAATTAGTCGGGCATAGTGGTGCATGCCTGTAATCCCAGCTACTTGGGAGGCTGAGGCTTGAGAATTGCCTCTCTTGAGGCTGAGGCATGAGAATTGCTTGAACCCAGGAGGCGGAGGCTGCAGTGAGCCCAGATCATGCCACTGCTCTCCAGCCTGGGCAACAAAGAGAGACTAAAAATAAATTACATTTTTCTTTTTAATAATGATTTAATCTTTTTTTTTTTTTTAAAACCAGTTGTAAATATGTGTTAATTTGCAATTGGAAGATCTTTATAGAATAAATCTTTGGTACTTTCTTCATGTTATTTTGTTTTATTTTCAAATTGGAGTCTTGCAGATATATTCTTGGGGGTCTTCCAGTTTTTTTTGATCTTTGCAAAGGAGTCTGGATATTATTTGAGAAACACTGGCTTCACCGTTCTTGGAGTTCCTGTTATTGAGAGGGCTGTTTAGGACTAGATGCCCCCTACTGGAGAAACTCGTTGTATGTGATGTGTGAGAGATGTGTCTATGTACCTGTGTATGCATGTGTGTACACATGTATGTGTATGTGCGTAGTGCATGTGTACATATTTGGTGTGTGTATGCATGTGTGTTTTCATACATATGGGTGTGGCCGTCTTCCTACTTTGTATATGGTGAGTATGCCCTCCCCTGACAGTTCTTTCTTTTCTTTTTCCTTCACAGGGAAGGCATTGAACGTGCGTCCCACTTCTCAGGACTGGGAGACTGTTGTTCTGTGTGTCTAGCAGAGGGTGGTGCCCTTTCTGTCTCTCGGTGGCGTGATTCTCTGCTTCCCTGAGGACACAGGCCTTTGAGCGGTCCTGGCAGACCCGGGGAAAGCAACGTGGCACTTCTGTGGGCCCCACTCTGGTGACTCCACAGAGCCGTGTAGCCCTAAGGGCAGAGACAGGCTGGAAATGAAATGGGGCCATCTAACAGATGGCGCTGGAACAACTGGCTAGCCATTCGGGAGCAATCTCTACTTCATGCTTCATACCAAAATAATTTTCACATGGTTCAAAGATTCAACATAAAAATTAAAATCATAAAAATTCTACAGGAAAACGTAAGGGAATTTATTCATAATCAGAGGCTAAGGAAGGCCTTTGTGAACAGACCCCAGAATTTAGTAGCTGTAGAGGAGTAGATGGACAAGTAAGAGTCATAAAAACTAGACGCTTCTATGGGCAAACATACCAATAAACAAAATAAAAATAACAAACTGAAGGAAGGGTATTTGCCACACAAAGGCCTCTTTTTCTTAATTTGCAGAAGGCTCATATAAATCAATCCAAAAGACGAACAATCCTCTAGAAAAATGGGTAAAGGATTTGAACAGGTTATTTGCAAAAAAAAAAAAAAAAAAAAAAAAAGAGAGAGAGAGAGAAAAGTGACCAAACATCCTGAAAAAATTCTAATCCTCATTCATAATTAAATAAGAAATGAAACCACCAGTTGCCTTTAAAAATTGCCAAGTTGTTAGCAACTGAAAGATTGATACTTCCCAGTGTTGATGAGGCTTAAGGAAATAGCTACTTTTCATCTATGGTTGGAGTACAAATGGGTAGGTTTTTCATGGAACAGTTTAGCAATACATTTAAAGCAAAAATTTAAATACACATGCCCTTTGACTTAGTAATTACAAAGTCTGTATTCATCCCATGGGTAGCTTTGCAGAAGGAGCCATGATAAACAAACAAGAATGTTCATTATAGCTCTTTTAATGACAATCAAACTGGAAGCAATCTAAATTTCATCAACAGGGGACTGTTTAAATAAAATATGACACAGCCATAAAATGGGATCCATGCAGTCATTAAAAGAATGAAGCAGGCCAGATGTGGTGGCTCATGCCTGTAATCCCAGCGTTTTAGGATGCCAAGGCGGGCGGATCACCTGAGGTCGGGAGTTCGAGACCAACCTAGCCAACATGGTGAAACCCTGTCTCTACTAAAAATACAAAAAAATTGGCTGGGCGCGGTGGCTCACGCCTGTAATCCCAGCACTTTGGGAGGCCAAGGCGGGTGGATCACGAGGTCAGGAGATCGAGACCATCCTGGCTAACATGGTGAAACCCTGTCTCTGCTAAACAATACAAAAAATTAGCTGGGTGTGGTGGCGGGCGCCTGTAGTCCCAGCTACTCGGGAGGCTGAGGCAGGAGAATGACGTGAACCCAGGAGGCGGAGCTTGCAGTGAGCCGAGATCGCGCCAGTGCACTCCAGCCTCGGCGACAGAGCGAGACTCCGTCTCAAAAAAAAAAAAAAAAAAAAAAATTAGCTGGGCATGGTGGTGTGTGCCTATAATCCCAGCTACTCAGGAGGCTGAGACAAGAGAATCACTTGAACCCGGGAGGCGGAGGTTGCAGTGAGCGGAGATCCCACCACTGCACTCCAGCCTGGGTGCAACAGAGCGAGACTCCATCTCAAATAGTAATAATAATAATATTAAAGTATTATTATTGACATAAAACAAAATAATCAGGTTTAAATCTTAACATTGTTTCTGACTGAGGAACAGAACATGGAACTGTTTCCCTGGTTGATAATACTTTTTTTCTTTTTGAAACAGGGTCTCACTCTGTTGCCCAGGCTGGATGCAGTGGCACGATCATGGCTCACTGCAGCCTCAGCCTCCTGGGTTCAAGTGATTCTCCTTCCTCGGCCTCCCAAAGTGTTGGAATTGCAGGCATGAGCCACGGTGCCCGACCATAATATATTTTTAACTCCTGTTTTTCTAAGAAGAGATAAATAAGCCTGAATTTTAGAATATTATTTTCTCTTCCCTCTTACATGACTAAGAAACTATAAAGGTAGATTTTCTGCCCAAACGGAAATGACGTTTCCAGACCCTGAAAAGCGGGGCTGGTGCTCTGGCTAGGAGATCCTGCGACCATCGCATGTGACACTACATGTTGGGCCAAATGCAGAGACCTGGGGGCAAAGACAGGCAGGCTGCTTTGGGGGAAGAGGGCACCTGGATAGAGTTTCAGCTCTGGGGGTGATCGGGTGCACAGAGGGCCAGGCTAGGAAGCACCTCTGTTGTTGACTACACACCCTCAAGCTCTGGCCATGTAGTGACAGACGTTCCCTGGGCATCTGCGGAGTGCCAGGGGCTGGGCTTACGCAGATGCCCATACTGGGTAACTGGACACAGCCAGAGGGGCATCCCGGTGTGAGTAGCGGTGCTCTGGAGGACTGTGACTCAGCTGAAGTTTGGGGAGCCTCGGCCTCAGTCCTGGGAGAGAGTCTCTGCAGGGAGCTTTGGCCTTCTGTCCTACGGTCACCATGACAGGGAGAGCTCCTCTGCTGCCGGAGACCCCATCTCAGGATGAAAGGTAAAACGTGGCCTCAGTGAAGGGCACATACTCAGAGGGGAACATCTCAGTGATTGAAGAGGGGGCCAGTTTCCTCAACGGTATATTTTCTTTACCATGAAGTAGCCAATGGAAACTAGAAGGGTATATGTTTTCCCAGCAAAACTCTTTTCATTTTGAAAGAGGAAAAGAGCAATCCGTAAACATTTATTTATTTATATATTTTTGTTTTGAGACAGGGTCTCCCTCGCCTAGGCTGGAGTGCAGTGGCGTGATCACTGCTCGTTGCAGTCTCAACCTCCCCAGGCTCAGGTGATCCTCCTACCTCAGCCTCCTGAGTAGGTGGGTCTACAGGTGCACACCATCACACCTGGCTAATTTTTGTTTCTTTGGTAGAAATGAGTTCTCACTATGTTGCCCAGGCTGGTCTTGAACTCTTGGGCTCAAGCGATCCGCCCACCTCAGCCTCCCAAAGTTCTGAGATTACAGGCATGAGCCACCGCACCTGGCCTCATAAACTTTTTTTTTTTTTTTAGACGGAGTTTCACTCTTGTTGCCCAGGCTGGAGTGCAATAGCGCAATCTCGGCTCACTGCAACCTCTACCTCCTGGGTTCAAGCGATTTTCTTGCTTCAGCCTCCCGAGTAGCTGGGATGCACCACCCAGCTACTCAGTGGCATGCGCCACCACGCCCCACTAATTTTGTATTTTTAGTAGAGACGGCGTATCTCCATGTTGGTCAGGCTGGTCTCGAACTCCCAACCTCAGGTGATCCACCCGCCTCGGCCTCCCAAAGTGCTGGGATTACAGGTGTGAGCTACCGCGCCTGGCTCTGGTAAACATTTTTAAGGTGTTTTGAATGGCTTGAGGGCTCCCCAAAAACGTTTGTCAGAGACAAAGGGGATTCCAATGGAGTTGTAGTGTCACCTAGTGGTGGCTGGAGGGAGGAACTGGGGTGAGAGGAAGGGAGAGGCGGGACACACAGCAGGTCTGCTCTTTTGGCTATGAGAAAAACTTCCCCCAGCTATCGTCCCTGGGAAGAGAGCTGCCCTTGGGTGTGCTCTGGGACTGCTCTGGGGAAGGGTGCGTGAAAGGGAGATGTCACACTGCCAGCAGCAATTGGAGAAAAGTCTGCTCCCTGTCCTGGGTCTCACGCTAAAGGCATTTGGTGTGATTTAAGGCTGCTGGCTTCTTGGAGAGATGCCTCCTGACTCCTATTTGTCTTTCAACTTTGGCCATGAAGGAGTGTTACACTTTTATGTGGTCATATTTATCATACTTTTCTTTTATGATTCTCTGGTCTTTGTAACGTTCTTGGAAGGGCCATCCTGCCAAGTAAAGGCCACTTAAAACATCTGTGAGAGAAAAGAGGATGCTGGGGGTACTGCAGCCATTTCGAGCATCTTTCTTTGATTTTATTGTCTTTTTACTCTGTTTTGTGTTCATCAGTAGCTGTGTGCTCCCTGGCTAACTTCCAGAAAGCTGAGCTGAAGCCACCAGGCATCTTAGGTGTCCTCAAGCAGGAGGGGGCTGGTTCAGGAGCTCAGTGAGGAGGCCTCCTTTGCCACAGGTGTCTCCCTCAGGCTAGGGACGTGAAGGAATTCCACCCTGGTGCAGGCACAGTATCATGGGAATCAGGACTCAGGCTGTCCTAGGGCTGTGCCTCCACGCCTCCCCCATCAGCTCCTAGGCAAGTGACTTAGCCTCCTGAAGCCTCGGGATTTTTATTTGTAAAATAGGAATAATAATAGTAATAATAACAAGAACAAAAATAGTACCTATCTCACAGGGTTGTTTCCAGACTTAAATGAACTAATGCATCTGAAGTGCTTAGACCAAGGCCTGGGACACATGAGTAAGTGCTTCATAAATGTCACCTGTCACAGTTATCTGAGCAAGTGGCCCTGGGATAGATCAACTGATGCTGGACTTTGAAGTCAGTACACAACTGTCTCAGATGGAGACACACTGTCCTCTTTCCGACATTGGGCATTTTCTTTTTTTTCCTTTTTTTTTTTGAGATGGGGTCTTGCTGTGTTGCCCAGTCTGGAGTGCAGTGGTGGGGTCTCAGCTCACTGCAACCTCCACCTCCAGGGTTCAAGTGATTCTCTTGCCTCAGCCTCCCAAGTAGCTGGGACTACAGGCATGAGCCACCATGCCTGGCTAATTTTTCATATTTTTAGTAGAGATGGGGTTTCGCCATGTTGGCCAGGCTGGTCTCAAACTCCTGACCTCAGGTGATCGGCCCACCTCGGCCTCCCAAAG
Organism: Homo sapiens; assembly: GCF_000001405.40. Classification (NCBI taxonomy): domain Eukaryota; kingdom Metazoa; phylum Chordata; class Mammalia; order Primates; family Hominidae; genus Homo; species Homo sapiens. The sequence goes on from NC_000010.11 coordinate 103,487,205, forward strand.
TGCTGGAATTACAGGCGTGAGTCACTGTGACCGGCCAACACTGGGCATTTTCCTTTCTGCTTCATGGAGGAACCTCCTTCCGTCCTTTCAGATACAGTCTTGGGAGTGCTTGGCCTCAGGTCTGGATTTTTTCCATGGGTGCTATGGGTACTTAAGCCTATGAACTTTTAAAGCATCTGCTTGAGACCAGAAAAAAACATTACTGTCCTCAAGTTATGAAAGGAAAACTTCAAACCAAAATTAATAAATGTTCACTTAAATGCCTTTGTTGTATCAATGTCATTGATTGCTAAATGTAGTACTCATAAACATTTCATTATATTTGAAGACAAACATAGTTTTTTTCTCACTTGGCAAGGCATCCAGCACACGCATGATTGCTTAGAAATAAAACCAGTTGTAAATTCAGTGAGTCCCTTGTCATCCAGTGATTCCAAAAGCCAAATTTGTAAAAATCCTTTCAAAATGTTTACTGCAAGAAAATGATGTTTAATGTGGAATGCGGTATATTTTAGTACATTTGGCCTGACAGGGTTGGGCTCCAAAATAAGAGTTTGGGGGTCTATGAAGACCTCACAACTGATCCTGGATTCAGGGGCCACCTCCCAGAGGGCAAGTTTGTCTGTGGGGCAGAGGAAGGGGCTGGGATTCACCCCTGCTACCTCCTTGCACAGTCACCTCTTCCAATAAGTTAGCCCTGCTTGTGTGGCAGCCAGCACTGGCCTGGTCCCCATGGGGTGTCCAGCTTTCCCCCGAGAAAGCCTGTAGGCCTTCTTTAAACACCGTCTTCACAACTAGAACATGTGACCATGTGGAGCAGTTTCCCAATGTGTAATCAATAAATGACCTGTATCATACTCTGCTCAATCTAAGTCTCAAGGGGTGAGGTCTGGGAGTCTGCATTTTAGTAACTTTCTCCCCCTCTCCCCAAGGCCTCATAGATGATTCTGATGCACGTTTAAGTTTGAGAATTATTAGTCTAGAGTGTGTGTGCACCCCAGGAGGAGGGCAAGATGATCCCTTTTTCAATATCATTAGTCTATGTTTCATAATATACATAATATGAATACAGTAGTGCATTTTTAGAAATTATAAATAAAGAAATATACATATATTGGTGTACACACTTTAAAAATTTATTACTGCTAGGGGTGCGTGATCAAAAAAGTTTGGAGCTCAGAGCAACGTGCCCAGCCCAGCTATGCGGTCAGACCTGCTGTATGTTCAGCTCTGAACCTGGGCCTGGGAGGTGGGGAACTGGGACTGGAGTGCACAAAAAGCAGAGGACAGGCTGCCCCATGGTGCTAGCAAGGAAACTGCATCTCATCAGCGCCAGGGATACAGGTAGTGCTCAATAAATGGTCACTGGGCAATGAGTGAAGCTGAATCCCAAAAATACCTGGGAATAAGATGGCATAGGGCCCATTCCATCCTAAAATGGGCAGCACAGACTTCCATCCTTCAGAGGGAGGGCCCGACAGCTTAATCCATCCATTTCTTTATTCATTCATTTATTTAATAACTAGTTATTGAGTATGCACTAGGCATCAGGCACAGGCACTCAGAGATCTACCCCTCCAACTTGTCCAGCCACCCCCTGAAGTTCAGACAGGACACCACCCTCTCCCCCGACAGCTTTTCTGATAGTCTGATTAACTATGGGCTGGTGGCTGGGTGGACATGGTGGCACATGCCTATAATCCCAGAGCTTTGGGTGGCCTAGTCGGGACCTGAAGCCAGGAGTTCAAGACCAGCCTGAGCAACAAACTGAGCTCTCATCTCTTACAAAACACAAATAAATAAAAAATTAGTCAGGTGTGGTGGCGCATGCCTGTAGTCCCAGCTACTCGAGATTGAGGTGGGAGCATCGTTTGAGCCCAGGAGGTCGAGGTTGCAGTGAGCTATGATCACGCCTCTGCATTCCAGCCTGGTGACAGAGTGAGACCCTCAGCTCTAAATACCAAAACCAGGCGGAGTGCAGTGGCTCACGCCTGTAATCCCAGCACTTTGGGAGGCCAAGGTGGGCAGATCAATTGAGGTCAGGAGTTCAAGACCAGCCTGGCCAACATGGCAAAATCCTGTCTCTTCTAAAAATACAAAAATTAGCTGACCGTGATGGCACGCACCTGCAATCCCAGCTACTCAGGAGGCTGAGGCACGAGAATTGCTTGAACCCAGGAGGAGAGGTTGCAGTGAGCTGAGATCATGCCACTGCACTCCAGCCTGGGTGATAGAGTTAGACTCTGTCTCAAACAAACAAACAAATAAACAAAACCCAAACAAAATGAAACAATGGGCTGGGACTTGGGGAATGGGAGGGTGCTACCTGTGGTAGCCAGGGATAGTTGTGGCTGTTTCCCATTTTAAGGTTAATTTCTCTGCCTGGAGGGAGGTGTCATGCCATTGACTAGGGTGGTCTCAATTCAGGGGAGTCCAGCTTGGCCTAGAGGCGCCCCACTTTTGTCTGCCTGAGGAAAGGTCATCACTCTGGTTGGTTCTGAACTCAGTATCCAGAGGCTCAGGGAAGGGAGTAGACTCTCAGTTAAATATGCTATTATTTTATCAACGCGGTAACTCTTCAAGACTTGAATGGATCTGGAAGCTATGGAGAGAGAGAAAGAGGAAGGGAGGTAGAGAGAGGCGAACCAGGCAGGAGCGGACAGCCAGGGTGGGAAGAACAGAGGTTGCAAGGAGAGAAAGTGACCAGGGTGGGAAGAAGCAGAGAAGGAAGGGCAGGGGGAAAGACGAGAGGGGGTGGGAAGGGGGTAGAGAGTGAAAGAAACCAGCAAGGGCCAGGTGCGGTGGCTCACTCCTGTAATCCCAGCACTTTGGGAGGCTGAGGCGGGCGGATCACTTGAGGTCAGGAGTTAGGGACCAACCTGGCCAACACGGTGAAACCCCATCTCAATTAAAAATACAAAAATTGGCTGGGCACGGTGGCTCATGCCTGTAATCCCAGCACTTTGGGAGGCCGAGGCGGGTGGATCACGAGGTAAGGAGATTGAGACCATCCTGGCTAACACGGTGAAACCCCATCTCCACCAAATATGCAAAAAATTAGCCGGGCGTAGTGGCAGGCACCTGTATTCCCAGCTACTCAGGAGGCTGAGGCAGGAGAATGGCGTGAACCCAGGGGGCGGAGTTTGCAGTGAGCTGAGATCGCGCCACTGCACTCCAGCCTGGGTGACACAGCGAGACTCCGTCTCAAAAAAAAAAAAAAAAAAAGAAGGAAAAAAAATTAGCTGGACATGATGGTGTGTGCCTGTAGTCCCAGCTACTCGGGAAGCTGAGGTTGGAGAATTGCTTGAACCTGGAAGGTGGAGGTTGCAAGATTGCAGTGAGCTGAGATCGTGCCACTGTGCTCCCACTGGGCAAGACTCTGTATAAAAAAAAAAAAAAGAGAAATCAGCAAGAAGAGAGCAACAGGGAAGGAAGGGAAGGTGGGAGTGGAGCTGCTGTTGAAGGAAGCTTCCTCAGGTCCCTGCCTGGGGCCTCCCTCTCCTGCATGCCTGTGTGTGCACTCACAACACCTACGCATGCACATACAAGGACACAGGTGTTCGCGAAAGTGCACACGTGTGCACTGACACCCACCCCCTCAGGCACTGCCCGCAGAATCTGCACTGCTGGGTGTGTGGGTGTTGCCACGGTGACTGGTGCTGGAGCATCACCTTGTGGGTATTAATAGCTTCCCCTGAAGCCATCAAAACAGTGACTTCATCAGCCCCAGTCTCCCTGGCAGTTTCCTTCTTCCTCTTCCCTTCCAGGATGGGTCTGGGAAGGGTCTTCTGGATCAGAGCCACCACCCAGGCACCCCACCCCTATGAGCTGCCTTGGGGAAGGATGGCAGGAAGGCCTCTGAGTTCTGCCCAAGGTCTGGGGGTAAGGAGACTGCTGGCCTTCTTTAACCCTCTGAGCTGGGTCTACCCTAAGTCCCTGCCAGGGAGGAGTTGCTGGGGCACAGGACTCCTCAGAAGGGCCACGCTCAACTTCTCTGAGTCCTATGCAGCCACACCAACCTCCTCTAGGTCCCTTCCTGGCCAGAGACCTAGTTGACTCTAACAGTGGTGTCCCCTCTTCCAGTACAGAGCTCCCTGAAGTACTAGGGTGAAGGTAGAGAGGGGCCTAGGGCGTGAAATATAAGAGGACCTAATTCCCAGGCTCGCGCAAGTGCAAGCTTGGTATCTGCATGAACTTGAGAGTTGGCGCCTTCTTCAATTTTGCGCCAGGGATGCCTTGGCTACCTCATCCTATCCCAGCCCTATTGATACTCCCATCAGCTCCTCAACCCTCAGTTCCCTGCCTTTGTCCCTGACGCCTCTCACCTTCCTTTGGGACTCCCTGGGATCACGCTGCCCTGAACTGCAGAACCTGGGCTGCCTCTGGACTCAGGTGAGCATCCGCCTCTGGCCTTCACTTCCCTCCTTCCCTTTGACGTCTTCCTCTCTCCCCTGCTTTGCCCATAGCCCCAGGTCTAGGCCATGTGGGGCCTGTGACATCCCTTTGTCAGGCGCGGTGGCTCATGCCTGTAATCCCAGTACTTTGGGAGTCCGAGGCAGGTGGATCACCTGAGGTCAGCAGTTCAAGACATCCCTGCTGTGCTCTACCTTTGGGGCCTCATCCCCTCCCCCATTCCCCTGCCCACACCAGGCTTCCCTGGAGCCACCGTCTGTAAATCCTAGCTAGGCCCTTGTACTTCAAACACACTCTAGCAGGATGAGTCTCAACTATGCAGAGTCCTCATATTTGTTCTAACTTGTGAAAGGCCTGATTCTAGTGGCCACTCACAGTGACTTCATTCCGGCAGATTTCAGGGGGAATATAAGTGTGTGTGCTTGTATAGGTGTGAGTGTGTGAGATAGTGTAGCGGTGTGTTAGCACATGTGTGAGTGTGTTGCCATTAAGAGCCTGTGGATTTCTGATGCATGAGTCATTAGCTGGGAGTGAGCCTTGGGAAGATACTGCCCATAAATAAGACAGCCATCCCTGACCTGCTGTGGCCATCTGCAGCTGCCTGCACACGTGATCCTGGGCATCTGGGAGGCTGGAGGCCGGGTTCGGGGCTGCCTTTCCCTCCAGATTCCAGAGAGACAGTGGCTGTCACAGATATTTCTAGCTTGCCTGGAGTCCCAGACATTTAAGGGTAGAATGCCTGGAATGGGGATGGAGAGAGGAGAGTAGGAGAGGAAAATAAAGGGTGGTTCAGGAGGCTCTGCCCCCAGGGATCTCAGTGGAGCCTCCTGGCCCACAGTGGGAAGCATGCATTCCACAATTATTTTCTGAGAATCTGTCACATGCCAGGCATTCCCCCAGTGGGTAAGGACACCCTGGTGAACACGACTGACCTGTGCTCTCCCCTCACAGAGCTTATGTTCTAGCAGGGAGGCAGAAGATAAACGAGGAAAGGCTACTTGTAAACAAGTTCCATATAAAAGCTATGATGAAAATAAAATGGAATATTGTGGAAAGTGACTGACAGTGGAGGGGGTCCTTTAGTTGGGGCAGTCAGGGAATGTCAGGACACGAATTGTGCCTAGATAATGAGGAGCTGCCAAATGGAGACTTGGGGGAAGAACCTTTATTACAGAAAAGGATACATGAGATGTCCCCCTGCCCACCCATGTCTTCACTGGACTCTGGATCTGAGTTGCTGAAGCCAGAGCAGGGAGCTAGAGATGACTTAGAGGAGCAGGAAGTCTGATTCCCTGGGGGGAACCTTGGAACATCTTCCATCCCTGATAGACCAGGAGAGATGCCCCGGGTCCAGGAAGGAGAAGAATGACTTCTGTTTCCCTTCCTGAAGGCTTCTTGGTGCAGTGTTGAGCTACAGGAAGGCACTAGCCACATGAGCAGGGCCCTTGCTGAAACCCCCTTCCTCCAGGAAGCCTTCTTTGACTGCCATAGGCTGCAGAGGCTCCTCTCCCCCACCTTGTTATAGCTAACAGAACCACTCAGTTCAGAGCTGGTGGTCTTCTGATGATCTGTCCCGGAGATCTGTTCCCTCAGCTTGGCCAGAGCTCCAGGCTTGTGAGTCTGGTCCGCGGGCATTCAAAGGCCCTCAGTGGCATCTGTGCATCAGTGAGACTGCCCGGGGTTCCTGCTCTGAACCCTTGCCCTAGTGCCCCTAGCCTGGCTGAGAACGGAGGGTCAAGTGCCGGGGTTCTAATCTCAATTACTTTATCCAAGCATCCGCTCGCTCATTTACATGTTTCCCTGGGCTCTCCACTCTGCGCCAGGCCCGGTACCTGGAGCTAGGGAAACCGAACATTAGTGCTGGCTCGCCCGCCCCCGCATCCGGGGAGCTCGGCGTTCTCGCGGCCCTGCTCCCCTTGTTTTCAAGTGCAAGTTCCATGTTTCCGTGCTGGGAATAAGGCCAGCCCCGGGTGCCACCATACTCGCCTGATGTCTTACCCCGACCCGCGCCGCCGAGAGCTTGCGGCTACGGGAACGCGGCGCGCCCCGGGGCCACATCTGGCCTAGCGGGCGCGCGCGTGTCACTAAGACGCTCATTCACCGGCGCAGCTGTCACCATAACAACCGGAGCGAGGGAATCCTGGAGACTGCCGGGGCGGGGGGCGGGGGCGGCGGTCGCAGGAGGGACCCGGCGCGGGCGGGACCGCGGCGGTCGGGGGACACCAGCTGCGTCGGAGCGCCCAGAACGCCCCGCGCTCCGCCGAGCCCCGCTCCACGCAGACCCGCGGGCGGGAGGGAGCCACGCACATCGCCGCCGCGGCCGTCTCCGCGGGGCGGTAACCGAGCCTGCCTCGGAGCCGCCGAACGCCCACGCCAGCGACCCTGACTCTATGGCCCCGGGGGAGCGCGCCGGAGCCGCCGCGCCGCCCACCCCCAGCCGGAACCCTAGCGTCCCGGGGAGCAAGCGGGGAGCCCCGGGCGTCCCCGGCCCCGGCCCAGGGCCCTGCTTGTGGCCCCCGCTCCCGCCACGGGGCATGGGAGGCAGGTAGCCCAGCCTGCGCCAGGACACCCGTGGCGGGCGGAACCCGCCAAGGACCGCGAAGTCCAGAGAAAGGAAGCTGAGGAGCTGCCCGCCCGCCCCCGGCTGCAGCCCCAGCAGGGCCCTCCCCCGGTGGCGCGCACCCGCGCGCGCACACTCGCACACCGCACCTCAGCGCCTGCCCGGCCTCGCCCCCACCCGCGAGCGCCGAACCTCCTGGGGCCGGATGCCATGGGTAACAACTTCTCCAGTATCCCCTCGCTGCCCCGAGGAAACCCGAGCCGCGCGCCGCGGGGCCACCCCCAGAACCTCAAAGGTAGGCTCCCCGGCCGAGCGCTGCTGGAGGACTGGGGCGCAGGTGGAGGGCCAGGGAGGTGTGGTTGGGGAGGGCGGGCAGACGCCACCTGTTGTGCGTGTCTGGAGGCCGGAGATGCACCTCTGGCCGTGGAGTGGGCTGGGGGTGGAGGGCAGCCGGCGATGATGGTGATGGAGGATGGCGTCCCGCGGGGTCTGCGCAGTTCTGTCTGCTGGCACTGGGAACGTCACTGGAGTCCCCTCAGGCCATGGTCTTAGGCGAGCCTGAAGAGATGGGAAAGGATGTTTGCCAGGTCGATAGGGGAGTGGGGAGTGAGGAGGGAAGCTTGGGTCGTCCGTGTCTCCAGGGAGGCACCTCGATGGGTCTCCTTTCCATCGGCCCTAGGGCTGGAGAGACCAGGCTGGGAGCACTAGTTGCATTTCCAATGGGAGGGTTTTAAAAATTCAGGACAGGATTACAGCAGCCTGGAAGAAAGGGTCAGAGCTGCTGGTTCCTGGGGTCCTTTGCAGCCGTTGGGTTTTTGCATCCATTGAATTAGTTTGATTTCTGGTTTTCCCAAAGACCAGATATCCAGTCAGAGCCCTAGAAAAGAGGGTCTGGGAGCCTTGAAACAGAGGGACATTTACTAGGAATGTCTTTGCTCTTCACCTCCCCAGATCCACTCAGCACCCTCAGGGTGGCCCTAGGCCCAGTCTCCCCATTCGGAGCCTGCCATTCCTGTCTTGGATCTTCCAATGCTGTCTCTGACCTTTGGAAGACACTGCTGGGTCCTCCCGGGCCCTCAGACCCTACTAAATTCCTTCCGGAAGGTGCTTTTCTGTCACCTCAGAACCAGTGGCACTTGTCCTGGGCATGATGGCTAAAAGCCAGGAAGGGAAGCCCTTGGGCTTTCAGAAAGAATACCCCACTTCCTAAGCTCCTCAGGTTATGAGAAGGATAACAATAGTGCCCTTTAACACAAGGCATCGAACTTTCTCAAACACATTTTCAGTGAGCATGGACACTGCTTGGGGTAGTCAGCAGAGCAGAGCTAATCACACTATACCCATTTTACAGATGAGGAGAACCAAGGCTTGCTTCAGGTTCCCAAAGCCAGCCAGACCTCGGCGCTAGGTGCTAGGCTGTAGACCCCTATCTTTTGACTTGGAATTCTGTCCCTTCTTTTGCTGAACAGTTAACTTTTAAGACCAGGGAAGAGGAGGAGAGATAGGACCACTGTCCTGCATTCTAATACTCCAGCTCTTTCAGAACTTCAGCTTTCACTTGGCTCAGGAAAATCAGTGGATTTGTTGTGTCTTTCTGGAAATTAATATGGCAATACATGTCAAGATACTTTAAAAATATCAATTTGTTGGCAGGGTGCGGTGGCTCACGCCTGTAATCCGAGCACTTTGGGAGGCTGAGGCAGGTGGATCACTTGAGGTCAGGAGTTCCAGACCAGCCTGGCCAACATGGCGAAACACTGTCTCTACTAAAAATACAAAAATTAGCCGGGCATAGTGGTGCGTGCCTATGATCCCAGCTACTTGGGAGGCAGATAGGCAGGAGAATCCCTTGAATCTGGCAGATGGAAGTTGCAGTGAGCTGAGATCGTTCCACTGCACTCCAGCCTGAGCGACAGAGCGAGACTCTGTCTTGCTAAAAAAAAAAAAAAAATCAGTTTGTTGACCTTGTAATTCTACCTTGAGGAATTGATACTAAGGAAGTGGAGATGCAGGAATATATACTTATGGCACTAGGCTAGGATGTTCATGGCAGTGTTATTTATACTAGGTGGATAACCTAAATGCTCAGTAATCATGGTATATATTCTTGGTAGAGTACTATGCAGTGATTACAATTATATTTGTGAAGAATAGTTGATGACTGTGGAAAATGCTCACAGTATAACGACAGAATACAAAGTTGTGAAGACTGTATGATCCCAATTTTGTTTAAAAAGTGGTGTGAATGCAAAAAACCCCAACAAAAACAAAACAAGCAAAAATGCTTGTAAAGTTTCCAAAGGGTTAACAATTATTTCCTCTGGGTATAGGATCATATGGGATTGCATTTTTTCTTTTTTATATTTTGCTCTTTTCTAAAATTTCTATAATAAGGAAGTATTATTTTTGTAATCAGAAATAAGCTATCAGTGTTAGCAAGTATGAAGACTGTTTCTGAGCATTGGAAACAGATTCCTAATGAACCTATGAATATCGTTCAGCTCAACCTTCTCTGCAAGTGAGAATAATGAGGGAAAAGAATAATTATTTGCCCAAATTAAAGTGGCAAAACTTGGCCCTGTCCTTCAGGGGGCAAGGGTTAGCTGGGGGCAGGGGTTAGTTGGCCCTTAATATTCACAGACTATCTTCCTGAGAAGGTCTTGCTCCATCCTTGACTCTGTGGAAACCCAGAGAGCTCCCAACTAATTGCATCTTTTTAATCTAAAATTTGGAATTGTGGGGATCTGAGGTCTCTGTGGCTAGGGTCTTTGGCAGAAGGCAGGAGTGGGGGCCCCATCCACACACCACTGTAGGTGACCATGGGAATTTTGATCCCGCCCCTACTAAGCCTGAAATGAAGGACAGAAGGTACCCATGAAGGCCGCCAGTTGTTGGCTCTGTCCTTCACCCAAGGTCCACTGATCCTCCTTCTCAGCTTGACTTCTAAGGACTTCTTCCCGTCTTTCTACCCTAATAGAGCCATCACCTTTATTCTGTAATTGTTTAGTGTTTATTCCCAATTCTCTTCTAAATGTATCAGCATTGACCTACGAGTCTTCTCTGGTATATCAGTGGTCAGCCAGAAGTTCATTCTAATTGTGTTGGTGTTGACCTGATAGGCTGTGATGCTAACTGCCTAGCCAGAGTTCTGCTGGGATGGCGTCTGTACTCAGCTTGAATTCATCTCTAATTCTTGTCAGTGCTCATCCAGAAATTTGCTGGGAGTAGGGGTGGAGTGACTGTCTTGATTTTTTTCTCTCCTTACATAATTTCAGTCTCTTGATTCCTCACCATTTTAATTAAAACAACTGGAAGGGACCTGGTATAATGGGGATCCTGGGACTGATTGGAGATCTAAGATTGGTCTGGCTGTTAGGCTGACATGACATGGGACATGGGACCCCACCATCGCCTCTCGGGTGATAGACTTTGGTCTTCTTCCTGGGAACACACTGACCCCACTCTGCTGCTGGTGATTCCCACTGGGTTCTGAACAGCGTTGGTCTAGGAGTGTTCAGGGGAGAGGTCCACGGTGTAGCTCTGGGCTTAGAACCAACAGGCAGTGCCCGAGGAGCTCCCATGTGCCCAGCTCAGAGATAAGACACCCCTGGGCTTTCCCAGGCTGGAGATCTACTCAAAAGGCATGGATGAGGGAGTGAATGGAATCAAGTGTTTGCTTGGTTGTACTGTCGAAACCCAGATATGTGGGCAGAGGTCAGACAAGGGGTATCAGGGGAGGATCTGAGCTGGACATGGAGGGAACTGCAGGAACTGGACAGAAAGCAAGGGATGCAGCAGAGTCCTAGGGTGTGGAAGAAGGGGGAAAGGCACTGACAGTAAAGGCTTGGAGGGGCTTGAGCGTATATCTATATATTACATGAAATAGAAAGTATATGTATATGGAAGTTATGTATATATTTTCAGTGAGGGGCACAGAGTGACTGGGGTAGGGTGCACAGGAGGTTCATGCCTCTTGGAGAAAAATACAAAGAATAAAGATTTTCCTCCTTGCCCAGGTCTTTCTGAGTGCCTGACTGGATGGGCTACCTCCTTTTATTTTTTATTTTTGAGACGGAGTCTCGCTCTGTCGCCCAGGCTGGAGTGCAGTGGCGCGATCTCGGCTCACTGCAAGCTCCGCCTCCCGGGTTCACGCCTTCTCCCGCCTCAGCCTCCCGAGTAGCTGGGACTACAGGCGCCCGCCACCGCGCCCGGCTAATTTTTTGTATTTTTAGTAGAGATGGAGTTTCACCGTGTTAGCCAGGATGGTCTCGATCTCCTGACCTTGTGATCCGCCCGCCTCGGCCTCCCAAAGTGCTGGGATTACAGGTGTGAGCCACCGCGCCAGGCCCATTGTTTTTTATTGTAAAATTTATATAACCTGAAATTTACCATTTTAAAATGTATAATTCAGTGGCATTTAGTACATTTACAATATTGTACAACCACCGCCTCTACCTAATTCCAGAATATTTTTATCATCCCAAAAGGAAATGCCATGCCCATTAAGCAGTCACTCCTGTTACCCTCTCCCCTGAATCCCTGGAAACCACGAATCTACTCTTTGTCTGTATGGACTCGCCTATTCCAGGCGTTTAATATACATGGAAGGATACAATATTTGTCCTTTTGTGTCAAGCGTCTTTTACTTAGCATAATCTTTTCAAGTTTCATCCATGTTGTAGCGTGCACCTTTTTTCCTTTTGTGGTTGAATAATATTCTATTGTAAGAGTATGCCACATTTCACTTATCCATTCATCAGTTGGTGGACTTTAGGATGTTTCTACCTTTTGGTTTTCATGAATAATGCTGCTATGAACATCTGTGTCTAAGTCTTTGTTTGAACACCTGTTTTCGGTTCTTCTGGGTATACACCTAAGAGTACACCTCCCATCTTTCAAAAGGTGGTGCTTCTTGAATTGGATACTTCACAAAGTCACTGGTTGTGACAGTTGTAGGAAGGCCGTCCCCCTCCAGCTCTGGCTGGGTGTGACGCCAGCGAGACACCTGTTGTTTTCAGTCTCTTTTCTATGATGGCTGAGGCTGCTGGGGGGCTGAAGGAGAAGCTGCAAAGGTTGACTAAGGGTCTTGATTCTTGTGGTGGGCCAGAGTGTCTGTAGACCCTGAATTTCCTCACTACTCTCTGGGGATGAGAGCAGGGGCAGGGGAAGGCTCATCCTTGGACAAGGTCTTAGCTATTTTTCTTTCTCTCCCTCCCTCCCTCCTTCCCTCCCTTCCTTCCTTCCTTCTCTTCTTCCCTCCTTCCTTCCTTCCTTCTTTCCTTCCCTTCCTTCCTCCTTCCCTTCCTTCTTTTCTTTTCTTTTCTTTTCTTTCAGCTGGAGTGCAGTGGTGGATCTTGGCTCATTGAAGCCTCAACCTCCTGGGCTCAAGTGATCCTCCTGCCTCAGCCTCCCAAGTAGCTGGGACCACAGGCCCACGCCACCACTCCTGGCTTATTTCTGTAGGTTTTTTTTTAAGAGATGGCATCTTGCCATGTTGCCCAGGATGGTCTGGAACTCCTGGACTCAAGCAGACCTCCTGCCTTGGCCTCCCAAAATGCTGGGGCCACTGTGCTCAGCCTCTAGCCATTTTTCTGCATTCACATTCTCGCTGCTACTTCCCCTATCTGAGTCCTCATCCCAGATATTGCCACAGCTGCCATCCTAATTGGCTTCTCTGCCTCCGGTCCCTCCTTCGATGCTGCCGGAGTGATTCTCCCAAAGTACTATCTTCATCATACCCTTCCCCGCTTCAGTCACCATAATGGGATATTCAAGGTCTCCATTCTTTGGTCAACCCACAGATCTTCCCTCAGCTCTTGTCTGGGCTCCTTCCTTGGTTGTCATGACGCTTGCAGATTAGGTGAGCTCATCCAGCTCTCCACCCCCGGGAATGCAGCAGACGGATCTAGGGGGTGCCTGGTGGCCTCCTCAGAGTGACTGGCTGCGTCAGCCCCGTGTTGAACCCAGAGCACCCATCCTGCATGCCCTGTTGGTTTTCAGTTCGGTTTTACCTTTGAACCCTGTTATGTTAATTATCATAATAATATTTACAATAGCTACCATGCACTGGGTGGTTACTTTGTACCAAGTTCTTATATGTGGATTATTTCCATTAATACCCTCCCAACAACCTACAGAAGGAGGTAGCATTGTCACTGTTTTACAGATGGGGGAAAAGGGGCTAAGAGAGGTTAAGTAACTTATCCCAGTCCACACAGTTAGAAACTGATGGGGCTGGGATTCAAAGCCAGGGCTCTCAGACTTTAGAGTTTATTATTGTGATCGCTGTATTATCCTGCCCCTGTAGCATTTAGCCTTGGGTGGGCTCTGTCTTTCATTGTGGGAGAGAGATGGGGGAGTAATTTTTGCGTCTCTGGACAGAGCCCCAGGGCCGGGAAAGGGCACACAATGGGGTTCTTGATGCTTTCTCCCTTGGCTAACCAGAAGATCAGGAGGGCTGTGCTAGTCTGGAATTCCCAGCCTCCTCCCCCTTACGCTTTCTTCGGGGTTTTAGACACTTTGGAGGAAACTTGTGGTTCTTTGGGGCCAGTGTTTCTCAGAGTGAGGTTTTTCTACTGCCTGCATCAGCATTAGCTGGAAGCATGTATACCATGCAGGTTCCCAGCCCCCAGCTCAGACCCGCTGACTCAGAATATATTGGGGATGGGACCCTCAAACCTGCGTGTTTAACAGGGTCCTCAAGATCTGAGAACTGTTGTGACTCTGGGGCCTCAGAACAGTCCTACTCTTGCATGCTTGGAGGAGGTGGGACCAGGCTCCTCAGAGGAGGAGAGCCCAGAGTTGGATGGGGGAGATTTGGAGGGGAGCTAGAAAGGTGTCTTGGTGAGTGGGCTGGCAGCAAAGGCACAGAGGCAGAGAAACACAGGATGTGTTCAGGGATGGTGAGCAGTCCTCTTGCCTGGATGTGGGGTCCCCAGTGGGGAGGTTAACAGGTCAATCTTTGAAGGTAGGCTAGGGTCATATCTTGGAGGGCCTATGATATTAGGACGAGGAGGTTAGATTTTATCCTGTAGGCATTGGGAGCCATGGACAGCTTTTGAGCAAGATGCATGTAGTGATTTTATTTCAACAGCACCAACAGTGGTGGAAGGCAGGCTGGGGAGAGGAGGAGATGAGGCATCTTGAGCTGCTGAGAGGTTCACAGAGGCTGTCAGCCTTCTGTCCTAGGCCACGCTGAAAGGGCTGGGCGTGACAGCCAAGCTGACCTGCTCATCTGGAGTTCCCATGGGCAAGTCTGAAAGCATTTCCAACCCACAGCTATGGGCAGCAGGACCACTGCTCATAGGCAGGAAAAAAAAACAACAAAAACCAGCAATGAAAGGATTTTTAAGAAGCCCAAGTTCTGATGCTAGGTGTATTCATGTAAATAAATTCATTTAATCTCCCCATAAAGGAGAGGTAGGTATTATTCCCACTTTATTTATTATTATTATTATTATTATTATTATTTTGAGACGGAGTTTCCCTCTTGTCACCCAGGCTGGAGTGCAATGGCGTGATCTCAGCTCACTGCAACCTCTGCCTCCCGGGTTCAAGTGATTCTCCTGCCCCAGCCTCCTGAGTAGCTGGGACTACAGGCGCCTGCCACCAAAGTCCAGCTAATTTTTGTATTGTTAGTAGAGACAGAGTTTTGCCATGTTGGCCAGGCTGGTCTCGAACACCTGACCTCAGGAGGTCTGCCCGTCTCGGCCTCCCAAAGTGCTGGGATTATAGGCGTGAGCCACCACACCCGGCCATTATTTATTTATTGTAGAGACAGAGTCTCTGTATGTTACCCAGGCTAGATTCAAACTCCCGGGCTCAAGCGATCCTCCTGCTTCAGCCTCCTGAGTAACTGGGACTGCAGGCGCACACCACTGTGCCAGGCTCTTATTATTCCCATTTTATACACGAGACAGCTGAGATTAATGGATGTGAAGAGTGCTGCCCAGAAACACTGAGCTAGGAAAGAGCAGGGCTGGGATCTCTACTCAGGACACCAAAGCTGATCAGCGAGGAAACTGATCTTGGGGGGAATTTCTCCATATTAGGACTCTTTTCCTGGGCCCTCTGGGATGGTGTCTTAGTCGGCTTGTTCTGCCATAACAAAATACTACAGACTGGATGGCTTAAACAATGGAAATGCATTTTCTCAGAGTCCTGGAGGCTGGAAGTCTGAGATCAAGGTGCCAGCACTGTCAGGTTCCATTGAGGGCCCTCTTCCTGGCTTTCAGGTGGCTCCTTCTTGCTGTGGCCTCACATGGCCTGTCCTTGGTGTGTGCATATGGAGCGAGAACGATCTTTCTCTCTTCCTCTTATTATAAAGCCGCTAATCCTATCAGATCAGGACCTCACCCCTCTGACCTCATTTAACTTAATTACCTCCTAAAGACCCTATCTCCAAATATAGTCATATTGGGCATTAGGGTTTCAATATATGAATATTGAGGGGGCGGGTAAAATTCAGTCCATAGCAGATGGCATGTGCTCACTTCCAAGGTGTGCACAGTGAGGCACAGGCATTGGTTCTAAATCACAGAGCCCAAGATGGAGGCAGGACGAGCAAAAGCAGTAAGAAAAGGAGGAAGAGTGAGGATAGGAAGGAGGGTGGGAGCTGGGCACTGCCCAGGGTGTGCCAGGGCCGCCTGTTTCCTGTTAGTTTGTGCCTGTCTCATTCCTGGACCTGCACACCCAGGGGCTAGAACTGAGGGGCTGCTTCACGCTGAGCCGGTTGCTTTGGCAACCCTGGGCAGGATGCAAGTGGTCTCCTTGGTAACGCCTGGGAAACCTGCCTCAGGGATGGAGGGAAGTGAACTGGCCAGCATCAGGCTCGGTGGCACAGGCAGAACTGGCCCTGGCTGCTGAGACAAGCTGGCCGATAGGAGGGCCAGCTTCCCAAATAGCCTGGGCTGCCTTTTGGCCATTTCCAGCAAGCCAGAGTCCAAAGGCCCTGTGGAGCCTGTGGGTCCCGCCTGGCCAGACCAGAGGCGCTAATGGGCCAGCCCAGGAAGTGGGAGGTGGTGAGGGGCTGGGGAGAGGGAGAATATAGCTTCTGGATGACAGATCCAGCTCCAGAGTTTATTAAAAGATGCTTATCAGGAGTCATCCCCCGGATGGCTTTGGGAAATGAGCAGGTGTTGACACTTGTAGGGGGTAAGAGGGCAGAACTTAGAGAAAAAGAAGGGCTAAGAGAAGAGGAGGAGGAATAAGCAGGAGTCACTGGGAGGCAGGTGGGAGGCCTTGGCTTTTTCTCTGCTCTAGTGACAGTTCCAAGGGGAGGTGGGGCTCTGGCACTGGGCTTGGGAACTGAAGTTCTCTGAGGATGAGAGTTGGGGTTTGTGGGATGCACTGATGGGGACGGTAAGAGGTAGGTGGGAGAGCTCATTTCATTGTTAAACTAAGCATCAGCTGAGGGCCATCAGCCGTGGGCTAGACACCTTCCTGGGCACGCCGATACGGTGAGAAATGCAATAGGTGAGTGCTCACCACTTCCAGCTTACCCTTTAGTGGGAAGGCAGATGGGAACAAAAATGACAAATGCATAAAAATGAATCTGGAGATCACAATTGCTAACATATATGTGCTAGAGCTCATGCTGTGCTCCCCCTGGCTTTTTTTTTTTTTTTTTTTTGAGACAGGGTCTTGTTCTGCTGCCCAGGTTGGAGTGCAGTGGCGTGATCACAGCTCACTGCAGCCTCACCCCCCGGGCTCAATGGATCCTCCCTCCACAGCCTCCTGAGTAGCTAAGACTACAGGTGTGCACCATCATGCCTGGCTAGTATTTTATTTATTTATTTATTTATTTATTTATTTATTTATTTATTTATCTTTTTGGAGACAGAATTTCACTCTGTCGCCCAGGCTGGAGTGCAGTGGCGCCATCTCAGCTCACTGCAACATCTGCCTTCCAGGTTCAAGGTATTCTTCTGCCTCAGCCTCCTGAGTAGCTGGGATTACAGGCACACACCACCACGCCCGGCTAATTTTTGTATTTTTAGAGAGCTGGGGTTTCACCATGTTGGTCAGGCTGGTCTTGAACCCCTGAACTTGTGATCTGCCCTCCTCGGCCTCCCAGAGTGCTGGGATTACAGGCGGGAGCCACTGTGCCTGGCCTGTTGTCATGTTTTCTTAGTCTCCCTCCTCTTGGTTGTGACAATTTCTCACACTTTCCTTGCTTTTGATGACCTTGACAGTTTTGAGGATTACTGGTTACGTATTTGTAGACTGTCTCTCTATTGGGATTTTTGTGGTGTTCTTCTCATGATTAGATTGCGGTTTTAGGTTTTGGAGTGAAAGACCACAGAGGTAAAGTGCCATTTCCCATCATATCAACGGCACATGCTGTCAACATGACTCATTGCTGTTGATGTTGACCTTGAGCGCCTGGCTGAGGGAGTGCTTGTCAGGTCTCTCCATTGTGCAGTTAAAGTTACACTTTCCTCCCTTTCTATTGCATTCTTTGGAAGGAAGTCACTGTGTGCAGCCCACACTTAAGCGGTGGGGGGGTTACGCTCCACAGGGGTGGGTGTTTACGTTCCACCTCCTGGAGGCCAGAGGCCCCGCTATCTTTAACAGTTCTTCTCCACTACTTCTTTAATTTCTTACCCAAACAATTATCTCTGGGTAAAGGCTTTGAAGGAGAAACTAGGGAGCTATAAGGGGGGAACTTGACTTGGTCTTGGGGATCAGGGAAGGTTTCTCTAGGAAGTGACCTGAAAATGAGTAGGGGTTGGCCTCAGTTCCTAGATGGGAAGCTACTAGCACGTTAGGCGAGAACTGTTCATTTCTCATCCTTGGCCTCTGCCGATTAAATGCCACTGGCCGCTCCAAATGCCAATGTGCCATTAAAAAAATAATAGCTCTCCTGTATCTTTTTTTTTTTTTTTTTAAAGAAACAAAGTCTTGCCTTGTTATCCAGGCTCTGGAGTGTGGTGGTTGTGACCTTGGCTTGCTGCAGCCTCAACCTTCTGGGCTCAAGCAATCCTCCCACCTCAGCCTCCTGAGTAGCTGGGTCTACAGGCACACAATACCAAGCCCAGCTAATTTTTTTTTTTTTTTTTTTGGTAGACGGAGTCTTGCTCTGCTGCCCAGGTTGGAGTGCACTGGTGCGATCTCAGCTCACTGCAACCTCCATGTCTGGGTTCAAGCAATTCTCTCTGCCTCAGCCTCCCGAATAGCTGGGATTACAGGCACCTACCACCACACCTGGCTAATTTTTGTATTTTTTAGTAGAAACAAGGTTTTGCCATGTTGGCCAGGCTGGTCTTGAACTCCTGACCTCAGGTGATCTGTCCACCTTGGCCTCCCAAAATGTTGGTATTACAGGCTTCAGCCATTGCTCTCAGCCCTGGCTAATTTTTTAATTTTTGTAGAGACAGGATGTCACTATGTTGCCCAGGCTGGTCTCAAACTCCTGGCCTCAAGTGATCCTCCCACCTTAGCCTCCTAACGTGTTGGGTTTACAGGCATGAGCCACCATGTCCAGCCAGCCAGCTCTTCTGTATCTTAAAAAGCACCCTAGACGGGGCAGTACTACCCCAGTTGAGCTGGGTATGGAGGCCACATGAAGGGTGTTCTTAGGAGAAGGAGCTCAGGACTGGCTCAGAGCTGCTGCCGGGTACAGCAGGGCTGAGCCCTGGCCAGAGTCACCCCAGCCCTCCTGGCCAAGGAACTTTCAGCAGAAAATCATTAAGTAGCTGCTTCCTTGCCTCTCAGAGGTGTCCCACCCGCTTCTCACTCATTCTGTCCGTGGAAGTACATTGCTGATCACAGACTGTGTGGGGACAGGGGAGGAGGAGGAGGAGAGAGGGCCCTTCTTGGGATGGGGGGACAGAAGAGGGAAGTATGTCTGCTGGCTTACCCAGATGGCCTTCTTTAGCCTTGTTGCCCTAGAATGCCATCCTGGCTGCTCCAGCGGTTGGGGTAAGGACGGAAAAGGGAGAACGTTGACAGGCGAGGTTGCTAGGATTAAGATGATGGCAGGTCCACATGCTCTTGGCTTTCACCTTCATCCTTCCCACTTGGCTTGCCCCAGCCCCTGCCTGGTGTCTGCTGAGAGGCTGATGTTCTCCAGGGCATGGGGCAGTCCAGAGTATGTGTGTCCAAGTATGGGTGTCCAGGTGCCCCTGAGAGGGAGGGGAGGAGGCACTCTGGCCCAATCAGGGTAGAATGAGGCTGTAAGGATATTCTAGCTGATTCATTTCATGTATTGGTGCCTGCTCTGAGCTAGGCATGGTGCTGGGTATGGAGAATTGAGAGGTGAGTACTGGGCATGGTCTCTGCCCTGACATACTCAGGGCCCTGCCTTGTCCAATTCAGTCGGTCCTTATTGGCAGGAGGGTCCTCCCTTCTTCCTCCTCCTCCTCCTCCTTCACGTCTGCTGTCTGCTTTTTTTTTTTTTGAGACGGAGTCTCACTCTGTCGCCCAGGCTGGAGTATAGTGGTGCAGTCTTGGCTCACTGCAGCCTCCACCTCCCGGGTTCAAGCGATTCTCATGCCTCAGCCTCCCAAATAGCTGAGACTACAGGTGTGCACCACCACGCCCAGCTAATTTTTGTATTTTTAGTAGAGACAGGGTTTCACCATGTTGGCCAGGCTGGTCTTGAACTCCTGACCTCAAGTGATCTGCCTGCCTCGGCCTCCCAAAGTACGGGGGATTACAGGTGTGTGCCGCTGTGCCCGGCCCACTTCTGCTTTCTTTTCCTTTTCTTGCCCTGCTCTTTCCAGCTAATGTTCCTTTAAACACATTCTTCCCGAAGGGAGAAGGTCTGGCAGGTACCAAGCACAGGCACAAAGTCAGGCCTGTGCTTGGTTCCTGGTGGAAGGGCTGGTGGCCACTGATTCAAACATCAGAACCCAAGTGTATCATGGAGATTGTTTTGCCCTACCTGCTTTCTCATCTCAGGTCCCCTTGGCCCCAGAGTGGGAAAGTGACCTGCCCAAGGTCATACAGCTGGATTGGACCAAGCAGTAACAAGATCCCCAGGCTCTGACCTTGCAGGATGATGCTCTTAGGAGCTGCTGGAAGCTGACTCCAGAGGAACACCTGAGGGGGACAAGTGCTGGCCCTAAATGTGATGCAGATGCTCCTCTGCTTAGAGTGTGACGCCTGAGGGGAGTCACTGAAGAGCCTTAAACAGAAGAGTGACAGGATCACTTAGATGTGCTAGTAGGCTCTTGGGGCAAGAGATGGGGAGGGGTGGAGAGGGGCCAGGCAGGAGTCCACTGCAGTCCTTTATGCAAGGAGAGAGGTGTGGCTTCTGTCAGAGTTGGGCAGGCGAGCAGATTGACTCGGGAGATACTTTAGAAGGTCAACTTGAAGCTCTGGAGGTGGGTCCAGGAGAGGGAGCTGTTGGGGAGCTGCTTGTGCCATCTCTGAATCCTGACATCTGTGGCAGTGGTCAACATGCACCTGGGGGCTCTGTGGAAGGTCAGGGTGTGCACACTTGGGACCTGTGCTCCTGCCGTGGGTGTGAGGTTTTACAGCCAGGAAGAGAGACAGGTGAGCAGGCTGGGCAGGCTCTGAGCTGTGGTTCCATCCCTACCCCTTGGGACACCATCAATCATTAATGTCCTCTCTGCCTGTCACAGGTGGCTCCCAGGAGGGCAGAGGCAGCACCTGCGGTGTGATGTGCACCTGGCTTCTTTTCTGCCAGGGACCTGCAGCCCTGCCCCAGCCAGGCTCTCTCAGGTGGCTCGCCTCCCTGTAGGTTCCAGTTCCCAGCCACACACACACAAGCCCCTGAAAGGTGGCCATAAATCAGCCGGGACAGGCCAAGGTTGCTCTGGCTTTCCCAGAGTGGAGATCAAAGCCCCAGACCCCCACCCTGGGGCTCAGCACTTATTAAATTATAAAACTGTCAAGGGATGGACAAGCAAGAGGGACTGGATGGATGGCCCTGTAGTAAAACAGAATGCGGAAGAGCAGCTGAGAACCAGGCAACAGCTGGGAAAGTGGGGAGAGGAGGAAACGCCTGTTTGTCTCCGCCCCTGGGCTTGGGGACTTCTCACAGGGTCAGGTCCCTCGAATTTGAAAAGCATGTAACCAACCCCTCTCCCCTCCCATGACAGAATTCACAGCACACTTTACAGAGGAGACACTGAGTCCGAATTGCCACAGGACTGTGAAAGTCCGATCTTCCAAATCTCACTCAGATTCTTCCTGGGTCTCTTCATGGGACCTCTTTGAATTAGCATTAGGGTGACATCCATTTGCGACTCTCATCCTCAGGATACAGCTAGGACCTCTTTCTGTCTCTGAGCGCCCTGACTTCTCTTCCAGCCCCGAGGGACAAAGGCAGACCTTGGACTCAATGGAGTGCCAGCCCTGTCTGGGTGGACAGACTTTCTCACCCACCCCTCCGCAAGTCCCATGCAGGAAACCCCCTCTTTGGAGGGCTGAGAGGGCTTAGCCAGTGCCTGAGAGGGGCAGAAGGGGTTTTCCCTTTCTGAGGCTGGCGTTTGCAGATCTGTGGGACTGAGGAGACCAGCCAGACATGCAGACCCTGATGTGGGCCCAGGGGTTGGAGGAAGCGGTTGGGATAGGTCATGAGGGAGCAGAATGCCACTCACATGAAAGTTTCGGCCTCAGAGGGCAGCCCGCCAGGAAACTAGGGCTCTGTGTGCATGAGGGAGTCCTGCCTCCTTCACAGCAAAATGTGAAAGAAGCTGTTTTAGGGATCTTGGGTTTCCTCATCTGATCCCCCAAGTTGAGGTTGTGTTAAAGAAACCAAATACAGGGTCAGGTGCGGTGGCTCATGTCTGTAATCCCAGCACTTTGGGTGGCTTTGGCTTAGCTTCACCTCCTTAGCACGAGGCTGAGGCGGGTGGATCACCTGAGGTCAGGAGTTCGAGACCAGCCCGGCCAACATGGCGAAAGCCCATCTCTATTAAAAATACAAAACAATTAGCTGGGTGTGGTGGCGCACACCTGTTAGTCCCAGCTACTCAGGAGGCTGAGGCAGGAGAATCACTTGAACCCAGGAGGCAGAGGCTGCAGTGAGCCAAGATCGCACCACTGCACTCCAGCAGCCTGGGTGACAGAGCAAGACTCTGTCTCAAAAAAAAAAAAAAAAAAGAGAAAGAAACCAAATACAGTTGTGTGTGGCTTAACAATGGGGACACATTCTGAGAATTGTGTTGTTAGGCGATTTCGTCATAGGGGAACAGCACAGAGTGCACTTACACAAACCTAGATGGTGTAGCCTCCTGCACATCTAGGCTATGTGTTGTGGCCTATTGTTCCTTGGCTACAAACCTATATAGCATTACTGTGCTAGATACCGCAGGCAGTGGTAACACAAGGGTAAGTATTTATGCACCTAACCATAGAAAAGGTAACATAATGCATTGCACGATGATGTTATCATGGCTACGACATCACTGGGTGATAGGAATTTTTCAGCTCCGTCATAATCTTATGGGATCACTGTCTTATATGTGATCTGTCATTGAACGAAATGTCATTGTGCGGCTCATTTCTGTATAAGAAGAGGCCAGATCGGCTTTTGAAGAGAGAGCTCCCTCCCCAAGATTCAGGACTTTTTCTGAAAGTGGAGGTTTTCTGTCTGGTGCTAAGGTTCTCAGTTCCTGAGGCATGAGGTGGTATTTTGGGGTGAAGGTGCTATTTCTGCAGGCAAGATTTTGGGCTGATCTTGAGGCTCCCATTTGGGAGTATGGGTTCCAGGTTGAGGATGAGGGTTCCATTCCTGGAGGGCAGGTTTCCGTTTCAGGGTCCAGGATTTGTGATTGTGTTTCAGTCTTGTGGTCAAGAGTCCATTTTGGAGCTCAGTATTCTGGAATTGGGTTGAGATTCTCTCCCTGGGTGGGGTTTGATGATCAGGGTGGAGGTCTTGTACCCTGGGAGGAAGGGAAGAGCTAGAACCTCCTTCCTCTTCTAGAGGAGACTTCCTGGGGCCATCAGCAGATGAAGGGGCCGGTAGAGCAACCTCTGAGCTGACACCTGGGAGGCCCAGGCTCCAGCCCTGGCCTTGGTGTAAGACTGTTTGTGGGTAAGTCACTTATAAGCTCTAGGTCTCTGGCTGCAAGCTTTGGCCGGACAGTGATGTTGACTCACAAAGCACCATCCATGTTCACTTGAGCTTCCCAAAATGACACTAATGGTGGGCTCCGTAGACACCCACGGCCACTGCTTTGCTTGGTGAGTCAAATCCATGGTGACAGGACTCAGGCTGCCCTGGGCACTGCCAGCTTGGTCCAATTAGTGCCAATTGGATCTTAACGTGTGCTGAGCGGCCCCTGGGGAGAGTGAGCACACATCGAGTGGGACATGTTAAATCTGGGTCCCTGGGGCTTGGCATGTGGCTCTGTGGGGCGGGAGATGGGCCAGGTTGGGCCAACAGCCCCCCTCCTTGTAGGCCAGCTCTTACCTAGGCCAGGCAGTGGGCAAAGACATGTGGCAAGCCAGGTTCTGAAGGGGCCCAGCTGTCTCCCTTGTGCTGTGCTGAGGGGCTGAGACCCAGAGGGGCTGTTCTTCACCCCTGGCTGGGCTGACCCCTGCCTGAGAAACATCTGTGTCTATATAGGACTGCCACCCACACCCCTCCTCTGTTTCTCTCTTGCTACCTCCAATGTGGATCCTTCTCTTGGAGAGCTAAAGTTGCTGGGAAGAAAAAGTTCCATTCCATTTGTCCTGGGCTTTGAGCTCTGGGAAGCCCTCTTCCTTCCCAGGTGTTGCTCAAGACCCCCCTAGAAGTTTCTCAGGCAGGCGGTCTTGGCCTTATTTCCTGGATGTTTCCAGGCCACCCCCCGCCGCTGTTTCCCATTTCCACTGCCCAGGTCACACCATTGCCAGTGGGCCTTGAATGGGGGGGCTCCTGACTTGGCCTCTTAGCCCGCATCCACCCTGCTGCAGGTGGACTTCCCCATCTCAGAGGCCCTCCTTTGTTTTACCAAAACAGGCGACAGGATAGGAGTGAGTGGGGGACATGCTTTCCAGGTCTAGGGCAATCTCTTCTGTGCTCTG
Source organism: Homo sapiens (assembly GCF_000001405.40). Taxonomy (NCBI): domain Eukaryota; kingdom Metazoa; phylum Chordata; class Mammalia; order Primates; family Hominidae; genus Homo; species Homo sapiens. The sequence goes on from NC_000010.11 coordinate 103,511,161, forward strand.
AAAGGACATCTTTGGGATAGAGTCCTTTCCCTGAAGTGCAGGAAACTCAGGCACTTGAGAAGAGGGGGAACTTTCTCCACCAGCCAGTCTGTCCCAGGGACACAGGGGGAGCTCTGGGTCTGCAGGGACCCCCAGGCCCCCTCTCTTGGCCTGGCCATGGAACCTGAGAGGCTGAGAGGCCTGGGGGTCCCACTGGGCTATGGAAACCCAACCCACATGCTGACGCTGGTGCAGCCCAGCAGGCCTCTGGAATTCTCCAGCAGCATCTGAGGGGACCTGGGGTGCAAGGAGGGAAGAGGAAAGGTAGGCAGGATAGAATGCACTGTAGCCAAGGCATAGACTCTGGAATTGGACTTTGTCTTGGCTCCCTGGGCCTCAAAGCTTAACTTCTCCATGTCCTAATTCCTTATTTGAGGTAATGCTTGACTAGTAATAAAAGCATAATAAATATTAGCTATGGTTGCCATCGTTGGGCTCATCCTTCAGGTCTTGGCTTAGCTTCGCCTACTCTAGGAAGCTTTCCCTGACCACCGGGTGGGTTAGATGGCTTCTGCTGTCCCTCTCTGGCTGCCCTGGGCTTCACCATCCTCGCACTGATCACACTAGCTGCCAGGCCTGTTTGCTTGTCTGTATTTTTTACTGTCTCTCTTGCTTACTGCTGTATCACCACCACCAGTGCCTGGCACACACAGTAGGCACTCAACTATGTTTTGAAATTAATGCAAGAATGGGCTGATTCTGGGGAATTCAAACTTTTCTTCTATGGGCTCTTCAGGGCTGCCGCAGCCACATCCAGTTAGTTCTCTGCTGAAATGACATTTTCTGAATACCAGGCTCTGGAGCCCAGACAAGAGCAAGATGGAACCATTGCTTCATTCATTCATTCATTCATTGATGGCACAGATGTTCTTTGGGTGCTCTTTAGGTGTCAGGCCTTGTGCCAGGCTCTGGAGACAGACATGGTTCTGCCCTTATAGAACTTGTGCTGCTGATCACTTGGGCAGAGGGAGGTCAGAAGTCAGAGGAGAGAGTGGTCAGTTAGGCTGAATGGAATCAGGGAGAACTTCCAGGAGAAGGGGTTTGCTTTGAAGAATGGTGGAGAAGTTTAGATGGACAGAGAGGGGCTTTCTCTTGGGAGTGGGCAAGGAGCTGATGGAGGAGATGGAGCCACCTATGTGTAGCCATGAGGCAAGGCTGACCAGTGACAGTGTGGCCTGAGGCTGTGCAGCCAACCCACAGGACTCAAAAGCTGTGGGGACCATTGGTCCTGGCTCTGCCAGCCACAGATAGGTGACCTTGGGCAGGGCACTTCTCTGTCCCTCCAAGTAGTTTAGTCATTTCTAAGATGGGAACTGGCTGGGTGAGGTGGTTCATGCTTGGAATCCCAGCACTTTGGAAGGCTGAAGTGGGTGGATTGCTTGAGCCCAGGAGTTCAAGACCAGCCTGGGTGACATGGAGAAACCCCATCTCTACCAAACAAACATAAAAAGGACGGGAGCTGTGCTGCTCGGCAGTTTCCCCAGCGCCCGCAGGGTTGGGCTGGGCTCAAGGGCAGGTATGTGTGGAGGGAGGCTTGTGTGGGAAAGGGGAGGGCTTCAGGTGTCTCTGTTTTGTAAATAATTAAATTCTTATCTTAAGCTAGTTGTGTCCACACTGAGGGAGGCAGGAGGGGGACTGGGAACAAGGTGCTGTGTTGTCCAGGAAGTGGCTGGGTCCCTTCTCTCCCCTCTTCCCTCCCTCCTGGCCTCCCAGTCAAGGCAGGTGGTGGGGGCCCCTAGGGTCTTCTCGTCTCTGGCTGCCTCACTCCTTCCCCGTCTTTCTCTCTCCCTCTACCTTCTCATTTCTGGTTCCCTGTCACATTCCCACCTCTACGACATAAAGGACCCCCTGCCCCTCTCCATTGACACCCCCCCAGGCCACCATGGCCACCATCACCCGGTGCCCACCCGGCTTTGCTGCCTGCTGAAGTCTTGCTCGCTCCCCAGCAGCCCTCCCTGGCAGCCCCCAGGTCTGCTGAGCCTCTCGGGAGGCCTCAGGGGAGCACTGGCCTCTCCCTTGCCCCAGTGCTCCAGAGACAAGCAGGCACATTTTCATTTTTAGTGCTTACTACTGGGAATGTGAAGGTCTGTTTAGTCTTGTCCAGCTAACATAAACCAGCCGGAACTGGGCCGTGGCAGGGAACTTTGCTGTAGTTCCCTTATTTGGAATGAAATTCATTGTTTTTCACTGGGAGGTATTGGGGGCTTTGGGGAGGCCCCACTGGGCCCTGCCCCAGGGTGTGGCCTGAGTGGCCTCTCCAAGGCTCACTGAGGTGCCTGTGCCACAGAGGCTAGCCCTGGGATACCTCAGCCCCTGCCAGGTTCACAGACTGCGGACAGCCGCGAGCCACGCCTAGTGCCTCAGGAATGGAGAGTGTCTGGGGTCATGTCCAACTCTGTCAGTTCACAGAGGAGAAACTGAGGCTCACAGAGGAGCAGGGACCTACCCAGACTCACAGGGCAAGTTGAAGCAGGTGGAGGTCTAGAACCCAGGGCCCCTGGTCCTCTGGTTCTCAGACCTCTATACTGTGGGGCCAGGGTGCCTCTGGCCTAGGAGCTGGTGAGGGTGGGGGGTGGGAGGACAGGGGTGCGGATGAATCTGGCTGGAGTGGTCTGCAGCTTGGGAATCCCCCAAGGCCTCTGGGGCAGGCTAGTGTGAGGCCTGGGGCAGTGAGGCCGGGGGAGGGCTGTGGGAGAGGAGGAAGGGGAGGTGAGAGGAGAGGGAGAGGTGTCCAAGAGGCTGGGGGAGCTGGATCCGGCCCTGACCCCGCTGTTGTCAGTGTGACTTTAGCCTTGGTTTCCCCCATCTGTCCCAGAGGCTCAGTCTTTTTACTTTTTCTCTTTCTTTTTGCACCTCTCCCAGGAGGTCTCCTGGATGAACTGAGTTGGGGATGTTTCTTTTTCTTTTTTTTTCTTTTTTTTGAGACAGAGTCTTGCTGGAGTGTAGTGGCACGATCTTGGCTCACTGCAACCTCCGCCTCCTGGGGTTCAAGCAATTCTCCTACCTCAGCCTCCCAAGTAGCTGGGACTACAGCATGCGCCACCAAGCCCAGCTAATTTTTTTTGTATTTTTAGTAGAGATGGGGTTTCACCATGTTGGTCAGGATGGTCTCGATCTCTTGACCTTGTGATCTGCCCACCTCGGCCTTCCAAAGGGAGTGTTTCTTACCTGCCATGGACCGCGTCCCCGGGCTGGTTACTATCCCTCTCTGTGCCCAGGCTCCTTTCCTTGTCAAGTGGAGTGTGGACTCTCCTTGAGGCCTCTGCTCTCTGACCCCTCCTGCCCCAGCCTGGGCCATCTGCCCCTGGGCTTCTCTTCACTCTAGACTCCTGAGTCTGCAGGGTCTGGCCCCTCAGACCCAAAAGTTTGTCTGGGGAAGTCCTCCTGCTCAGACCCCCAGCCCTGCAGAGAGGGCAGGGCTGGTGGAGAACAGAGGGAGTAGCCCCTGGCACTGTGGCAAGGGAGTGAGATTGACAGGCAGATCTTGGGTTCAAACCTTGACTCTGACACTTATTAACTAGGCTATTAATTTGGGGCAGCTACTTCAAAACCCAGGGACCCTAAGGGCCCCATACGTAGGATAGGGAGTGGGGCAGGAAGCATGCATGCCCAGGGCCACCGACAGGGGTGTGCTCAACTCTAGGTGCCTCAGGCCAGCCTTGGGGCTCTCTCTGGACAGCCCCCTCTCCCCATCCACCTCACCACCCTGTGGCCTTAGTTCTATCTCAGTCTACTCAAGAAACATCAGGCTGGGCAGGTGGCTCATGGCTGTAATCCCAGTACTTTGGGAGGCCGAGGCAGGTGGATCACCTGAGGTCAGGAGTTTGAGACTGGCCTGGCCAACATGGTGAAACTCTGTCTGTACTAAAAATACAAAAATTAGCCAGGTGTGGTGATGGGCACCTGTAATCCCAGCTATTCGGGAGGCTGAGGCAGGAGAATCGCTTGAGCCTGGGAGGCGGAGGTTGCAGTGAGCTGAGATCACGCCGCCGTACTCCAGTCTGGGCGACAGAGCAAGACTCTGTCTCAAAAAAAAAAAAAAAAAAAAAAAAAAAAAGAAACATCAAGTGTGTGTTTAGATATTCTTTCCAGAGGAAGTTCCCCACTTCACATCCTTTAAAATAACTTCTCATTTACTCACTTATTCTTTTCACAGGAAACGCACAGCTGGGACGTAGGAGGCTGTAACTGACCAGTGTGGGACTGGAAAAGGAAAGAGAGATGTTAGAAAGTGTGGGCCTGGGGAATCCTAACTAGAAGGCCCCTGGTGCTGGGGAAATTAGGGTAGGAGATGCTGCATTGTTTACTATGAAAATTCCAGTCACTGCTCTTTTAGCAGTCATGCTAGTACATTAGCCAAGGCTGTTTATAAAGGTATAGTAAACTTTCACTTCTGCAAGGTCAGTGAGACTCTCATTTGCAAAAGATCATCTTGTTGCCAAGAACAAATCACCACCTAGTGAAACATTTAGCTCAGCCATGAAAGTGAAACCAGATGACGAATGAACTAGTGTCCACACAGACCCTAGGTGTCTCTGGGCAGTAGGAGCTATTGAAAGTTTTAGATTTGCTTTTTGGAAAGATCGTGCTGGCTACCCTGTGGAGGATGGAGTTAAGAGGGACAAGTTGGAAGACCACTTATGAAGGAAGTGAAGTTGTCTAGGGGAGGGATGCTGAAGCCTGAACTACAGATGTGGTCCAAGAGAGGAAGGAACACGTTTGAAACATATTTAAGAGGTGTGCTTTGGCCGAGTGCGGTGGCTCATGCCTGTAATCCCAGCACTTTGGGAGGCCAAGGCAGGTGGATCACTTGAGTCCAGGAGTTTGAGACCAGCCTGAGCAACATTGCAAAACACCATTTCTACAAAAATATAAAAAATTAGCCGAGTGTGGTGGTGTGCGCCTGTAGTCCCAGCTACTTGGGAGGCTGAGGTGGGAGGATCATTTGAGCCTGGGAGGTGAAGGTTGCAGTGAGCTGAGACTGCACGACTGCACTCCAGCCTGGGTGATAGAGTGAGACCCCATCTCAAAAAAAAAAAAAAAAAGAAAAGAAAAAAATAAAAGGTTGTGTTTGGCAGCACTGATAACTGAATGATGCAGGCGGTGAGAGTGAGGGAATAATCCAAGATTATTCCTGGTGCCAGGTTTTCAGGTGACTGGGAGAATGGTGATCCCATCAGGACCCCAAGCAGAAGGCGGGGGTTGGAGGGAAAGATGATAGGTTGAGTTTTGGCCAGGGTGTGTCAGAAGAGCCCTGAGATATCCTGGGGGAGACGCTGGGTTGGCAACTCCATGTGTGAGCTTGAATCTCAGAAGAGAGATCAGGGCCACAATGAGTTGTCAGCAGTGGGTGTCACTTAAACCATGAGAGTGGTTGAAATATCACAGGGTGGACAGAATGAAACCATGAAGAAGGTGTGGGAGAGGTACAAGGAGAATCAGGAAAGGTCAGAGGGCCAGAGAGGCCAAGGGAGCAGAGTTTAGAGGTATGATATGGCACAGTGCAGTGGTTCTCTAAGGGCCTACGAATTGCCTGGAGAGCTTGGAAAAATGTAGATTCCTCCTCAGGGGACCTGGAATAACCAGTACGATTCTGGAAGAAAGAAAAACCTGGAGGACTTACACTTCCTGATTTATTTACTTTCCTTTCTCCTTTCTCCTTTCTTCCTTCCTCCCTCCCTCCCTCCCTCTCTTCCTTCCTTCCTTCCTTCTTTGGAAGAAAAACCTGGAATACTTACACTTCCTGATTTATTTCCTTTCCTTTTCCTCCCTCCCTCCCTTCCTTTCTTCCTTCCTTCCCTCCATCCTTCCTCCCTCCCTCCCTCCCTTTTCTTTTTTCTTTTTTGAGACAGGGTCCTACTCTGTCACCCAGGCTGGAGTACAGTGGCGTGATCTCGTCTTACTGCAGCCTCCACCTCCTGGGCTCAAGGGATCCTCCCACCTCAGCCTCCTGAGTAGCTGGGACTACCAGCATGTGCTACCACGCTCAGTTGATTTTTAAACTTTTTGTAGAGATGAGGTCTCACTATATTGCTGAGGCTGGTCTTGAACTCCTAGGCTCAAGCGATCCTCCTGCCTTGGCCTCCCAAAGTGTTGGGATTACAGGTGTGAGTCACCATTGTGTGACCTGCCCTATACCATTACTCACCTTCTTCAAACTTCTAATAATAAACAAGAAATACCTACTGTTTAATGACCTCCTACTGTGTACCAGGCCCTGAGCCCCAAGACCCACAGCTCTGACCTCATTTACTCAACACAATGGCTTTGTGAGCTAGGAGCTAGGTGGGTCAGCCTGAGGGGCTGGTTTCCGTAGTGAGTCCTCTCCTGCCCACATCTGGCCTTTGCCTGAGCTGGCCCCAAATTTCATCTCCTCTGTGTCTCCTCTGAGTTGATAGGACTGGAAGCCCCTGGCTGTCTGTAATCAAGTCCACAAAGGTTCATGAGTCAAATCAGAAGTCAATGTACTGTTTCCCAAAGAGAAATTTTCTGTCAGATGGACTTCCTGGCACCTTCTCCCCTGCAGCAGCTCTTTGAGTGCTGGGTGAACTTGCTCTAGGCCTGGCAAGTTGAGAACACAGTCTGAGAGTTCAATGCCTATGGGCTCTGAGCCTTGCCCAGGCCACTTCACCAACAGGGAAATGCCTGCCAGGAGGACCCAACACTTGGGCCTGGCAGGCCACCATCTCCCTGGCTCTGCTCCCGTGGGCCTCACCGCAGTGTGCCTCAGTGACATCCCCTTTTCACCGATCTTTGGCATCCAATGAACACATCTTTTCTTCACCTCCAGCCAGGTATCCTTTATGTCTCTTGAGGGTAACTTTGCATGCCCTGATCCATGAACAGTCAATTTCCTAGACTGAAATTTGGGAAAGCTTATTGCCAAGAGCCATGGACTGGGAGTACCTTATTTTGCCCCTTTCTCCACTTACTGCCCACACAGTTTCAGGAAGGAAGCAGTGGGTTAAGTAAATGATGACGTCTATTCACAGGAATACCTTGCAGCTTTACACATTAATGAGGTACCATGATTTAAAAAAAAAGTCTACTATATTATTAAAAGAGCAAATTGTGTAATATGTATAGTATGGGCCTGTTTGCATTTAGAGTGCTACATTTTTCCTTCCCCCTCTTCCTCTCCCTTCCCTTCCCTCCCTCTCTCTCCCTCTTTTCTTTCATTCCTTTCTTTCAACCAGTATTTAGTCAATGCCTACTGTGTGCCAGGCACTGTTCTAAGTACTAGGATACAGCAGGGAACAAGTCCTCTGTCTCATGGAATTATATTCTTATGAAGAGAGACAGATTTTTAAAACCCAAAAACATGACATATGGATGTCAGATGATGAAAAATGCCCTGGAGAGAAAGAAACCATGAGTGAGGCAGATACAGGGATTATGAGTTGGGGGGTCTGGGGAACAGCACTTTGAATAGGTTGGGCCAGAGAAGACCTGATGGCATTTGCAGGAGGTGAGGGAGTGAGCAGTGCAGGTATCTTGGGGAACAACTCTATTCTGTGGTTCCATACCTTGATATCTACCTGTGCATCTAGTTATCACTCAGACATATTTACTTTGTTTGTTTGTACACACACAGACCAAGGCTGAGTGGATACCCACCCAACTGTTACCAGGGGCTACCTCTGGAGAATTGGCTGGGGTTGAGTAGTGTTGGGGAACGGGATGCTTTTACTCCACACAAATCAGTACTGTTATATTTATTTATTTTTAACAATAAGCACATATTGCTTTTACAGTTTAAACTTTTATAGGCGCAGTGTCTCATGCCTATAATCCCAGCACTTTGGGAGGCTGAGGCGGGTGGATCGCTTGAGGTTAGAAGTTCAAAATCAGCCTGGGCAACATGGTGAAACCCTGTCTCTACTAAAAACACAAAAAAATTAGCTGGGCATGGTGGCGGGTGCCTGTAATCCCAGCTACTCGGGAGGCTAAGGCAGGAGAATTGCTTGAACCTGGAAGATGGAGGTTGCAGTGAGCCGAGATCGTGCCATCACACTCCAGCCTAGGCAACAGAGCAAGACTCTGTCTCAAAAAAAAGAAAGAAAGAAAGAAAGAAAAAAACACTTTTTTAAAAAATGAACTTTTATAGCCCTGTCCCCTCCCAAAAGAGAGTATGGTCAGCAGAGTCGTCTTGCTGCTTTGACCAGTGGTATCAAGGAATAAATGAGATAATTGATACGTGATTGCCAGTGGTTGTGCCTATGTCTAGAAAAGGTTAAATTTTGTTTCCTTCTCATATTCTTCCCCTCAGTGCCCAGGCAGGGCTAGGTATCCAGAAGTGCATAATATAACCACAGTGGAGTCCTGGGCTCACCTGCCTTGGTGCAAGTCCCTGGGAGTCAGTGCCTGGGCTCCACATCGTATGCATCTGAGGGCTGGTCGGGTCTAGTTCCCTCCATAGAGATTAAGGAACCCCTTAAGGGCTTATCCAGAAGATGCCAAATCTCCCTTGAGCCTGTTGTTTTGGGCCACCTGTCCTGGACATCACATTACACCATCGTCATCACTTTTGTCACCATTTTAAACTCTACTACCATCACCAGCAATAGTTTTTTGTTGTTGTTGTTGTTTCTTTTTTTTTTTCGAGACAGGGTCTTGCTTTGTTGTCTAGGCTGGAGTACAGTGGCGTGATAATGGTTTATTGCAGCCTTGACCCCCCGGGGCTCAAGCAATTCTCCCACTTTAGCCTCTGAGTAGCCGAGACTACAGGCATGTACCAGCATACTCTGGCTAATTTTTAAATTTTTTTTAGAGATGGGTCTTACTATGTTGTCCAGGCTGGTCTCACACTCCTAGCCTCAAGCAATCCTCCTGCTTCAGCCTCCCAGAGTGCTGGGATAACAGGTGTAAGCCACTGCTCCTGGCCCAGATAGTTGCTTTAAAAACAGTTTATTGCTTAAATTTTTATAAAGGTAACATATACTTTTAGGAAAATCCAAGAACATATGAAGGAAAAAATAAGAACTCACTTATAAATGATTAAAGTCAGTGTCACGTACGTCCGTGTGAAGAGACCACCAAACAGGCTTTGTGTGAGCAATAAAGCTGTATATTTCACCTGGGTGCAGGCGGGCTGAGTCTGAAAAGAGAGTCAGTGAAGGGAGATACGGGTGGGGCCATTTTATAGGATTTGGGTGGGTAGTGGAAAATTACAGTCAAGGGGGGTTTTTCTCTTGCAGGCAGGGGCGAGGGTCACAAGGTGCTCAGTGGGGGAGCTTCTGAGCCAGGAGAAGGAATTTCACAAGGTTAATCACTCAGTTAAGGTGGGGCAGGAACAAATCACAATGGTGGAATGTCATCAGTTAAGGCAGGAACCGACCATTTTGACTTCTTTTGTGATTCTTCACTTGCTTCAGGCCATCTGGATGTTTACGTGCAGGTCACAGGGGATATGATGGCTTGGCTTGAGCTCAGAGGCCTGACATTCCTGTCTTCTTATATTAATAAGAAAAATAACATAAAATAGTGTCGAAGTGTTGGGGCAGGGAAAATTTTGGGGGGTGGTATGGAGAGATAATGGGTGATGTTTCTCAGGGCTGCTTCCAGCGGGATTAGGGTTGGCGTGGGAACCTACAGTGGGAGAGATTAAGCTGACGGAAGATTCTGTGGTAAGGGGTGATATTGTGGGGTTGTTAGAAGGAGGATTTGTCTTATAGAATGATTGGTGATGGCCTGGATACGGTTTTGGATGAATTGAGAAACTAAACGGAAGACACAAGGTCTGAATAAGAGAAGGAAAAAAACAGGTATTAAAGGACTAAGAATTGGGAGGACCCAGGACATCCAATTAGAGAGTGCCCAAGGGGTTCAGTGTAATTACTTGCTTGGTTGGTGAGTTTTTGGGCTCTATCCTGGACAGAGTCCTCCTTTTTAAGTTGGAGGCTGAGCTTCGTGAGGTGTGTTTTTAAAAGACCATTAGTCCGTTCTACCTTTCCTAAAGATTGAGGACAGAAAGGGGTATGAAGGTTCTACTGAATACCCAAAGCCCGAGAAACTGCTTGGGTGATTTGACTAATAAAGGGCCGGTCCGTTATTGGACTGTATAGAGGTGGGAAGGCCAAACCGAGGAATTATGTCTGACAGAAGGGAAGAAATGACCGCAGTGGCCTTCTCAGACCCTGTGGGAAAGGCCTCTACCCATCCAGTGAAAGTGTCTACCTAGACCAAGAGGTATTTTAGTTTCCTGACTCGAGACATGTGAGTAAAGTCAATTTGCCAGTCCTGGGCGGGGGCAAATCCCCGAGCTTGATGTGTAGGGAAGGGAGGGGGCCTGAACAATCCCTGACGAGTAGCAGAACAGCAGATGGAACACTGAGAAGTGATTTCCTTAAGGATAGATTTCCATGATGGAAAGGAAATGAGAGGTTCTAACAGGTGGGCTAGTGGCTTGTAACCAACCTAGAAGAGGTTATGAAATGATGATAGAATAGAATGGGCCCGTGAGGCTGGAAGGAGATATTCTCCTTGGTCCAAGAACCATTTGCCTTGTGTGGGAAGAGATTGATAGGCGGAAGTTTCATTGGGAGAGTAGGTGGGAGTGATCGATGAGAAGGAGAAAAACTGGCCATAAGGGACAGAAGTTGGAATGCTAGCTGCCCGGGTTTCGGCACCAAATGTCATGTGTGTCCATGTGAAGAGACCACCAAACAGGCTTTGTGTGAGCAACAAGGCTGTTTATTTCACCTGGGTGCAGGCGGGTTGAGTCAGAAAAGAGAGTCAGTGAAGAGATAGGGTTGGGGCCGTTTTATAGGATTTGGGTGGGTGGTGGAATATTACAGTCAAAGGGGGTTTTTCTCTTGTGGGCAGGGGCAGGGGTCACAAGGTGCTCAGTGGGGGAGCTTCTGAGCCAGGAGGAGGAATTTCACAAGGTTAATCACTCGGTTAAGGTGGGGCAGGAACAAATCACAATGGTGGAATGTCATCAGTTAAGGCAAGAACTGGCCATTTTGACTTCTTTTGTGATTCTTCACTTGCTTCAGGCCATCCGGATGTTTACGTGCAGGTCACAGGGGATATGATGGCTTGGCTTGGGCTCAGAGGCCTGACAGTCAGCATTTTGATGCGTTTTTTTTTCTGGGTCTTCATTTTTATGTTCTTAAAAGTCCTCTTGCCAGGGATGGTGGCTCACGCCTGTAATCCCAGAACCTTGGGAAGCCGAGGTGAGCGGGTCACCTGAGGTTGGGAGTTCGAGACCAGCCTGACCAACGTGAAGAAACCCCATCTCTACTAATAATACAAAAAAAAAAAATTAGCCGGGTGTGGTGGCACATGCCTGTAATCCCAGCTACTCGGGAGAGTCACTTGAACCCGGGAGGTGGAGGTTGCGGTGAGCCAAGATCACGCCATTGCACTCCAGCCTGGGCAACAAGAGCAAAACTCCATTTCAAAAAAAAAAAAAAAAAAAAGAAGTCGTCTTTGTCTCATGCAATCAGAATGAAACCTTATTGGTTTGTTAGGTAAAACATCAATGTAGGGAATAGTAGTATAAAATAATACATACATAAATATTTTCACCAAAACACACGAATTTGCATTTACTAGTTGGTGTCTTGATGCAGAGCCATGATCCGCTGGTTGGAATTCCCTGAGTACCTCTTGTAGGAACCCTCCTAAGGCACGCTCTCCAGTAGTCAGTTTTGGCTGCTTTGAAGTGCAACAGGAGCCTAAAGATGCTTTTGAATTTTTTAGGGGCAAAATCCTTCTAGTTTTTTTTTTACTGAGGATTTTATAGTTGTCTTGCCTGTATATAATTTGACAGTATTTTTTAGCCTTTATTATTTTTAATTGTCACATAATAATTATACATTTTATGGGGTACAGTGATATTTTGATATATATAGTCAATGTGTTATAATCAAATCAGGGTAATTAACATGTGTATCAACTCAAACACTTATCATTTCTTTGTGCTGGGAACATTCAAATCCACTCTCCTAGCTATTTGAAAATATACAGAGCCAGGCTTGGTGGCTCAAGCTTGTAATCCCAACACTTTGGGAAGCTGAGGCAGGAGGATCGCTTGAGGCTAGGGGTTTGAGACCAGCATGGGCAACATAGTGAGACCCCCATCTTTACAAAAAATAAAAAAAATTGCCAGGAAGGTTGGCACATGCCTGTAGTCCCAGCTACTCTGGAGGCTAAGGTGGAAGGATCACTTGAGTCCAAGAGTTTAAGGCTGCAGTGAGAGATGATGGCACCACTGCACTCCAGCCTGGGTGACATAACAAGACCTTGTCTCAAAAAAAAAAAGAAAAGAAAAAGAAAAAAAAGTACAATAAATTGTTGTTAGTTATAGTCACCCTATAGTGCTATAGAACACTAGCACTTATCCCTTCTATCTAGCTGTGCTTCTGAATCTGTAAACCAACCTTTGGTTATCCCTCTCCCCCTTCCTTTTCCCTGCCTCTGGTTACTATTCTGTTCTCTACCTCTATGAGAACAACTTTTTTCACTTCCACATATGAATGAGAACATTTGCTATTTATCTTTCTGTACCTGGCTTATTTCAATATCGTAATGTCCTCTGAGCTCATTCATATTGCCATGAATGACAGAATTTCATTTTTTAAATGGCTAAATAGTATTCCATTGTGTATATATACCACATTGTCTTTATCCATTTACTTGTTGATCGACACTTAGGTTGATTTCATATCTTGGCTATTATGAAGAGTGCTGCAATAAACATGGGCGTGCAGCTCTTTGACATAATGATTTCCTTTCCTTTGGATATATACCTAGTAGAAGGATTGCTGGGTCATATGGCAGTTCTGTTTTTAGTTTTTCTGAGGAACCTTGATACTGTTTTCCATAATGGCTGTACTAATTTACATTCCCGCCTGCAGAAAGAGTTCCCCTTTCTCTGCCTCCTTGCCAGCATTTGTAATTTTTTGTTTATTTTGATAATGGCCACTATAACTGGGGTGCAATGATATTTCATTGTCATTTTGATTTGCATATCCCTGATGGTTAGTGATGTTGAACATTTAAAAATATATACTTGTTGGTTTTGTCTGCATTCTTTTGAGAGATATCTATTCAGCTCATCTGCCTGTTTTTTAATTGGAGGATTTTTGTTTGTTTTTTGCTGTTGAGTTGTTTGAGTCCCTTGTATATTCTGGATATTAACCCCTTGTCAGATGAATAGTTTGCAAATATTTTCTCCTATTCTGCAGGTGATCTCTTCATTCTCTTGATTATTTCCCTTGCTGTGCAGAAACATTTTAGTTTGATATAATTTCATTTGTCTACTTTTGCTTTTGTTGCCCGTGCTTTGAGGTTTTCTTTATAAAATCTTTGCCCAGACCAATGTCCTGAAGCATTTCTTCTATGTTTTCTTCTAGTAGTTTTATGGTTTTGGGTCTTACATTTAAGTCTTTAGCCAATTTTAAGTTGATTTTTATATATGGTGAGAGATACGGCTCTAGTTTCATTTTTCTGCATATGGATATCCAGTTTTCCTAGCATCATTTGTTGAAAAGACTGTTCCATCCCCAGTGAATGTTCTTGTCACCTTTATTGAAAATCAGTTTTGCTATAAATACATGGGTTTATGTCTGGATTTCCTATTCTGTTCCATTGGTCTATGTGTCTGTTTTTATGCCAGTGCCATGTTGTTTTGGTCTTTTTAATATATTTTGAGGTCTGGTAGTGTGATATGTCTAGCTTTGTCCTTTTTGCTCAGGATTGCTTTGGCTATATGGGGGGTGGGGTCCATAGAATTTTTAGGATTGTTTTTTCTATTTCTGTGAAGAATGTCTTTGGTATTTTGTTGTGAGTTGCATTGAATCTGTAGATTGCTTTGGGTGGTATGGTAATGTTCACAATATTAATTCTTTTAATCCATAAACATGGATGTCTTTCAGTTTTTTTATGTCCTCTTCAATTTTTTTCATCAGTGTTTAACAGTTCTTATTGTAGAGATCTTTCACTTCTTTGGTTGAATTTATTCCTAGATTTTTTTTTTGTAGTTATTGTAAATGGGATTGCTGTGTTTCTTTTTCTGCTAGTTTGTTGTTGGTGTATAGAAATGCTACTGATTTTTGTATGTTGATTTTGTATTCTGAAATTTTACTGAATTCATTTATTAGTTCTCAGAGTTTTTTTGGTGGAGTTTTTTTTCTTTCTTTCTTTCTTTTTTCTTTTTTTTTTTTTGAGACAGACTTTCACTCTGTTGCCCAGGCTGGAGTGCAGTGGCATCACCTCGGCCCACTACAACCTCCTCCTCCTGGGTTCAAGCCATTCTCCTGCCTCAGCAACCCAAGTAGCTGGGATTACAGGTGTGCGCTACAATGCTGGGCCACTTTTTGTATTTTTAGTAGATATGGAGTTTCACCATGTTGGCCAGGCTGGTCTCCAACTCTTGACCTCAAGTGATCCACCAGCCTCCTCCTCCCAAAGTGCTGGGATTACAGGTGTGAGCCATCGTGACTGTAAGTCTTTTGTTTTTCTATATATGATAGTTTATATGCAAATAGGGACAATCTGACTTCCTGTTGTCTAATATGGATGCTCTTTATTTTTTTCTCTTCCTTAATTGCTCTGGCTAGTACTTCCACTACTGTGGTGAATAAAAGTGGTAATAGTGGGCTTTCTTGTCTTGTTTTGGATCTTGGAGAAAAAGCTTTCAACTTATCCCCTTTCAGTATGATGTTGGCTATGATTTTGTGCTATGTGGCCTTTACTGTGTTGAGATATACTCCTTCTATACCTAACTTGTTGAGAGTTTTTATCATGAAGGGATGTTGAATTTTATCAAGTACTTTTTGTGCATCTATTGAGAGGAGCATATGGTTTTTGTCCTTCATTCTGTTGATGTGATATATTGTGTTTATTGACTTGTGTATGTTGTATCCCTGAGATAAATTCTGCTTGATCATGGTGAATCATCTTTTTGATGTGCTGCTAAATTTGGTTGACCAGTATTTTGTTGAGGATTTTTTGCTTCTATATTTACCAGAGATATTGGCCTGTAGCTTTCTTTTTTTTGTTGTGTACTTGTTTGGTTTTGGTATAGGGTAATGCTGGCCTCATTGAATAAGTTTAGAAGAATTCTTTCCCCCTTAATTTTCTGGAAGAGTTTGAGAAGAATTGGCATTAGTTTTTCTTCAGATGTTTGGTAGAATTCAGCAGCGAGGCCATCAGGTCCTGTGCTTTTCTTTGATGGAAGACTTATTATAGATTCAATATTGTTACTTGGAACTGGTCTGTTCTGGTTTTATATTTCTTCTTGGTTCAATCTTGGTAGATTTCATGTGTCCAGGAATTTCTCAATTTCTGCTAGGTTTTCTTTTCTTTTCTTTTCTTTTTTTTTTGAGACAGTCTCACTCTGTCACTCAGGCTGGAGTGCAGTGGCACGATGTCAGCTCACTGCAACCTCTGCCTCCTGGTTTCAAGTGATTCTCCGGCCTCAGCCTCCCAAGGAGCTGGGATTACAGGTGCGTACCACCATGCCCGGGTAATTTTTGTATTTTTAGTAGAGATGGGGTTTCACCATGTTGGTCAGGCTGGTCTTGAACTCCTGACGTCATGATCCACCTGCCTTGGCCTCCCAAGGTGCTGGGATTACAGGCATGAGCCACCACGCTGGCTGGTTTTCTTTTATTTTTCTGCATATGAATGCCAGGTTATAGCGACTAGGCTTTCTAATTTGTTTGTGTATAGTTGTTTGTAATAGTCTCTAATGATCCTTTGTATTTCTGTGGTATCATCTTTTTTTTTTTTTAAGTAAAAGCAAGTTTATTAGAGAAGTAAAGAAACAAAAGAATGGCTACTGCATAGACAGAGCAGCCCTGAGGGCTCCTGGTTGGCTATTTTTATGGTTATTTCTTATCATATGCTAAATTAGGGGTGGATTATTCGAGTTTTCCAGGAAAGGGGCAGACAATGCCTGGAACTGAGAGTTCCTCCTCCCTTTAGACCATATAGGGTAACTTAGGGATGTTGCCATGGCATTTGTAAACTGTTATGGCACTGGTGGGAGTGTCTTTTTAGTATGCTATTGGCACTTTCATTGCTATCTTGGTTTTGGTAGGTTTTGACTGGCTGGATTTTTTTATTGCACTTTTTTTCTTTTTTTTTTGGTTTTTTTTTTTTGAGGCAGAGTCTCGCTCTGTTGCCCAGGCTGGAGTGCCCTGACACAATCTTGGCTCACAGCAACCTCTACCTCCCAGGTTCAAGCGATTCTCCTGCTTCAGCCTTCCAAGTAGCTGGGATTACAGGCATGCACAACCATGCCAGGCTAATTTTTATATTTGTAGCAGAGATGGGGTTTCACCATGTTGGCCAGGCTGGTCTTGAACTCCTGACCTCAGGTGATCTGCCCACCTTGGCCTCCCAAAGTGCTGGGATTACAGGCATGAGTCACTGCACCTGGCCTATTGTATCTCGTTTCATCAGCAGGGTCTTCGTGACTTGTATCTTGTGATTCCCTATCTCATCCTGTGACTAAGAATGCCTAACCTCCTGGGAATGCAGCCCAGCATATCTCAGTCTCATTTTACCCAGGCCCTGTTGAAGATGGAGTGGCTCTGGTTTGAACACCTCTGACATATTTCTCCCTCCATTTTACAAGGGGACCCTTAATCCTATGGGTTGTAGAGGGATGAATATCTATCTTCTCTAACTTCTGCTGGCTGAATAGGGGTGATGATATTTCTATCTATTAGGGTCTCTTGTATTTAGAGTAGAGAGGAGCTCAGTCAGAAAACATTGGTATAAAGGCCGGGCACAATGGCTCACGCCTGTAATCCCAGCACTTTGGGAGGCCGAGGTGGACCAATCATCTCAGGTCAGGAGTTTGAGACCAGCCTGGCCAACATGGTGAAACCCTGTCACTAGTAAAAATACAAAAATTAGGCCAGGCACGTTGGCTCATGCCTGTAATCCCAGTACTTTGGGAGGCTGAGGTGGGTGGATCACCTGAGGTCAGGAATTTGAGACCAGCCTGGCCAACCTGGTGAAACCCCATCTCTACTAAAAATACAAAAATTAGCTGGGCGTGGTGGCAGGTGCCTGTAATCCCAGCTACTCAAAGGCTGAGGCAGGAGAATCACCTGAACCCGGTAGGCGGATGTTGCAGTGAGCTAAGATTGCACCATTGCACTCCAGCCTGGGCAACAGAGTGAAACTCTGTCTCAAAAGAACAGAAAGAAAAAAAAATACAAAAATTAGCCAGGTGTGGTGGTGTGTGCCTATAGTCCCAGCTATTTAGGAGGCTGAGACAGGAGAATCGCTTGAACCCGGGAGGCGGAGGTTGCAGTGAGCTGAGGTAGTGCCACTGCACTCCAGCCTGGGCAATAGAGCGTGACTCCGTCTCAAAAAAAAAAAAAAAAGAAAAGAAAAAGAAAATGTTGGTATGGTGAGGGTCAT
This sequence comes from Homo sapiens, assembly GCF_000001405.40. NCBI lineage: Eukaryota > Metazoa > Chordata > Mammalia > Primates > Hominidae > Homo > Homo sapiens. The sequence goes on from NC_000010.11 coordinate 103,528,588, forward strand.
TCATAACTCTGACTTCTGACAAAAGGTGATATCAGGAAGAAGAATAAGTGTTCAATTTAAGAAATTGTTGAGTAAGCTTATCCTGCATTCCTGCACAAAGAGTACAACAGCAATATGTTTCACAACAGTAAATCAATATAAGTAAAAGCATTCCAACCAAACTAAATGATAAGTTTAGTTTGCAGTCACAGGTATTTGACTGTGACTTGCCCAGTTCCTGGAAAGAACTGGGAACTTCCCAGGAACTGGAACTGGGCAAGTGTTGGAACCAAGGAACTGGGCAAGTGTTGGAACCAAGCTGATTTGGGGTTGCTACCCAATTCCAGTATATGCCCATAATTAGAAGACTGATCCAGATTTTTATATTACCTATTTCTCTTGTTTCTTCTGAGCAGCAGCCAGAAATCACTAACTGATTCACAGAAATAAGCAGGGTCAATCTAAATTGCAGAAAAAAACTAAAAAACAGCAAATAAGACTAGACTCTAATAACAGGTGTACCATAGTTTTTGAAATACAAATTTTCTCTCTCCAGTCTTCATTTTTATTAAAACCAAATCATGGTTTCATTTGCAAAATAAGCTTTAGTCTTATTATAATTGTCTTGATTGTTTGTAGAAGTGCAGCAAGAATAATTATTTGCCATATAGGCACCTTTTAAAATTGCCTTTGATGGATCTTTGTTCGATAAGGAATCATGGATTAGACTTTTTAAAGCCTTGAGCCGAGCCATGGGTTTGTGACTGCAAATACCTGTATGAGCTGGGTAAATTTCTCTCCTCTCGAGGTCCCAAGATAACTTGGGGCTCCTAAGCCTGCCAGAAAATGACATTCTATACTTACCACAGGTGAGGAACCCTGTACAGGGACTGTGTAGACAAGATATGAGGCCAGTTTTCCCAAGGGGCTTTTATTCCTTAAAGGAATCTGTTTATATCTGAAAGAATGCCATTCCAGTCAAAGCCTTGGTAAAAGAACCAGTCTCCAACTGTGTTCTGTTACAAAAGAAAACAGTTGCTTTTTGCACTTATGTAAATAACTATATTGCCATAAGTTAAGAATACTCACAAATAGTTTCCAAATTCTGGAGAAATCAAATAGAGAGAAAGAAATATGCTCCAAGTTTTGCTTACAGGAGGATTCTTTACTCAATTGCTAAAAGCTGTAAATAATTGAAAAGTTTTCTTGACTCCAAAGTTGGCCAATTGATGCTGCAATCTATTTTCTTTGGGTCAGGGGTCTCTTCAGTATCATCCCTTTGTGATTCACCATGGAAGATGTTACTGGAAAGCGGTCACAATTCAGACCCCAAGAGAGGGTTCTTGGATCTTATGCAAGAAAAAATTTGGGGTGAGTCCACAGAGTAAAGTGAAAGCAAGTCTATTAGAGAAGTAAAGAAACAAAAGAGTGGCTACTCCACAGCCAGAGCAGCCTCTGTGGTATCAGTTGTAATGTCTCTGTTTTGATTTCTGATTTTATGTATTTGGGTCTTTTATCTTTTTTTCTTGGTTAGTCTAGCTAATGGCTTGTCAATTATGTTTATTCTCTCAAAAAAAACCAACTTTTTTTGTCAATCTTTTGTGTTTTCTTTAGTCTCAATTTATTTTATTTCTACTCTGGTCTTTACTATACCTTTCCCACTACTAACTTTGTGTTTTGTTTGTTCTTTCTTTTCTAGTGCCTTGAGATACTTCACTAGATTTTTTTTTTTACTGTATTCATTTATTCCTATAAACTTTCCTCATAATACTGCTTTTGCTGTATCCTATAGGTTTTGCTTTGTTGTGTTTCTATTTTTATATGTTTCAAGACATTTTTAAATTTTCTTCTTAATTTCTGTATTGACCCATTGATTGTTCAGGATCATGTTATTTAATTTCTATGTATTTGTACAATTTCACAAATTGTTGTTACTGATTTCTAGTTTTGTTTAATTATGGTCAGAAATGATAGTTGATATGATTTCAATTCTTTTTTTTTTTTTTCTCTGTCACCCAGGCTGGAGTGCAGTGGCACGATTTGGGCTCACTGCAACCTCTGCCTCCCAGGTTCAAACAATTCTCCTGCTTCAGCCTCCTGGCTAGCAGAGATTACAGGTGTGCGCCACCACAGCCAGCTAATTTTTGTGTTATTAGTAGAGACGGGGTTTCACTGTGTTGGCCAGGCTGGTCTGTAACTCCCGACCTCAGGTGATCCACCTGCCTCAGCCTCCCAAAGTTCTGGGATTACAGGATGAGCCACCACACCTGGCCATGATTTCGGTTCTTTTAGAATTGTTGAGACTTGTTTTGTGGCCTAAAATGTGGTCTATCCTGGACAATGTTCTATGTGCTGATAAAAATAATATGTATTTGCCTGGGCGTGGTGGCTTATGCCTATAATCCCAGCACTTTGGGAGGCTGAGCAGGTGGATCAAGAGGTCAGGAGTTCAAGACCAGCTTGGTCAATATGGTGACACCCTGTCTCTACTAAAAATACAAAAATTAGCCAGGTGTGGTGGTGTGTGCGTGTAATCCCAGCTACTTGGGAGGCTGAGGCAGGAGAATTGCTTGAACCCAGGAGGCGGAGGTTGCAGTGAGCCAAGATTGTACCACTGCACTCCAGCCTGGGCAACAAAGCAAGACCCTGTCTCAAAAAAAAAATGTGTTCTAGAGCTGTTTGATGAAATGTTTTGTAAATGTCTTTACATAGTGCAGTTTAAATTTAATGTTTCTTTGTTGATTTCCTATCTAGATGATCTATCCAATGCCAAGAGTAAGGTGTTGAAGTCCCTAACCATTATTATATTGGGTTCTGTCTCTACTTTTTGAAACATTTTTATTTTTTTTATTTATTAGAGGTGGAGTCTTGCTATGTTGCCCAGGCTGGTCTTGAACTCCTGGCCTCAAGCTACCCTCCTGCTGTGGCCTTCCAAAGTGCTGGGATTACAGATGTGAGCACCATGTCTGGCCCCCACTTTTTTTGAGACAGGGTCTCACTTTATTGCCCAGAGTGAAGTGCAGTAGCATGGTCATAGCTCACTGCATCCTCAAACTCCTTGGGCTCAAGTGATCCTCCTGCCTCAGCCTCCTAAGTGCATACTACCATTCCTGGCTTTTTCTTTTTTTTTTTTAGTAGAGATGAAGTCTCACTATGTTGCCCAGGCTGGTCTTGAACTTCTGGCCTCAAATAACCCTTCTGCCTCAGTCTCCCAAAGTGCTGGGATTACAGGCATGAGCCACTGTGCCTGGCCTCTGTCTCTCCCTTTAGATCTAATAATTTATGCTTTATATATCTGGATGCTCCATTGTTTGGCACATATAATTTATGATTGTTATGTCCTCTTGCTGAATTGATCCCTTTATCATTATATAATGACCTTGTCTCTATTTACCATTTTGACTTAAAGCCTGCTTTATCTGATGTTAAGCATAGCTTTTCCTGCCAATTTTGGTTTCTGTTTGCATGGAATATCTTTATCCATCCCTTCATTTTCAGTCTATATGTGTCTTTACAGGTGAAGTGAGTTTCCTGTAGGTAGCATATAGTTAGGTCATTTATTTTCTTATCCGTTCAGGCAGTGTATGTCTTTTAAATGGAGGAATTTAATCTGTTTACATTCAAGGTTATTGTTGATAGGTGAGGACTTGCCCCTGTCAATTCATTAATTGTTTTCTGATTGTTTTGTGTATCCTTTCTTTCTTATTGTTTATGATTGTGGTTTGGGTTTTTGTTTTTTTGGTAGTGATAAGGTTTGATTCTTTTTCTCCTTTGTGTATTTGCTCTACCAGTGAGTTTTACACTTTTATGTGTTTTCATGATAGTGATGATTGTCTTTTTTGCTTCCAGATGTAGGATTCCATTGAGCATTTCTTGTAAGGCTAGTCCAGTGGTGATGAATTCTTTCAGTTTTTGCTTGTGTGGGAAAGACTATTTCTCCCTAATTTCTGAAGGATAGCTTTGCTGGATATGGTATTATTGGCTGATGATTATTTTCTTTTAGCACTTTGACTGTATCATCCCATTCTCTACTGGCCTGTAAGGATTCTGTGGAGAAATCTGCTCTTAGTCTAATAGATATTCCTTTATATGTGACTCAATGCTTTTCTCTTGCTGTTTTTAGAATTCTCTTTTTTTTTTCCTTTTTTTGGAGGCTTTCTCTGTGAACTTTCTGTATCTTTGACTTTTTACAATTTGACTATAATGGCCTCAGGGAGGGCCTTTTTGGGTTAAATCTATTTGGGAATCTTTGAGCTTCCTTGATCTGGATGTCCACATCTTTCCCCAGACTTAAGAAGTTTTCAGCTATTATTTCATTAAATAGGTTTTCTACACCTTTTTCCTTCTCTTCTCCTTTTTTTTTTTTTTTTTTTTTTTTGAGATGGAGTCTTGCTCTGTCACCTAGGCTGGAGTGCAGTGGCGTGATCTTGGCTCACTGCAAGCTCTGCCTCCTGGCTTCACGCCATTCTCCTGCCTCAGCCTCCCGAGTAGCTGGGACCACAGGCACCCACCACCATGCCTGGCTATTTTTTTTGTATTTTTAGTAGAGACGGGGTTTCATCATGTTAGCCAGGATGGTGTCCATCTCCTGACCTCATGATCCACCCGCCTTGGCCTCTCAAGGTGCTGGGATTACAAGCTTGAGCCACTGTGCCTGGCCCTTCTCTTCTCCTTTTAAAACTACTGTAATACAAATATTTGATTGCTTTATTATGTCTCATAAGTCTTGTAATTTTTCTTGACTTTTTTGTTCTTATTTATTTTTTTCTCTGACTGGGTAATTTCAAATGACCTTTCTTTTTTCTTTTCTTTTTTTTTTTGAGATGGAGTTTCACTCTTGTTGCCCAGGCTGGAGTGGAATGGCGTGATCTCAGCTCACTGCAACCTCTGCCTCCTAGGTTCAAGTGATTCTCCTGCCTCAGCCTCCTGAGTAGCTGGGATTACAGGCATAAGCCACGATGCCGGACTAATTTTGTATTTTTTTTTTTGAGATGGAGTCTCACTCTGTCGCCCAGGCTGGAGTGCAGTGGCGCGATCTTGGCTCACTGCAAGCTCTGCCTCCTGGGTTCACACCATTCTCCTGCCTCAGCCTCCTGAGTAGCTGGGACTACAGGCGCCCGCCATCACACCCGGCTAATTTTTTGTATTTTTAGTAGAGACGGGGTTTCACCGTGTTAGCCAGGATGGTCTCGATCTGCTGACCTTCTGATCCGCCCGCCTTGGCCTCCCAAAGTGCTGGGATTACAGGCTTGAGCCACCGCTCCCGGCCTAATTTTGTATTTTTAGTAGAGATGGGGTTTCTCCATGTTGGTCAGGCTGGTCTTGAACTTCTGACCTCTGGTGATCCACCCGCCTTGGCCTCCCTAAGTGCTGGGATTACAGGCGTGAACCACCGCGCCTAGCTCAAATGACCTACCTTTCAAGTTCAGAGAATCTTTCTTCTGCTTGATCAAGCGCTGTTGAAGCTCTCTATTGCATTTTTTATTTCATTCATTGAACTTTTTGGCTGCAGGACTTCTGTTTGTTTCTTTTAAAATTGTTTCTATCTCTTTGTTGAATTTGTCTTTCACATCGTGAATTGTTTTCTTGATTTTTATCAGATTGTCTATCTGTATTTTTTTTTTTTTGTATCTTGTTGATTTCCTTAAGATCTCTTTTTGAATTCCTTTTCTTGAAATTTGTGGATTTCCTTCCCATTTGGGTCTCTTACTAGTGAGTTATTATGTTCCTTTGGTGGTGTCATATTTTCTTGACTTTTGAGTTTCTTTTGTCCCCACATCCTCACATTGATGTCTGTACATCTAGTGGATCAATCACCTCTTCCATTTTAGAATGGCTTTTGTAGAGAAAGGTTTTCATCTGCAGTTGGGTTGTAGTGTGCCAGTTGGAAAGAGTGTGATGACTCTGTTTCTGGATAGGTGCAATGGTATAGTCTCTATGCAGCTTCTTCAGCTGCACTGGACATCAGCAATAACTGTGAGCACCCCCGTGGCCTAGGCTGTAGATGTTTGTACACTGGCATCATAGGTTGTTAATGTCCTCAGTGTTGAGGGCTCTTGAGGTCCTCCTATTCTCATTTAACCCACAAGGGGAAGACTTAGCCAAGGGTATCTCTCTTGGTATCAAGTCTGACATGGCCTACAAGCAGCTGCAGCAGCCCTGAGTTCCAGGTGCAGGTGCTTAGAGTGGCTGTGGGGCTGGGGTCCTAGGCTGAGGGTCTTGCAAGCGTATTATGCCACCTGGGTCATGGGGTGCAACTTTGCTGTCAGTGGCAGGGTTGGATATATGTTGCCCACAGAGCCAGCATCTGTGACTCTGAAGCACCCGCTATCAGCTCAGCCCCATAGGCTGGGTTGTACCTGTGATTCTACTGCTGGGAGGGAGAGGGCACAGTACTGGCCTGACTCCTGGGAAGAAGTGCTCTAAAGATTTGGGCCTGGGAGACAAGGCATGGCTGCAATTCAGGAACTTGAGCCAATAGGGTTCAGCAGCAACTCAGATCCCAGGGGATGAGGCATTGTGTAGTGTGACTCTAGAACAAGGGATTGTGGGGCTTGGCAATAATCCTGACTGTGTGATGCCAGGTGCAGCAGCAGCAAGTATCCCAGAAAGGTGGGGCACAGCTGTTGTTTGGGCACTGAGGGGGCAAGAAACAGCACAGTGATGACTTTACTCCCCAGGGAGAGGGGTATGTCAGCGGCTCAGACTCTAGAGGGCTAGCCCAGCTCTGGGGCAACAGAGTACTAGGGTTGTTTGGCCTGTAGGGCAGGATGTCTCAGTTCATTCACAGCTCTATTTCCCTGGGACATGGGGTACTAGGTCAGCTCAGTTCTGGGATGCACAGTTGCTCAGCTTGGCCAGGGCACTGATTCCCCAGGAGCTGGTGTGCTGCTTCAGCTCATGCTTGGGGGTGATAGGGGACATGACTGTCCTCGGCAGCCCAGGAACTATTTCCCTGAGATGCAGAGCACCACTTTAGCTTAGGCACTGGGGTGAGTGACTGCTCCAGGTAGCCAAGGTACTGTTTTCTGGGATGTAAGGCACTCCTTCAACTTAGGCACCAGAGAGGTGTGACTGTCCTGAGCAGCCAAGGTACTGTGTTTAGGAGGCAGGGTACCTAGGAAATCAGTTAGGCTCTGGCCCAAGGGGGCAGAAGGAGGGGTAGATGGAGTGGCTCTACCTCTGCTGGGCCCTGCAGGGAAGGGTGCAACAGCTGCTGGCAGCTTGGCTTGGGGATGTTGGGCCACTGGGCTGGGGTGGAGGGTGGCTTAGCTCCAGGGATGAAGGGGACCCATGGCAACTCACCCCGGGAGCAAGATGCGCTCCAGCTGTTGTTCCAATTCCAAGATGGCATAGCAGAGTAGCCATGTGGGCACAGGGGGCATGGCACAGCATTGGCTTCTTCTTTGGAGGAGCACTGCTGTGTGGACTCCAGGCAGCTTCCTTAGCTGAGCTTGGTGCCTGTGAGAATTGCAGGGACTCCAGTGGTGAGGTCTGTAGGTGGCCAAGGTGTTGATGGGGGTTGCTTGCACCCTCTTGCTTACCTCCTGGTTTCCAGCTGATCCTGGTGGGGGGATGGAATGGTAGAGTCCCAGCATTTTCTTCTGTTCTCTGTGTAGCCATCTCAAGTTTCTGTCACCCATCTGATGAACTCTGGCACTCTCCCTCAGTTATTTTTGTTAAAATAACAATGTTGACCGGGCGCTGTGGCTCAGGCCTTTAATCCCAGCGCTTTGGGAGGCTGAGGCGGGTGGATCACCTGAGGTCAGGAGTTTGAGACCAGCCTGGCCAACATGGTGAAACCCCTTCCCTACTAAAAATCCAAAAATTAGCTGGGCGTGGGGGTGGGCACCTGTAGTTCCAGCTACTTGGGAGGCTGAGGCAGGAGAATCTCTTGAACCCAGGAGGCAGAGGTTGCAGTGAGCCGAGATTGCACCATTGCACTCCAGCCTGGGTGACAAGAGCGAAACTGCATGTCTCTCTCTCTCTCTACCTATCTATCTATCTATATACCTATATCATTGTTTATTCATTGTTTTGGCTATCTTTATGATGGGGAGGAGCACTAGCGGGTTCCAGTCTTGTTCTCCTCCCGAGTGTGATAGCATTTTTAATGGACAATCCTTTAGGGCATCTTTCCAAAGCTTTCAACTTAGTTTTTGTTTCTGTACTTAAAAAAATTATGGTAAAATACACATAACATAAAATTTAAACATTTAATTTAACCATCTTAACCATTTAAGTGTACAGTTCAGTGGTATTAAGTACATGTGTTATTTTGCACCATCCATCTCCAGAACTTTGTTCATTTTCCCAAACTGGAACCCTGTACCCATTAAACACTAGCTTCCCATTTCCCAGTGCCCTCAACCCCAGGCAAGCACCATTCTACTTTCTGTCTCTGTGAATTTGAGTACTCTAGGTATCTCAGATAAGTGGAATCATACAGTATTTGGTTTTTTTGTGAGTGCTTATTTCACTTAGCATAATGTCCTCAAAATTCATTCTTGTTTTAGCATATATTAGAATTTCTTTCCTTTCTAAGGTTGAATTATATTCCATTGTATGTATGTGCCACATTTTGTTTATCCATTCATCAGTCAATGAACACTTGGGTTGCTTCCATGTTTTGGTCATTGTGAATAATGCTGCTATGAACATGGGTTTATGAATTCTGTTCAAGTCCAAGTCCCTGCTTTCCATTCTTTTGGGTATGCACCCAGAGTGGAATTGCTGGATCATATGGTAATTCTATTTTTAATTTTTTGAGGAACTGATTCATCTTAGTTTTTATAGAAGTAACACTTTTTTCCCCCTACTCCCTCCTCTCGCACTCTTATATATATTTTTTGAGACAGGGTCTCACTGTGTCACCCAGGCTGGAGTGCAGTGGTGTGATCATGGCTCACTGCAACCTCCTGGGCTCAGGTGATCTTCCTACCTCAGCCTCCGGAGTAGCTGGGACCACAGGTGCACACCACCATGCCCGGCTAATTTTTGTAATTTTTGTAGAGATGGGACTTCACCATGTTGCCCAGAGTGGTCTTGAACTCCTGAGTTCAAGCGATCCGCCCACCTCAGCCTCCCAAAGTGCTGGGATTACAGGCGTGAGCCACCGCGGCTGGCTTACGCTTACATTTAATAGGTTTTAAAATACAGCTTTATTAAAGTATAACTGACAAAAATATACTGCACATATTTAAAATGCACAGTTGATGTGTTTTGACATATGCATATACCTGTGAAATCATCAGCACCATGAACTTAGTGGACATTTCCGTCACCCTCACAAGTTCCCTTGTGCCTTAAATAATCCCCTCTCCTACTCCTCCCTGCTGCACCCCCCGCCTCTGCCATAATCAAGTAACCGCCAGCTGCTTTCCGTCACTATAGATTAGTTTACAGTTTTTAGAGTTCTATGTAATGGGAATGATACAGTATGGTCTCTTTTTTTCTCTAGCTTCTTTCACTCAGCATAATTAGTTTGAGATTCATGCATGCTATGGTGTATATCAATAATCCATTTATTTATTTATTTATTTATTTGAGACAGAGTCTCTCTCTGTCGCCTAGGCTGGAGTGCAGTGGCATGATCTCAGCTCACTGCAACCTCCACCTCCTGGGTTCAAGTGATTGTCGTGCCTCAGCCTCCTGAGTAGTTGGGACTACAGGTGTGAGCTACCACGCCGGGCTTAATTTAGGCACAGATTTACCCTGGATTAGGCTGAGCACGGTGGCTCACGCCTGTAGTTCCAGCACTTTGGGAGGCCAAGGCAGGCGGATCACCTGAGGTCAGGAGTTCAAGACCAGCGTGGACAGCATGGTGAAACCCCGTTTCTACTAAAAACGCAAAAACTAGCTGGGCATGGTGGCATGTGCCTGTAATCCTAGCTACTCAGGAGGCTGAGGCAGGAGAATCACTTGAGCCCGGGAGGCAGAGGTTGCAGTGAGTAGAGATAGTGCCACTGCACTCCAGCCTGAAAGACAGAGTGAGACTCCGTCTCAAAACAAACCAAACTTTTTTTTCCAACCACCTGCTACCCACTGATGAGCATTTTTTCTTTTTTGTTTATTTTCTTTCTTCCTTTTTTTTTTTTTGAGATGGTGTCTCGCTCTGACGCCCAGGCTGGAGTGCAGTGGCACGATCTCGGCTCACTGCAACCTCCGCCTCCCGAGTTCAAGTGATTCTCCTGCCTCAGCCTCCTGAGTAGCTGGGACTACAGGGGCATGCCACCTTGCCCCGCTAATTTTCGTAATTTTAGTAGAGGAGGGGTTTCACCGTATTGGTCAGGCTGGTCTTGAACTCCAGACCTCAGGTGATCCACCTGCCTTGGCCTCCCAAAGTGCTGGGATTACAGGCATGAGCCACCGCACCCGTTTTTTTTTTTTTTTCTTTTTCAGACAGGGTATTTCGCTGTTACCCAGGCTGGAGTGCAGTGGTACAATCATGGCTCACTGTAGCCTCGACCTCCCAGGCTCAAGCAATTCTCCCACCTCAGCCTCCTGAGAAGCTGGGACTACAGGCATACACCACCATACTTGGCTGATTTTTGAGCTTTTTGTAGAGACAGGGTTTTGTGATGTTGCCCAGGCTGGTCTTGAACTCCTGGGTTCAAGCAGTCCTCTCACCTTGGCCTCCCAAATTGCTGGGATTAAGGCATGAGCCACTGCACCCAGCCAATGAGCATTTTTTCATGTGCTTATTTGCCAGTTATATATTTACTTTGGTGAAGTGTCTGTTTAAATTTTTGCCCATTATTTTTCATTAGGTCGTTTTCTTATTTTTGAGTTTTAAGAGTTGTTTATATATTCTGGATTCTCTATTAGATATGTGCTTTGCAATGAATTTCTCCCTGTCTGTGGCTAATCTTTTCATTCTCTTAAAAGAGACTTTTCATACTTTTTATGTCCTATTTAAATAAATCACACAGTTTTCTGGCATACCAACCTGTCATCAAGTTTAGGGACAACACGGCTTCTCATTATGGGTGGCAGTTCAGCTGGAGGGAGCAAAGGGGTGTGTGGGGACACCAGGGAAGACACTCCCAGCTTTGAAGTTTCCATGTACTAAGGGCATCAATCAGAATGTTCTCCAGAGGAAATGGAACTCATCTTATGGCTGAGGACCCTGTTTTTAACTTGAGCGTGCAATGTGTCCAATGAAAAGACCACACATTTCAGCTTCTTGTCCAGCTTGGTGTAGGCATGTGACTACATTCTGGTCAATGAGATGCAAATTAGAATTGTTGGGTGGACTTTGAATAAGGCTCCTTTAAAGAGGGGCAGGTAGCTAATATATGTCCTTTGGTTTTGGTTTTCTGTGTTCTTTCTGTTTCTTGCCTGGAATGTGGGCAAGCTGGCTGGAGCTTCAGCTTCTATTTCAGACTATGAAGCAACCTTGCAATGTTATGTGGAAGATGGCGTAGAAAGATGAAAGAAGCCCAGGTCCCTGATAATTACAGAGCTGCCACACTAGCTATGTCTGTGTACCTGCAGACTTCCTATGTTAAAGAAAACACTTAATATATTTTAAAAGCAATGTTATTTCTGTTTTTTATTACTAGCAACCAAATGCAATTCCTCACAGACACAGCTGGTTAACATAGCAGTGCATCAGGAGGAAGTCAGCTGTATTGCATATATGCTTATATCATTGAGATCATAATGTGAGAACATTTTAACCCCTGCTTTTCTGCTTTTAAAATTTTCTTTTATTTTCAGACTTTTTTTTTAAATTTTTTGAGATGGAGTCTTGCTCTTTCACCCAGGCTGGAGCGCAGTGGCCTGATCTCAGCTCACTGCAACCTCTACCTCCCGAGTTCAAGTGATTCTCCTGCCTCAGCCTCCTGAGTAGCTAGGACTATAGCCGTGTGCCACCACACCTGGCTAATTTTTGTATTTTTAGTACAGACAGGGTTTCACCATGTCGGCCAGGCTGGTCTCGAACTCCTGTCCTCAAGTGATCTGCTCACCTCAGCCTCCCAAAGTGCTGGGATTACAGGTGCGAACCACCACGCCCAGCCTTCACACTTATTTTTATCACTACTTTTTTCTCCAGTACCATCACCATCTTCAACTTTATCATCTTGTGCTTAATGTCATTATCATTATGAATAAGAATCATTTTCGTTACCATAACCATCTTTAGAGGATTCTCTTCTTGTTGATGGAGGGTGATTTGTGTATAAAATGTATTTTTTTAAATTAAATATTCCATTGGGGCGAAGTGAGGGGAGGCCGAGGGAGCCTTTGTCATTGAGGAACGTCTGTGGAAAGGGGTGGAATTGGTACTCAGACTTAGGACAGCTTCAATATTCATTGGTCATGGGCCACATCAGTCATTTCTGTGCTGCCAATGGCCAGGGTTGCTCCCACATGGGGATGCCCTCTAGGCATGTAAGTGAAACAACAGGGATGGATTTCAGTCTTCTGCCAGAGTTGGCTGGTAGGGCAGGTCAGGGTCAGTACTGCTTATAAAGAAAGGCAGAAGTAACTGAACTCGATAATGTAAGAAATAAGAAACTGTTGGAGGGTCTTGAGTTGGGGAGTAGCATGGTTTGTGTAGGAAGGATTAGGGATGGGGTGGAAGGGACACACAACTGGGTAGTAGTAGTCCAGGCATGAGGTGATGCAGGTCGTGTGTTAGGCAGGTCATGGGTTAAGTAGACATCAAGAGAGGATTAAACATACATACATACATGCCTACATACATACATAATCAGGGGAAATGCCTGTGTGAAGAAAAATAAGGAGGAAGCTGGGGGAGTCTGGGGGAGCCATCAGACCTCAGTGCAAGTGGGACCCTGAGTGAAGGAGAGGGGTAAGAAAGGAAGGAAGTTTGGTGGGAGCATATCAGACTATAGTGCAATTCTAAGAAAAGTTCTGCAAGACCTTGGAGTATCCTTCAGCCAGAGCCACAGTCCCTGGCCAGTGGAGCCCCACATCTCCCAGGAATGGTCCTGCCTTAATATCCCTGCCACACGCATCACTAGCTGGGGTGAGCTGTGGGAAGCATTGCCTTGGAGCAAACATGGGGATGGACTTCAGAGCTCCACAGCTGGGGCCATCAGTCAAGCGTCCACCCTGCAGTGGAAGATCCAGAGGCCCATTTTCCTGGATGACATGGGGATGACTGGGGTGAGGGACATGAGAAGGTGACTGCTGTTGTCTCAGGCCTATCTATTGCAATAACAAATGCTGGCCTGCACTGACTTAAGCAGTAAGGAGCTGTACTATGCAGAAAACCGGATGTCCCAAGGTGGGTGGCTTTCAGGGTTGGCTGAGTCAAGGCTGTAGGATGAAGTACTTCCCATCTCTCTACTCTGCCATCCTTGGGTTGGTTTCCTTCTAGACCAGTAGTGACATGGCCATGGTGGTCCCAGGAATTGCAGCAGGACACAGTGATATCTGGAGAAAGGAGAACGACCCCTATGTTCTGTGGAGCAAGGATCCCTTTCTCAGAGGGGTTCCAGCACATTTCCCACTGCTGGGAAATCTATGCCTCATTGGCCAGAAGTGGGTCACCTGGCCATTCTTGACCATGTCACTGAGAAGGGGAATGAAACCATTGTGATTGGCTTATTGCCAGGGTATGGCACGCTGGCTGTATGTGAGAATTGCTTGGGGAGCTGGGCCCCACACTTCAGATTTCTCTATGAATTGGTCTAGCGTGGATACTGGGCATCAGTAATTGTTTTTGTTTTTGGTTTTTTTGAGACAGAGTCTCTCTCTTGCCCAGGCTGGAGTACAGTGGCGTGATCTCTGCTCACTTCAGCTTTGACCTCCTGAGCTAAAGCGACCCTCTCATCTCAGCCTTCCAAGTAACTGAGACTACAGACACACACCACCATGCCCAGCTAATTTTTATTTATTTTTTTGTAGGGACAGGGTCTTGCTATGTTACCCAGGCTGGTCTCAAACTCCTGGGCTCTAGTGATCCTCCTGCGTCAGCCTCCCAAAGTGCTAGGATTACAGGTGTGAGCCACCACACTTGGCTCTACCAGTAATTTTATTACCTCCTAGGTGATGCTGATGTGCAACCAGGGCTGAGAACTGCTGTTGTCTTGGGGTGGTGTAGATGTTGGGCATCAGCCACCATGTCCATTACAGTCACTTACTAGTTTTTTGTGGCTTAGACAAGTCACTTACCCTCTTTCAGCTTTGGTTTTCTCATCTGTAAAATGGGGTCTGGCAATAGTTACCTCCTGTGCTTCCTGGGAAGACTGAAACAGTTCGTGAGTGCTCGTAGGCTTTGCAAACTGTAAGTCACTGACACCCGGGGGCTGGCTGCTTATCATTCTTATTCAATTTGGAGGGAAAGCACAGCTCCCTCTGCTGCCAAGAACAGCCAGGGCAGAGATTTCTCTTGAGCACAGCTTCCTGTCATTAAAACAAAAAAACGAAAGAGAAGGGAAAACGACAGACTGGGAAGCCACAGGCAATTGCAGTGGGCTTTTTTCTTCTTGGAAGGCGTGGGTTTGAAGGCGCTGCTATAAATGGTTTATGCAAATGAGCTGGAGGCGCTCTGTCCCCTGCCGCTTTAATCCGGGAGAAGCTGGGAGGGAGCCAGGCACAAGGTTTTCCGCCCCTCCTCCCTGTAGTCCTGCAGTGGGGTGGCTGGGGGCAGGCAGATGCTCTTCTGCTGCCTCCAGGGAAGATGGTCAGATAAGGCTCTGCACTCTGGCTCCCCCATGTTCCAGGACACACCTGGCTGCGTGGCTTCTTGGCTCTTTCTGCTCGAGTGAGCACAGGCTAGTGCTGCCAATAGTACTGCAGGAACAAGGAGGGCCCCCACTGGTGCTGCGAGGTCACGGCCAGGCAATCTGTCACCTTTGGGTCTCACTGGGTCCACAGGGACCTGGGGCACTGGAGAGGAGCAGAAGGGGGAAGAGTAAAGAGCCCGCACCATCGGCTCCAGGCTTTCATCTTCCCTCCCTCCTCCTCCTCTTCCTCTTTTCTTCCTTTCTTCATGAAATCTACTTTGAGCATTATGGAGTGACCACCTTGTCAGATGCTAAGGATCTAGAGATAAAAAGATACCTTTCTACCTTCAGGGTGCTCCCAGTATGGGAAGGGCCTCCTGCCATGGCTGCAGGGCTGGGGCTGCACAGAGGACTGGCTGGACAGCCTTGGAGAGGGATAGTCTGGTCTATTCCATCCCAGGGCATTGGGATGATCTCAGAGGAAAGGCTCTTCTGAGCTGGGGGCTGAAGGTGAGGTGGGAGTGTTTGTGGGACCAGTGCCAGGGAGGGGCACTCCAAGGAGAGGGACAGTGTTCAAAAAGCAACAGACAAGTGATGTGCCATGTTCTAGAACACAACTGGCTCGTGTGCATGGAGCATAGGTACATGGGGTGGGGTAGGGGGGGTCATGGAAGGTGAGGCCAGACACATGGGCTGGGGTCAGTTCACAGAGGACCTTGAATAATCCCCAAAGTGGGGGTCGAGTTTATCCTGATGCTCGGGAGCCACAGGAGGTAGAGGGCTGAGTCGGGCAGAGATGCCCGCCTGGCAGCCCTGCAGAGGGGGACGGAGGCTGGAATGATTGTCCAGAGCAGGATGATGCTGGGGGCCTGAACCATGGGCAGAGCCAGGGGAGGGAAGGAGGGGATGGATTTGAGAAGGACACGGTGACCTCTTGGATGGGGAATCTGGGCTGACACCAGATTTCCGGCCTGGATAACAGAACTCAAGGGATAAACTGGGCCCTGGAACCTTGGGGGTGCCCATGTTGGGTGGGGCCAGGAGGAGGACTGAGAAGCAGTCACTTCCAGTGAAGAATGTGCCGCTGGCCCATCCTGGGTTTCCCACCAGACCCTGGTGGAAGGGGGAATGGGAGAAGGAGCTGCTTCTTCAGACAGTTTAGAAATTCTTGATTGCCTCCCCCCAAATGATCCCCATCCCACATTCCTGATTCAGGGAACTCCTGGTTCAGAGATAAAGTGAACCAGTCCAAAGCCTCTATTTTACAGGTGTGAAAACTGTGTCCCGAGAGGGGACTGACTTGCCCAAGGTCACACAGTGAATTATGGCAGGCAGTGTCATGGTTAGTAAAAAAGGACCCCCAAACAAAGTCTAATGTAGCCCACCTCCTTCACTTGCCCTGAGAACAAAGAGCTCTCTTCCCCAGAGGGAATTGGGCTTGGCTAAGCAGGGTTGAGGTTGTGAGGGGTGCAGCATTTGTTTTAGAGAAGGGAGGGGTTCCCAGGGAAGAGACCTCCTGCCCCTATTTGCCTGCTGGTGGAGCCCAACCCAGGAGCTGCATTTGCTGCCCACATTCTGGAGCCCTGACTGCCACCACCGCCACCAGGAGGGAGAAGCCACGGAGACATTAAAAGGGGCTGCCCTCCCTAAATTCCAGAGCCTCAGGGCCTGCCTGGAACTCAGGAGTTCTGACTGCCAGGGAAGGCTTTGCTTTCTCAATGATGACCCTGCACAGTCCTGGGGTCTCTGAAGGAAGTAATCCCGAAGAGGGAGGTGTCGGGGGACAGGAGCCTGAGAGAAGTTACTGGAAAGGGAAGAAAGGAAGGCGGCGGCAATGAGCCACGGATGAATGTGCAAATTGTGAGATGGGGCAGCTGCAGGGAACAGCTAGGAGCTAGAGCGGTGGGTTTCTGTCATTGCAGTCACCCTGTGGTGGCTCCCCTCCTTGGGCTGTCCTTTGTGCAGGAATACCACAGTCCTGACAGCCACCTTTGGTGGCCACACCTGAACTCTGGCTCAGGAGGGTGGGGCAGCCAGCCCTGAGCCAGCCACATGCCCATGGTCCCCAGGTCTTTAGGGACTAAAAGCCCCTGTTTGTGGGGCTATGAGATGTGAGGTTGTCTGGGGTTGGGGTCAGGGACTCAGTCTAGGGCTAGGACTGGAGGTGTAGTAGCAGGGGACAGAGTTCCTTCCTGGACTCAGTGGGGATGAGAGCCACTGGCCTTTCCTGAGAGGCACTGCATGGACCCCATTACTCACAGGTACCTCTGTGCCTGGGGATCTTGCCTGTGGCCCAGCAGCTGGCATGGCCGGTGTCCTCTGGGCTCTAGGTCATGGCCCATAGTGGTAGGCACAGAGCTGGCATAGTGCAGTGGCTGGACTCAAGTCATCTCTCACCTTTGCTGTATGAGAACAGCAGTTCCTATTTTTTGAGCCAAGCCAAGCCCTCTGCTCCTGCAAGGGACTGCCACACCCTTTTTCTTTCTGGAGCATTTTCAGGTTTATGCCTTGCAACCTGTGAGAGCTGGCACCCCCTGCCTCAGTCCCCACTTTCTCTTTTGGAGACGTGTGTGGTGCTGAAGCTCTGACCCCTAGTGTGGGAGTGGCCCAGAGCCTGGCTGGGGCAAGGCCTGCAGGTGGGTGCCTAGGTGCATGACGGGGACTCTGGCAAAGTAGGATGGTGACTGTGGGCACACTACAGCCAAAGTCCAGGGCAGTCCACATTGGGATCAAATTTCACTTTTCTTTTTTTAGAGACAAGGTCTCACTCTGTCAGCTAGGCCAGGTGCAGGAGTGTAATCATAGCTCACTGTAACCTCAAACTCCTGGGCTCAAGTGATCCTCCTGCCTTGGCCTCCCAAAGCTCTGGGATGACAGACGTTTGCCACTGTGCCCAGCTCAAATTTTACATTTGTGGGTGCAGTGGCCCTGGGTCCCTCTGATTGATGCTGTGTTTATTTAACCGAAGGTGGCTGTTCTCAGGGGCAGCACTCTGCAGTAGACAAAGCCCTGGGGCCTGCACTCTTGAGTCTGAAATCTGGGTTCTGGCCCAGCTCTGGCACTTTATAGCTTTAACAATTAATTTCCACCTCCTTGAGCCTCTGTTTTTCTCTTTCTGTACAAAGGGATGAGCATCTGTCCTGTGGTACCTGATAGGGTACTTTTGCAGATCCAGTAAGATACTGGTGACATTGTTTCATAGCTTTTAAGAGCTGGGTCATTCTGAGAGGCCACGTGGCAGAGGGGCAGGTGTTGGGCTCTGATGTCCAGTAGGTGTGTTTCTAAATCCCAGCTTAGCTGAGCATTAGCTGTGTGACCTGGGCAAAGTATTCAGTGTCCCCAAGCCTCAATGTTCCCATCTAGGGTGCTGAGTTCCTCCCCTTCTGGGGGCCCAGAGCAGATGTTTCAAGATGCTGGCAGCAGATGTAATTTTCTGAATTGATTTGGGTACTTATTTGTCAAGTTCCTGCCTAGTTTTTTCAGAGGAAGAGGTGCCAGGACCCCCTACTGATGGGCTAAAGCCCCTTCAGGGGAGCCAGGTCAGAGGTGGGGGGAGACCAGGCCACTAGGCCTTTTGGGGCTAAAGAGCTTTGAGAGGAAGAAGCCCCCAGATAGAACAGCTCTGGGCAGACTGACTTGAGATCAAATCCCGACTCTGCCATTTCCCACCTCTGTGTCCTGGTTTCCTCATTTGTAAGGAAGGGTAAGGTCAGGGCCTCTGTATAGAGGTCAGGAGTAGCTCATCTACAGTGCTACCACATACTAGCGCTTCCCATGCACCCCACATTGTTCTGAGCACACGACATGCATGAGCTCATTTCATCTACCCAGTAGCCGTAGGAGCTAGGCACTATTACTATCAACCCAATTTTTCAGAAGAGGAAATGGACACTTAGTAGATGTTAGAACCAAGGTTTGAACCCGGGAAGTTTGACTCTGGAGCCTACTCTTAATTGCCACCTCTACTGTGAAGCCCCTAGTGTAGACAACACTGGTGGCACTGAGTAGTATTTGCTGTGTCACAGCACTGGGATCCAGCTGCCAGTGGCCATACTGGGAGTACCCCAGCCAAGGGCCTGAGCCCCTGTGGGGTCCTGTACTGTCACTTTGTTGTAGCTACTGACACCCAGTATCTGAGCCCAAAGGTTGGAGTCAGAGGCCCCAGGAGGGGTAGCAGGCAGGGGCAGGGCCAGGGCATGGGAGCAGAAGTGGAGGCCAAGTCAGCTGGTCCTGGGCTTGGCCATCCCTCTGTAAGCTGGACCTGGGAGAGGCAGGAAGCAGGCAAGAGCCAGAGGAAGCAGAATCCCCAGAGGAAGGAGGGGGGCCTCCCAGCTTTGGGGTGGCTTCAGCTAGCTGGGGGCCTGACACAAGAAGGAGTGGGCACCAGGAGCGTAGGCTGAGCCGTGGGGCTAAAGTTGTATATGTGAATGTGAGTGTGAGTGTGTGCGTGGGGTGGAGGTGAAGGGAGGGATGGATTGAGGAGGATCTCTGCCTGTGGAGGAGGGATTTAACCTCCTGTTATCAGCTGCCAGCTTTTCTCATAATCCAGGCAGGCCCATCAGGGATCAGCAGAGTGTGTTTCCGCATCTCGGATGGACGAGGCCCATGTCTTGTTCCAGCACATCCCGCGCTCATCCTGTCTCCTGCGACACCCTGGGTCTCCTCATTTCTCTGCGTCTCTTCTCCCCATAAAGTCTCGTTGCCTGCCCTTCCTCACCCTCCCCATCCAGGTTCTGGTGTAGGGAGCAAATCTTATGTATTCAGACCCTGCTAATTTATCACTTGTGATTGCTGGGACAAAGGCTAGCTTCCAGTTTAAAATTCATTCTATTCCTGAACAAAAATGCAGCACTAACCAGGTGATAAGGGACTGTTTAATCTACTTCCTTAGAAGAACTGACTGCTACCCAGTGCTCTGAAATGGCATTTGCATGTGAGGCACCCATGCAATCATACATGCAAAGCTTAGAATGTGCCTGATGCAGAGTAAGCGGGTACCGAGTAAATGTTTCTTATTAAAGCAGGTCTTCTATTTCTCCTCCTTGGGGTAATATGTATTTTTCTTTTTTTTTGAGATAGTTTTCACTCTTGTCACCCAGGCTGGAGTGCAATGGCACAATCTCGGCTCACTGCAACCTCCACCTCCCGGGTTCAATTGATTCTCCTGCCTCGGCCTCCCGAGCAGCTGGGATTACAGGGGTGTGCCACCACGCCTGGCTAATTTTTGTATTTTTAGTAGAGACAGGGTTTCATCATGTTGGCCAGGATGGTCTCGAACTCCTGACCTCAGGTGATCTGCCCGCCTCGGCCTCCCAAAGTGCTGGGATTACAGGTGTGAGCCACCACGCCTGGCTGTATTCTTAGTGCTATATGCATATCCTGCATCCCAAGTCACTCTTCTCCAAGGCTGGGACAGAGACTTTAGTCCTTCCAGTTCTACGTGGATTCCCGAGTTCTCTGACTCTCAAGCGTTGCTGTTATGGATGGAGCCAGGCAGCGGCCGTCACAGGTGTTATGTTATTCAGTTCTCACAAGTTTCTGGGCCATGTGATCTCCACCATGGAGAAGAGATGGTGGAGCCTCAGAGAAGCTCAGTAGCTTGCCTGTCCAACCTGAAGACCAGAGCTCCCACCCTCCATGTGGGTGGGGTGGGCACATCCATCCACCCTTCCTGACCTGTGACACAGATCTTATCATAGGCAAATGTTTGCCTCCAGCTAGGGACTCAGTGGGTGTGGGCTTTGTCTGGCACACTCTGTCCTGGGAATAGAAACCTGGTTTCTTCCTTGTTCCATCCTTTCTGCCTGGCATGGATGGTGATCCTTCTGTCCAGTCTACGCTGGCCATGCTGGCCCTGAGGCCTGGAACTGGGGAGCACGAGCAGGTGTGTTTGTGTCTTGGAGAGGCCGAGAAAGGGCTGCTTGGCAGTGGGCCTTGGCAGGGAGGGACCTCAACTCCATCCAGGTTCTGTTTGCTCAGATTCCCTTTCAGTCTCCACCCCTCCTCTGCACCTGTTGTGTTCCCATCCTCCTGGGCGGCTGGCAGCTGTCACGGCTGGGGCACCTGTCCCAACCCCCGAGGACGCCCTCTGGGCTCCCTGGCTCCAGTTTCTCTGCAGCACTTGGCTTGCACTCTCCATCTCTGAGTACTTTTGCTCTCCTCTCCCTCCTCATCTCTCACTCTTCCAGACTCGAGGCAGCAGCCTCCACTCTTGTCCTGGCTCTGGGCATAGAAGGAAGCTTTCAGCTGGGGTTCCCTGCTTCCTATTCTCTACTGCCAGGCCCAGCCTAATGAGTAGAGAGGATGGGGCCCTGGCAGGATGGCCATAAGCCTCAAATGCTGATGAGGCGGCTCATCAACTCAATCAAATTATCCCTTGTTCTTGATGAAGGAAACACTATAGCAGCAAGGGGCTGCCTCCCAGCTCCTCCACAGCAGGGTCACCTCCTCTTCCTGGCCTCCCCAGACCCTAGTCACTTCCCCCTACTTCATAAAAAGAAGTTACCCCCTCCCTTGTCCAGTGTTGTCTTCTATACCTCCTGATGCCTGGATTTATATGTCATATTAGGCATAGCAGCAGAAGACATTACTCCTGGGTCCCAGTCCTCCTTGCCTTCCACCCACTGTGTGGCCTTGGCAAAGTCTCTATCATTTATTGGGCCTTCTTTGCTACACCTGTAAAATGGGCCCAGAACTTCTTTGCCTGCTTGAAGGTAGGGGCTGGCCCCAGTGCTCTCTGGAGGCTCTTCCCCATTAGAGAGCTTGGTGACTGTGACTGTGATGGTTTCTATTCCCCAGTGAATTTGTTCCATGTTTTATTCTGGAGTTGCTGGCTCTGCCTTAGACTTTGAGTTCTGAGAGGGCAGGTTTAGGCTGGGAATGAGGTGCTAGGCCTTGGGGAACCTGGATGAGAGAGGACTTGGTGAGGAAAGCCTTGA
Source organism: Homo sapiens (assembly GCF_000001405.40). NCBI lineage: Eukaryota > Metazoa > Chordata > Mammalia > Primates > Hominidae > Homo > Homo sapiens. The sequence goes on from NC_000010.11 coordinate 103,550,207, forward strand.
GCTAGGTAGACCATCATGGAAACCAAGATGGCACCCAAGGGAAGAGGAGCTGTCTGAAAGGGGTCAGGGGACAGGAGATGGCAGGGAAAAGAGGGACAGCTATAGTAGTGGGGAGGGCCTTGGGAGCTGAATGGGTTCAGAGAGCCAAGGGGCCTAAGGTTCCCTAGATGGCATGAGAGGACAGATGCAGCTGGGGATTCTGTCAGACCAGGCCCCCAGGGGCACTGCCAGCCCTGCTTCCTGCCTGCAGGCTTTGAGGTATTAAGTCCCCACCCAGGTCATATATGGGTCTGTGTTCTTCACAATTTCCAGGATGACATCTCCAGTGTCTGTCTGGGTCACCTGTTAGCGGATGAGAAGTCCAGCCTTACTGCCTGTTCTCCACCTGCATTTAGGCTTCATCCCTGGAATGTCACCTTCTGTCTTCTGGAAAACGTCTAGGCTCTGCTGCCATACAGAACCCTTCTGCTTCCTTAAGGAGACGGTCCACTGTCCCCTTGTCTTCTCTCCTCTAAGCAAGAGGGGCCCCTGCCCGTTGCCCTTTCCTGGATGGAGCATGAGTTTTGATGTCAGGCAGGTCTGGGTTTGAAGCCTCGTTTGTCTTGCCTTCAGAATAACCTCTCTAAGCCTCAGTTTTATAGCCCGAAAATGGGGGTGATTATAACTCCTGAAGGGAAGTTTTGGGATTGGCTGATACATAAGATACTTAGCACAGTGCCTGGCACACAGTAAGCGATCAATAAATGGTAGCATTTATAGCTTCTGCTATATATTTACTTATAGCCTCTCCATTCCCCTTTCACATCGTTTCCAAAGTGCGGCTATAGAATGGAACACAGATCATTTAGCCAGAGCTGAAAGAACCTGATTCCTCAATCCCTGCCTGGCTTCTGCTGGGATCTGGAACTGCCTGTTACCCCGTCCATGCCCGTTTTACACCCCTGGCTTCTGCAGGGTGGGCATTGGGTCCTGCTCACCAGTTGGTGTATAGTGGGCACTCAGTGAATGGTTGATGAATGAATAAGTGAATGAATGATGTATGTTAGTGATTTTCTCACCCTTTTAGTAACAGAATCCTTTGGTCAAATGAATTTTTTTTTTTTTTTTTTTTTTTGAGATGGAGTCTCGCTCTGTCGCCCAGGCTGGACTGCAGTGGCACAATCTTGGCTCACTGCAACCTCCACCTCCTGGGTTCACACGATTCTCCTGCCTCAGCCTCCCCAGTAGCTGGGATTACAGGCGTGTGCCACCACGCCTGGCTAACTTTTTATATTTTTGGTAGAGATGGGGTTTCACCATGTTGGCAAGGCTGGTCTTGAACTCCTGACCTCAAGTGATCCACCCGTCTCAGCCTCCCAAAGTGCTGGGATTACAGGTGTAAGCCACTGTGCCCGGCCCCAAATGAAATTTTATGGGATGCCCCAGTGAATAAAACAGAGAAGGGGTGCAGCTCTTCTGCCATATCCCGGGGCTGCCTCTCCCTCTAGAGGTCCTGGACACTGCCTGAGGAAGTGACAGGAGAGGGAAGCCTCAGACACAGGACATTGATTGCCACATCCTATTTGGGGAAGTGATTGTGGGAAACAGGCTCATACGTCTGTGGGAAAACCCTTTTAGACTGCAGTGTCAAAGGCCTGGGGGCCACTCGGGCCACCTCCCAGTTCTCTGTTCTGTTTCACTCAAGTGGCCAGAGTTGGGGCTGCTGCTCATCTGAAGGACTTCCAGCTCGTGGAGCCCCAAACCTGCCCCATCCCTGCTTGCTTACCACTTGGCTGCTTTCCCACAGTCCTGTGTCTGAAAATTACATGATTTCAGGTCTGTTTGTGAGATGTTTTCTGAGTGCCTGCTCCGGGCAGGGGCAGGAGTGATGTGAAGCCCGAGGGGAGTGAGGCTAAGTCAGGCAAGGCTCACCCTGTGGGGTGCAGGATGCGGGATGTTGCTGCTGCTGCTCCCTCCCCTTGAGCCTCCTGCCTCCTCCCTCACCCTTCACAACCAGATAGGACAGTGACTTTCTGAAATGTGGGTCTGGTCTGTTGCCTCCCTGCTGCAGGACTTCCCTATTGCTCTCAGGAAGAAGGCCAGAGTCTTCGCCCTTCTCCTCAAGACCCTCCTGGTGTATCCCTGACCCATCCTGGCTCGGCAATGGAGCGTTTCCTGAGGCTCCTCCTGCTCACCCTGCTCCATACCAACCTTGCTTCTGGAACACACCAGCTCTCTCCAGCCACAGGGCCTTTGCCTATGTTGTACTCACTCTCTCCCCTAAGCCACCTCCACAGCACAGGGCCATTAGCCTTCAGATCTTGCCTTCACTGTTGCTTTTCAGGAAAGCCTGTCCTGAGCCTCCCAGAACCTTGCTCCTTTCTTTCAGACCCTTTTTCTCAGGTTGTGATGATATACTCCTTAGTGAGACTACTGGATAAATGTCTGTTTCCTTCTGGACTGGAAGTCCGCGAGAGCTAGGACCTGCCACTGAGGGCCACCCTTGCATCCTTAGTGTCTGACACATAGTAGGGGATCAATAAATGTGGGTAGAGTTGAATTAAATGGTTGAGGTGCACCCAGGAGAAGCTGGGGCAAGCAGATAGGGCCCCAGCCAGGCCATGGCTCTCTCTGTATAGGACCGAGTAGGGTAAGTGTTAGGAGATGCCCAGCTCAGGAGCTCAGAGGAAATATAAGTGCCAAGAACAGGGACTTACTCTTACCTAGGGCCCTAGGGAGGCTTCCCAGAAGAAGTGTTCCCAGTGCTGGGTGATGGGAAGGGGGCATTCCAAGTGAGGAGAAGGCAGGAACCAAGGTGAGAGGGAGGCTGATGTCTGGGTGTGGGGCCATAGGAAGGCCAGGCTGGCATGTGCGAGGGATTGGTGGGCAAGGGGCCAGCTGAGTGTGTTAAAAGGCAGGCAGGGTGTGGAGGGTGACTCTGCTGCTACAGGAACAGCCTCCAAAGCATCTTCTTTTGGCCTCAATTTCCTCATCTGTAAAATGGGCATACACATACACTGATCTCTTAGGGTTGTCGTGAGGATTGAGCAAGTTAAATGCGTCACACGCTCAGGGCAGTGTGGATCATGCAGTAAGACCTCGTGTTTGCTGTTATTATGATCATTATCCGACAAAAGGAGTTTGGCTTACTTTCTCCTTGTCAGACTGACTTAGCTTCCCGCCCCCATGGGAACTGGGTATGTGTGCCAGGAAGTGTGTGCGTGTGTGTACGTGTGACTGCACAGCTATGAGCCGGTATGTGCCTGTGGAAAGTGGGCTGCCTTGTGCGGACTCGGGTGTCGTGGCTTCTCCCGGAAGTCGTGGGCATGCCTCTGGCTCAGGGGAGCATCGGCCGACTGGGCTTGCTCTCCCCCAGATCCCGCCCAGCCCTCTGCTGATGACTCTAGGTCAGGCCTGAATGTCCCTCCTAACCGCTTCCCCAGACCCACTCAGAAGTGGGAGCAGCAGGGTCTTGAGCTGCGGGCTCAGGACCCAGTCCAGTCCCTTACAGGGCCCAGGCCTCTGAGTTCCATCTGCTGTGGGACAGCCTCCACCTTTCCCGTGGCCCCTTCCTCAGCCCCTACCCCTCTGTCCTCCCACCTGCCCGCTGGCTTTCTCTTCCCACCCAGCCCTTTCCCTGGGGTCCAAGATCCCAGACCTTGAGGACAGGGGCTGGTGTCCAGGCCAGGGCCAGGGAGGATGGTGCTGTCCTGTTGTCCTGGTAGAGGCCCCTGAGCTTGTGTTGGATGGTGACATTGTCCCTCAGACATGGCCTGAGTCCTGGTCCTGCCTGTGACCTGCTGGGTAACCTCACGCAAGCTCCTTAGCCTCTCAGAACCTCCACTTTCTTCTCTGTAAAACAGATATCATCATAGCCACTGCCACCCACACAGTTCCTGGTGCACGGTGCATGCTCATTGCATGGCAGCTGCTCTCTTGATGATGATCTGGGCTCCCGGCATGCCTGCCCAGGGCTGGAGGGGCCTGCCATCCCAGCCTCCCTCTTCCCCCTCTGTTCCCACCTTTCCCTCTTCCCTGAGTGTGGGGTGCCAGTGTCCACCTTAAGATTTCTCTAGAAACTTTGCGAGTCTGTGGAAGCAGGCGTATGTTGACTGTGGACATTGAGAGGTGTGCATGTAACCATGTGAGTACATGTCTGGTGGTCAGTAGATGGCTGAGTGCGCTCAGTGGTGAATGCTCCCAAGTGCTTATGAGCCCATGTATATGCACATTTGTGTGACATGATGCAGAAGAATAGTGCAGGTCTGTGTTGGGGTGTGTGGTGTGTGTGTATGTGCATGGTTAAAGGGATAGGTTGGTGTGGGGGGGAAAAGCCTGGATTCTGGTGCTGCACTGCCTGGGTTTGCATTCCAGCCTTGCCACCTTTTAGGTGAGCAGCCTCTCTTTGTCTCAGTTTTCTCATCTGTAAGACCATCATCATCATCTTAGAGATGGTACCTGTTGATCTGTTGATAATGACTGTAATACTGACCTCATCATTCAGCCTGTGAGGACCAAAGGAGTTAATACTTGCAAAGCCCTTGGAACAGAGCCTGGAAGAAGACAGAAACGGTGTTAGCACTTGGTTAACAGCTCCATCAGCTTGATTGTGAACCTCTTGAGGGCAGGGACGATGTCTGTTTTGCTTCCCAGGGGGTCCCCTCTCACCTAGCAGGACCTCTGCATGTAGTAGGTGCATGAGGCTAGTGAATGAATGGCTGTCGGCCTGGGCGTTCAGGGAGGGCTGTGTGTGTCACTACATCCCTGAGATGGGGCTGTGTGTGATGGGGATGTGTGTGCGTGTGCGCGCCTCTGCTCGCTTTCTGGAGCTCGCTGCTATTTCAGGAAGCCTCCAGTCTCCTCCTCCTTATGTAAATAAACATGACAGATCCCATCGGCTGTACCAGCGCGGGAGGTGGGGAGGCTGGAGTGGGTGGGAGCGGGGAGGCGGCGGCCGGAGGGGTGTGCGTGCTGCGTGCGCGTGTGGCCGGCTGGCCGCGGGCGGGCGGCGTGCGCGTGTGCCGGAGGGGGCGCGTGGGGGCGCGTGGGGGCGCGGGAGGGGCCTCGGCCCTGCCATGCCGGTCTCCGCCCGCGGGGGAGGAGACGGGGGAGGAGGAGGGGAGCAGCCGGCCGGGGCGACTCGGTGACCAGCCGGCCGGCCCAGCAGAGGTGGCTGCACTGCCCGTCGCCGGAGATGGGGGGACAGATCACCCGGAGCACTCTCCACGGTAAGGCCCCGCGGATGCCTGCGGGCCCGCCCACCCCAGCCCGAGACCGCCTGGGGAGGCCGGGCGGAGGGGCGCTGGGGCTGAGGGCTTGGTCATGCCCCTACTTCTCACTCCATGGAGGGGTCTGGGGCTGTGTGGGGGCACCTTTTGGTGGTGGGCACTGGGGTGGGGGCAGCAAGGGAGCTGGGTAGAGCAGGAAGAGGGGTGCCTTCCCTGACAGTGGCGCCCTCCCACTGATGGTGGGAGGTCAGGCAGCTGAGGCTCCCCACAAAGTCTCCTTGTCCTCTTACCTCCTTGTCCTCTTACCTCCTTGTCCTCTTACCAAGGTGCTGACTAGTCCCCAAGTGGGATGCGAGGTCCTGGGTTTCCCTACCCACCTCTCCCGGGACGGAGGCAGCCACAGTTAGTTAGACAGCTGAGGGGACCTGCTTGTCGGCTCTGGGATGTGGGCCTTGGAGATGGTGCTGTGTTCTATGCTGGAGCCCCGCAAAGACATGTGGGCACCCACATGTGTGCTGAGTGTGCATGTGTGTCTGTGCTCGTGAGTAGGCACTGAAGGTGCCCGTGGGTGTGCACCTGTGCCGGCTTGTGCCTAAGCACACGGGTGTGCAAGTGACAGCACCCCACAGCGCCTGACCTCGCTTCTCCAAGTGTGTGCTCTGTGGGGGAGGCCAGAGAACTTCTGAGCCCTGCAGGTCACGTCCACAGTCAGACAGACCCACAGCCTGGAGCTGGAGGGGTTAAAGAGAGGGGGCCACTGGCTGGCTCCCCATTTGCAGAGCTCCTGCTTGCTCCAAACCCTGTCCTCTTGTTCCCCTAGCTCTAGTACTGTGGTCTTGGGAGCGCCATGGCCGATGTGGCAGCAGACCCGGAGAAGCCTTCCTAGGGACTTGTGTGTCTTCCCTGGGCCCTGGGAACTGGGGTCCTTTACAAACCAGCCAGAACAGAATAGGCTGACCTTGGGGAGTCCCTGACGCACTCCCCTATGTACCCTGCTCCCTGCTTGGATGGGGTATTAGGAGGTGGGACAGTGTCCATCTGCCGAGTCCAGTGGGCACTGAGGAGCCTGGGAGAGGCTCAGGAAGGAAGGAGGGTGGTGGCAGGAGCGCATGGGCAGCCGCAGCCGGAACTGGTGACCAGGTGGCTTCTCCCTTCCAGGCTCTGGACTTTGGGAGAGTAATTTCTAATTAAAAAAGAAAAAAGACAGGGAAAGATGTAGGAAAAGCAAATCATTGGCTCTCTTAAAAGGAAATGAATTCCGTCCTGGGTTTGGAGGGCTAAGTGACAGATGGAAGGCCCTGGAAGACACATAATCCGGAGCCAGGCCAGGGGCACTGCCAGTGGCCTGGGCCTTGGCCGGAGAGTTGGATTGGGCTGACCTGAGCCTGGCCTTGCCCGTCTGTGGGGTGGGGGCTCTTCTCAGGGCTTGCTGGCCCCGGCGGGGCCTGTTGGCAGAGGGTCTGGAGCCGACTGGCATTTTCCACTGGAGTCAGACTTGGGCAAGCCTGTGGTCTGGGAAGGACAGAGAGGCTCTCAGAGCAGACTCAGGACATAGTACACTGTCCTCCAGCTGCCTGGAGCACAGGCTCCCTAGAGGGTGAGACCACCTTAGCTCATGCTCTGGGAGTGGGTAGATATGTTTTGTAAGGAAGGCAAATGTCTTCCCGAGCCTCAGTTTTCTCACCTGTCAATGAGGCTAGTAATAGCACCCTCCTTCTAAGATTGCTGTGCAGGCCAGGCCCGATGGTTCACGCCTGCAATCCCAGACACCTTGGAGGCTGAGGTGGGAGGATTGCTTGAGCCCAGGAGTTCGAGACCAGCCTGGATAATATAGTGAGACCTCGTCTCAAGAAAAAAAGAAAACAAGATTATTGTGAGGATTACATGAATCATGTGAGCAGAGAACTCAACATGGGGAAAATCAAGAGGGCTTGGAAAGGCAACCTGGGCCCAAGGTCATATTCCCTCCCTCTCATTTGTCCCATTTCCCTGGGGGCAGGAGGATCACTTGCGGTGCTCTAAGAACTCTAGGAATTGGGCATCCAGGCTAGGTGGCCATCAGTGAGCGCTCATCAAATGCCACATCTGCCTTGACCTCCACCCTTTTGCCAGGACCGCCCTCCCAGGCGGGGCCTCCCTTAAGCTGGCCCTGGGCCTTTGCCATTGCACAAGCAGAGGGGACAGGAGTTGGAAGGTCTGGAGAGGGAGTGTTTGCCTGTGTCCACACAGCCAACCTCCACCCCCATCAGAACCCTTGCATATGCGTCCTCATGCATCCACGCCCATGTGTGCCCACACCTGTACACACGCCCTAGCTGCCCCAGCGGCTCTGGTTTCACCTTCTTCTGGGAAATGAGCTGGGGCCAGCGGGAGACGCAGGGGTTTGCTCCTTCCTAGGGGTGCCGTAGCCTGTAGCTGGGCTCCTGAAGACACATTGAAATGGTCCTTGATTGTATTATCTTTTCTTTTCTTTTCTTTTTTTTTGAGACGTAGTCTCTCTCTGCCACCCAGATTGGAGTGCAGTGGCATGATCTCAGCTCACTGCAAACTCTGCCTCCTGAGTTCAAGCAATTCTCTGCCTCAGCCTCCCGAGTAGCTGGGATCACAGGCACCCACCACCATGCCCGGCTAATTTTTTGTATTTTTAGTAGAGACGGGGTTTCACCATGTTGGTCAGGCTGGTCTTGAATTCCTGACCTCGTGATCCACCTGTGTCGGCCTCCCAAAGTGCTGGGTTTACAGGTGTGAGCCACCGCGCTTGGCTGATTGTATTTTCTTTAGGGCCTTGGACTTTCGGCTTGATTCGGGCCAAACATTTTGGATTGCTGCGTTAAAGTGAGTGAGGGGAGGGTGACAGGAGGACCCAGGACTCTGTATGTGTGTCGGGGGTCATCTAATTGTGTGTTTTGTTTGTGGACGTGTTTTGGCTCTCTGAGCTTCTGATGTCAACAGATGTGTATCTGTGTTTTAGATCTCTGTGTACCTGTGTGATGTGTCTCTAACTGTGGATTGAAGCGACTGTGTGTTGCCGGGCCTGTGTTTCCATGCGGGGGCAGCCACATCTGTGGTACTCTGTGCCTGTGCCATGCCTGTGTGTGTGTGTGTGTGTGTGTGTGTGTGTGTGTGTGTGTGTGTAGTGGGGCTGGTGGTGAGGAGTCGGGCTCCTCTGGGACCAGCCTGGCAGGAGACCCATGGGGAAATGAATTCCCATTTGGAAAATGGTTTAAGCGGTTACACGCTTGATCTCTTCCATTCGGTAGGTTTCCAGAGCTGCTCCTGGTCTTGAGAGCAGGCTGACAGGGGCGGGAAGGGTAGTGCGAAGAGGGAGGCAGCAGTGACACTGGGAGGTCCCCCTCCTCTCGCCTCTGCCGTCCTCTCTTCTTCCTTTCCCCCCACTTCCTCCTTCACCTCCCTTCAATGCTCCCTCAGGGCAAGGAAGGGACCCCTTGCTGACGGCTGATGTGTGGGTGACACACGCACCTGCACCCAGACATTCATGTCACCCTCAGGTTAGTCTCTGGATTTAACAAGCCTGAGTGTCAGAGGATGCTGGCGTACAGGGACCCGAGACATTGGCTCCCACCCCCTCCTGTCACAGAGGGAGATGCTGTGGCCAGGAAAGGGAAATGGCTAACTGAGGCCACACAGCTGGCGCCTCAGTGGGGAAGCCAGGACTTGTTCCTTCTGCAGCCGGTCCCCCACTTACCGTTCTTGGGTTCCTTAATCCTCAAGCAGGCAGCAGCGGAGAAGGCATCCAGTGGCCTTGTGAAACCCAAGATTAGCAGAGGGAGCTACCTATCTCCCGGCAGCAGCTCTGGGGGCTTAGACCAAGGGGAGCTCCGGAGCTTGAAGGTGCACATCCCCACACCTGGCTCGTGCCTGTGGGCTCCAGGAAGGTGGGCATCCGGTCACTCTAGCTCTGCATTCCCTTACCTCAGCCTGGCGCCTGGCACACAGTGGCTCCCAGCAGATGCTGGGTCAGTGGGTAGCGGGGAAGAGTGTGGGGTGGACAGAGGCCCTTGCCTGCTGGACGGCAGGGCAGTTGGAGCTGAAGGTGGCCTGAGGGGTGGGTGGGGTAGCCATCAGGGAGGTGAGGCCAGGGCTGGGCAGTGAGGCCAGGCAGTATTTGGAAAGGAAGGGAAGGCGGAGCAGGTGTTCTCGGTGAGAGTTTGAATCCTGTTCTGCTCTTGCTGGCTGTGTGACTTTGGGTCAGTACCTTCATCTGTCTGCATCTCAGCGTCCACTTCTGTAAATTGGGAAGGGTAAGTTTTACCTTATAGAGTTGTAGGAAGGATTAAGTGAGCCAGTGGACGCTAAGGGCAGTACACCTGGTACATAGTAAGCACTCCACAGAGTGTGCTTTTATGAAGGTTTTTGTGGAGGCTCCTCTAGGTCTGTGTGTGCTTGCCAGTGCATGCACACACATATGTGCGCACACACACACATGTACATGTACACATACGCACACACATACACACATGCATGCACACACACAACACACACATGCACACACATATTACACACATGCACACACACGTACATGCACGCACATATATACACATATGCACATGCACACATATACACAATGCACGCACACATGCACACATACACACAAGTGCACACATAAACACACGCACACACACATACACGCATGCACACACACATACACACTCACCTGCTGCCTCTGTCCCCCAGCCCTGCACATTGGTTGTGTCTGCCATGAGGCACACGTGCCATCTGTGTGTGTGCACGCATGTACACATGCATGACTGTGGATTTGATATGGGGAGCTAGGGGTGCTGATGTTACTGGGCTGCACTTCCCCTCATTCTCCAGGCCTGGCCTGGGGGGCTGGAAGGACTGGGGCAGGGATTGGGAGCTGAGCCCTGAAGAATTAACATTTGGAGTCCCCTCCTGGAATCTTGAGGTGGGACACAAGAGGGAGAGGAGGAGGACTGGTCCTTCTCCCAGAGCAGTGAGGAATTGGGAGGCACAGCTGTATAACCTCTGGCTGCTAGAAATGTCAGGATGGGGATGTTGCAGAGTGAGTGAGAGCAGGAGGCTCAGTTGGGGATTAACTTGACTATGAAGGTGCCAGTCTTAACCGTTGCCTGCCACTTTCTTTCACCCACCCTGTCATGATGAGTTCATTCATCTTCCAGGGAGCAGCAGGACCTGCCGTTCGCATGCCAGGAACTCTGTGGGAGGTGCCAGGGTGCTAACATGGCCCCCACCCTGGGCATGCACAGGGGCTGTGGTGTTCATGGAGAAACTAACTTAGGAGGAGAGAGGGGACTGAGCATGCCAGTTAGCTAGCTGGAGCCCGTGGAGGAACCTCTGCACCAGTGCGACAGATCTGAGTTCAGAGCCCAGCTCTGCCACTTACCAGCTATGTGACCTTGGGCAAGTTATTGCCTCTCAGAGCCTCTGTTTCCTTATCTGTGAAATGGGACTATTGATACTGTTTTAGTCATCTATTGCTGCTTAACAAATTATTCCAAAACTTAGCAGCTTAAAACAACAAACATTTAATGATCTCCCAGTTTCTGTGGCTCAGGAATCTCTGCACTGTTTAGCTAGGTGCCTCCGGCTTCATGTCTGTCATGAGGTTGCAATCACATTGTTGGCTGTGGCTGCTTCGCAAGGCTTGCCAAGCTTACTCACGTGGCTATGGGCAGTCCTTGGTCCCTTGCCACACGGGCTTCTCCATGGGGTGGCCCCACACCGTGGCAGCTGGCTTCCCCCCGAGGGAGCAATTCAGGAGAGGCAAGAGAGTAACCAAGATGGGAGCCACAGTCTTTTTATAACCCAGTCTTGGGTGTGACATTCCATTACTTCCTCTGTATTCCTTTTTTTTTTTTTTTCGAGACAGAGTCTCACTCTTCTCACCCAGGCTAGAGTGCAGTGGTGTGATCTCAGCTCACTGCAACCTCCACCTCCTGGATTCAAGCAATTCTCCTGCCTCAGCCTCCCAAGTAGCTGGGATTACAGGTGCCCGCCACCATACCTGGCTAATTTTTTTGTATTTTTAGTAGAGACGGGGTTTTATCATGTTGGCCAGGCTGGTCTCGATCTCCTGACCTCAGGTGATCTGCCCACCTTGGCCTCCCAAAGTGCTGGGATTACAGGCATGAGCCACTGCACCAGCCACTTCCTCTGTATTCTATTCATTCGAAGCTACTTGTTAGGCCCAACCCACGCTTAAGGGGAAGGGGTCACACAAGGGCCTGAATGCCAAGAGGTGGATGCAGGGATTGTTGGGGCCATTTTAGAGGCTGTTCCCATAGACACCTGCCTTGCAGGGATTGGAGGGTGTGATCAGGTTGTGTATGAAGGGCAAATGCTGCAGCATTTGATACACAAGAAAGAATCAACCCTCATGGCCTTCCTTATCTGCTTCTTTTCTACTGCTGGCAAGTGAGGAGCTATTGAAGGTTCTTGAGCAGGCAGGGCTGTAGTCAGGCATGCTAGGCAGGGAAGGGAGCTGCTCCCTTTATTCCTTTCTTTTTCTAATTTCTCCACCGGACACCAGAAAGGGCAAGGCACGAAGTGGGTGCTGCCTGAACTCCTGCCAATTCATCAGTAGATAGAAGAATCAAACACTAGCAATTCATTCAGTAACTTTTATTGAGGACCTGCTATATGCTGTGAACTAGGCTATAGGGATACAGTAGTAAAAAAGACAATGGCTCTGGGCACCATGGCTTACGCCTGTAATCCCAGCATTTTGGGAGGCCTAGGCGGGCAGATCATGAGGTCAGGAGTTCGAGACCAGCCTGACCAACATAGTAAAACCCCGTCTCTACTAAAAATACAAAAATTAGCCAGGCGTGGTGGCTCGCGCCTGTAATCCCAGCTACTCAGGAGGCCGAGGCAGGAGAATCACTTGAACCTGGGAGGCGGAGGTTGCAGTGAGCCAAGATCACGCCACGACTCTCCACCCTGGGTGACCGAGCCAGACTCCGTCTCAAAGCAAACAAACAAACAAAAAAAGAAAGTGGTCTCTGCCCTAGGGAGGCTCACAGTCCATCAGGGGGAAAGACAGGCACAAATAACCTTGCAGCCTTTCCCAGTGCAGTGCTACTCTGCAGAACACAGAAGCTGATGGGAGTGACTTCTCAACTCTCCTGAGGATGGCATAGAACCAAAATCATTCTGGATGCAGAAGAGACAAGTCAATGCATTGCATACAACAAGTGCCTCGGGGTATCTGGGCTTAATCTTGTGTAAGAACCAGGATTGGGAAAGGCTGCTTGGTGATGCGTCCTCTGTTAGGGGGCTGATGGGGTCCTCAAAGGTCCATAGTAAGGCCCCTAACCTAGTCTGGGGGTCAGAGAGACTTCTGGGAAAAATCTACGTCCGAAGGATGCATGAGAAAGGCAGATATATAGGTGGGAAGGAGGAAGGAAATGTTCCCAGCACAGAAATGGGCCTGGGCCAAGCCTGGAAATCAAAGACAGGTGTGGGAGGTGGAGGCCCCTTTAGGGAACCCAAAGAAGTTTAATTCTGCCCAGTTTTACAATCATCTCTGTCCCCCAAGTTCCATCCCCACCTGTCCTTCTCCCACCAGGAGTCAGGCATCCCCAGCTTTCCAACCATTCTCCTAAATCCTTTCCCCCAGAGGGAGCCCTGTTCAGTTAATGCAGTTAAACGAGTCCATATCAGGACCACCCTGGCAATCTGAGATTAGGACGTTTGGGGTAAAATAAGACTGAAGTTCCTAGTCTCCCATTGGACTGAAATGAGCCGATCATTTCCTGCAGTAGTTATGTTTGCTTTTATATTTTTAAAAAAGACCTTATGTTGCGATCAAGTGTTAAAGTTTGCAAAATTCTTTCACATCTATAAACTTACCGGGGCCTCACTACAGCCTAGAGAGGTGGGCAGGGCAGCTATGATGAGCTTCATTTTACAGAGAAATAAATCAAGGTCCAGAGAGGTGAAGCAACTTGTCCAAAGTCACACAGCAAGTCTGTGGCCTGGTCAGGGTTTGAACCCACGGCCTCTTGCCTCCAATACTCATTCTCTGTGCCTCGCCCCACCGCCCAGAAAGTGAGACGAGACTGTCTCTTGGATGAAGATGATGATGCCAGCACTGGTATTCAGGACCACAGATTCAGAACAAGATGATCTTGGATGCAGTGGGCTTCAGCTGGGCCTTGAAAGATGGGTGGGGTTTGGAGAGGCGCAGATGAGGCAGAGGGAATGGCTTGAGCAAAGGTGTGGGGATAGGAAAGCAGAATGATATAAATAGTAATAATAATAATAATAGCAACTACCTACTGAGTTTTACAAACACCATCTATTTTAATCCTCACAAGAATCCCATGAAGGCCTGCCATGACCCCATTTTACAGATGAGGAAAGTGAGGCTCCCAAGGTCTTACAGTTAGTGACAGAGCTGCTAGGTTTGGAGGCAGCCAGCCCTGGGTTCAGATCTGGGCTCCTCACTCAATGTGTAAACCTAACTTCAGAGGATCTGTGCCAGAGTGGCATTGGGGGCATAAATCAAGACACTGCCCTTGAAGCCATGAGAGGCTGGGCACTGTCATCAGTATCAGTGCCTCTGCTCTTGGCTGGGGTGGTGAGCTCCCCCCCATCTCTCCTTGGCAGCCCAGCTGAGCCCAGCCTAGGGCATCTGGGTCTCTGCCAGTGGTTCTGGGGCAGAGCTTGGTGGGGGCCATGGGGAGGTCACTCCGGAGGGTATGTGTGTCAAGGCGTCTGCCCTGGGACCCCGCTGAGAGGCAGGAATGTGGTCTGCCAGCTGAGGGTCACCCGGAGAGCTGGCCAGGCTTGTGTCTGGCAGCTCATAAATGCCCAGGAGGAATGGGGCTGTCGGGGGAGTTTCCACCATGTCAGCAGCAGCCTCGCCTGAGGAGGGTGCCCCCACTGGGGCTCCCAAGAAGCCTGTAAACCTGTCACTTGAGGGCCCTCCCTGGGAGCTCTGCTGAGAGCCACGTGGCACAACTGGGGCTCCATCCAGTTGTGTGTGCCTCTGTAGAGCAGTTGTGCAGCCCACACGCCCCCCCCATTTTGAGGCACTTTGCTGCAGCTGCTCCCCTAGCCTGGGCTGCCCAGCCCCTCCTGCACACAGCCTTCCCCGAATTGCCTGCTGTCTTGGACTCGTGGGGAAAAGGAGCTCTAGTACCACAGGCTGAGTAGGGTAAAGGTCCCCAGACATGGCTTTGGAAGACCAGGGTTCAAGTCCCAGTTCTGCCACATAACTGCTGTGTGACCACAAGTGAGTTGCTTAACCATTCCGAATCCAACTCCTTCATTCGTAGAATAGGGACCTTAAAGGGTCATAGTCCCAGTGCTGGGAGGGACCCTGTTACATAGTGTAGGGGGGAAGCCCCACCTCCAGCTGTCCCCTCTGGACCCTTGGCATCAGAGCTATGTCCAAAGTTCATTCTCATTTTGCTTTCTGCTTGCCACCCCACTCCCTGCCTCCAAGATTTTAATGCCAGGATGGAGGAGGGGGTAGCAGGAGCAGGGACACTGCAGTGGGGTAGGAGGGGGGTCACCCTGATGAAGGCTGCACATTGGACACTCATAGTCCATGAGAACAGCGCCCCCTAGAGGAGTGCTGGGCACAGCGCATCGCGGCCCCAGCCCTGGTTTAGAAGAGTGGCGAGGCCTGAGTTAGGGCTGTAGCCGCAGGGTGGACAGGAGAGGACAGAACCCAGGGGTGCTTATTCCTGAGGCAGGATTGGTAGATGGGGTGAGGGGTGCTCAGGGGCTCCCCTGGAGCCAGGAACAGGGAGGGGCAGGTCAGGAGGGCAGCTGGGGCCTGCCACGTGACAGGAGCCCACAGTCCATGGCAGGAGATGCCCAGCACACCAGAGAGGCTTTTCAAGTGGTCTCCCCAGAGGTGGCTCAGTGGGTGATGATCACACAGCGAGCTGAGTACAGACAGAAGGGGCTGAGGACAGCTGCTCAGGCCGGGCCGGGCCTGGCAGAAGACAGGCACGGTAATCAGTGGGTGGGGCTTTGCAGCTATGAAGTGCTCTCTCTCCATACCTGGGGCAGGGAACCCCCGTTCTGTTTCACAGCTGTGGAAGGAACTTAAGGGTTAGGGTGACAGGCCCAACTAAGCACTGGGGCTCTTCTGGTAGATGGCCACATCCTAGGCACTGCCCAGGGTGAGCTGATGGGGGTGCCGTGGTGGTGAGAAAGTGCAGCCTCTCTTCTCTCCGTCTGAATGAAGATGTGACTTGTTAGTTGTATTATAGATTTTACTTTTAAATTTAATTTTTTGTTTGAGACAGGGTCTTGCTCTATTGCCCAGGATAGAGTGCAATGGTGCTCTCACGGCTCCCTGCAACTTTCCAGGCTCAAGTGATCCTCCCGCCTTAGTCACCTGAGCAGCTGGGACTGCAGGTGTACACCACCATGTCTGGCTAAGTTTTGTAGTTTTTTTGTAGAGAAGGGGTTTTGCCATGTTGCCCAGGCTGGTCTCGAACTCCTGGGCTCATGTGATCAGCCTGCCTTGGCCTCCCAAAGTGCTGGGATTACAGACCTGAGCCACCGCACCCAGCCAGTTGTAGCTTTTAAATTGAGGTATAATATGTATATAGTAAAACTCGTCCTTTTCGAGTGTACAGTTTTGTGAGTTTTTACAATGTACAAGTTGTGTAACCACTACCCCAGTCTCAAGATATGGAACATTATTTCTTTCTTTTCTTTTTTTTTTAGAGACAGAATCATGCTCTGTCACCCAGGCTGAAGTGCAGTGGTGCTATCATAGCTCACTGCAATCTCAAATTCCTGGGCTCAAGCCATCCTTGCGCTTCAGCCTCCCAAGTAGCTGGGATTACAGGTGCGAGACACCATGCCTGGCTAATTTTTTATTTTTATCTGTACAACGAGATGAGGTCTCACGGTGTTGTCCAGGCTAAGATATGGAACATTTCTATCGCCATAAAAACTTCCTTCCTGCCTCTTTGTAGTCAAATCTCTCCCCTACTCTCCTTCTCTGATACCTACTGATCTCTGTCTCTCTCTAGTTTTGCCTTTTCCAAAATATCATACGGATGGAATCGTACAGCATACAGCCCTTTGCATCTGGCTTCTTTCACATAGCATACTTTTGAGAGCCATTTTTTTAGTGTATATCAGTGGTTATGTTCCTTTTTATTGCAGAGTAGTGATTGCATGGAGCTGCCACATTTTTAACTGCTCACCAGCTGAAGGACGTTTGAGTTGTTTCTAGTTCAGGGTTATTATGAATAAAGCTGCTGTACGTTTGTGTACAGGTCATTGTGTGGACATGTTTTCATTTCTTGTGGGGAAATGCCTGGAAGTGTGATGCTGGGACATATGTTAGGCATTTTTCACTTCATGAGAAACTGCCAAACCATTCTCAACACTGGCTTTCCAGGTTGTGTCGTGTCCCAACAGGAATGTAGGAGGGCTGAGGACATGGTTTACATTTCTGTGTTTTGGTGGCATACATATACATATATGTATCATAGAGACAACATAATAGAATGCCATGTATTGCCCTGTGTGCTACATGAGATGGTTTTGGGTGGTACATAAAGGAAACTTTGTTTCTTTTCTTTCTTTCTTTTTTTTTTTTTTGTTTGAGACAGAGTCTTGCTCTGTTGCCCAGGCTGGAGTGCAGTGGTGCTGTCTCGGCTCACTGCAACCCTCCGCCTCCTGGGTTTAAGCAATCCTTGTGCCTCAGCCTCCCAAGTGGCTGGGATTACAGGTATGTGCCACCCTGCCCGGGTAATTTTTGTATTTTTAGTAGAGACAGGGTTTCACCGTGTTGGCCAGGCTGGTCTCGAACTCCTGACCTCAAGTGATCCGCCTGCCTCAGCCTCCCAAAGTGCTGAGATTACAGGTGTGAGCCACTGTGCCCAGCCTGAAGGAACCTTTTTTTTTCTTCGTTTATAGGTTATGAGTATTTTTTAATTTGCATTTTAAAAATTTATCCAGCACACCAAATCCATGAATTCTTGGCTATTAATGCCTTTTAATTTTTTTGAGACAAGGTCTCACTCTCACCCAGGTTGGAATGAAGTGGCATGATCATGACTCACTGCAGCTTTCAGCCCCTGGGCTCAAGGATCCTCCTGCCTCAGCCTCCTGAGTAGCTGGGACTACTGGGACTCAGTACAGGCAAGCACCACCACATTCAGCTAATTTTTAAATTTTTTGTAGAGATGAGGTCTTGCTTTTGTTCCCCAAGCCGGTCTCCAACTCCTAGGTCTCAAGTGATCCTCCTGCCTTGGCCTCCCAAAGTGCTGGGATTACAGGTGTGAGCCACTGCACCTGGCCTCTTAATGCTTAATGGCCAATAACAAAGGCCTTGCAGTCAGATTGCTGGGTGTGGCTCTTACGTCCCTTTCTTACTGGTTCTGTGACCCTGGGCAAGCCACTTAATCTCCCTGAGGCACATATTTGTCACCTGTAAATTGGTTGATAATAAGTTTGCCGTAAGAGTGAAACCAGTAAGTGTATGTAAAACTAGTTCAGAGCTTGGCAAATGACTGCCACTATTATTTGATGCATATGACCCATGTGTGATAGGCATGTGTTTTGTATGTATTGTTTTTCACATCCATGTGTACATGACTACGTGTGTGTGTAAGTGTGTGGTTCCTGGTCTCAGGGATACGGGAGAGGATGAACGGCCTAGGGTTGGGATTACTTTCGCATGCTCACAGGTGTACGTGTATGCCCGTGAGTGTGTCTTTTGGAGCCCACATGCCTGGGTGCACATGGTGCCCCTGGACCAGAGTCCTCCTGGCCCCACCTCCTTTGTCTGTTGTGCTGCCAGCCAGGGTGCTGGGCCTGTGCTGCCCCAGCCCCACCCTCAACCCCCTACCCAACACTGGGATTGGCAGGGGTCCTCTCTGGAAGGGAGGCCTTGGGGAATGTCCTTCCAGGAGCTGGGTCTCTGGCCCCTTTGTCTCCACTGTATTTGCCCAGAGTCAGTGTTTTCTGTGCCGTTACCCAGGGCCCCAGGACGTCAAGCAGGATGGGTGGGAAGAAGAGGAAGCATTTTGAAGGGATTGGTGGCCCTGCAGTTGCTCCGTGGATTCTGAGTAGAGGCTGGGGAGGGGGAACCCCAAAGGAAAGGCTGTCATCAGCAGCTGGGCTCAGCAGGGTTTTAAAAACTGCTTCGTGGAGGTGTAATTGACATACACTAAATTGCACATGTTTAAAGTGTCCAATTTGATGAGTTTTGACATAGTGTACCCCCATGAAATCATTACCACATCAAGATAAGGAACACACAGACCACTGAAAACCACCATTTAAAAAAAAAGATAAGGAACACAGCCACACTGCCAAATGTCACCTTGTGCTCCTTGGTAATCCTGCCTCTCTCCCCACACCATCGCAGGCATTCACTTATCTGTTTTTGTTTTTTTGTCTTGTTTTGTTTTTTGTTTTTGTTTTTGTTTTGAGACGGAGTCTTGCTCTGTCGCCCAGCCTGGAATGCAGTGGAACGATCTTGGCTCACTGCAACCTCCACCTTCTGGGTTCAAGTGATTCTCCTGCCTCAGCCTCCCGAGTAGCTGGGACTACAGGTGCCTGCCACCACGCCCAGCTAATTTTTGTATTTTTAGTAGAGATGGGGTTTCACCATATTGCCCAGGCTGGTCTCGAACTCCTGACCTCAGGTAATCCACCCTCTTTGGCCTCCCAAAGTGCTGAGATTACAGGCGTGAGCCATGGTGCCTGGGCCACTTATCTGCTTTTGATCACTACAGCTTCATTTGCACTTTCTAGAATTTGATAAAAAATGGAAGGAGAGGAAGGGTTTTGAAGGGAATGGAAGCCCTGCAGTTGCTCCATGAATCCTGTATTGCTTTGTTTTTAACAGGCTAATTTCACTCACATCGTTATTTTGAAATTCATCTATGTTGTTATTCATATCGGTAGTTCATTGTGCTTTACTGCCGAGTAGTATTCCGTTGAGGAGATGCACCACGGTGTGTTAGCCACCCACACAGCAGGGGTGATTTTTCTCTTATGCTTCCATTTCTACCTCTAGATGTGAACCTCAACAGCTAGCCTTTCACCAGCACATATTTTATGAAACCAAGAGTCAAGCTGTGTCTGAGGCTGGCCTGAGCCCAGTGGGCATCTTTTCCAGGCAGGGCACCTGTAGCCAGTGCCACTCTCTGCCCTTTGCCCCAACTGTCCCCTTCCCTGAAATGGCTTCCCCTCCTCTGCACTATCCAGAGGCCATTCAGCTTCTTCCAGGCAGCCTTTCCAGACTGTCTGGGGCTCTTCTGAGCATTTCCAGCCCTCATAGCCTGACCGCTTCCAAAGCTCTTGCGCTGCCCAGCCATTCCCGTCTTGTCTCCTTGGTGAGGACAAGGTGAACTCCTCCTCATGCCACCCTCTCCTAGTGAGCCTGGCAGGCAGGAAGCTGCTCTAGAGAGACCCGGGGGCTCATGCACAGGGTGTCTGGCTGGCCTGGGGCTTCGGAGACTGCTGTCTGGGGCCTCTGGAGAAGCGGGGATTGGAGATGCAAAGTGGTACAGAGGGATGCAGACCAAAGCCAACACAGAGGGCTGGGCCTCTCCCTCTCCCTTTTCTTCCTGTCTTCCATCTCCTTCCTGGAAGCTGCTCCTCCTCCTCTAGGGAGTGAAAGGGTCTGGGGAGGCAGGCCCAATGCCGAGCTCTTTGCATCATTAAATTCCTGCCTTGGAGGACCAAAATTTGAAACATCCCAGAAGGCCTCTGTCACATTTTGTGGCTTTCTACGGCTCCACCCTCTTCTCCATTCTTCACGGTTCTGTTTCCCCACGATGACAGGATGGGCGGGCTCTACTTGGGCATGGATCTTGGGGGCCCCACCAGAGTCCCCAGCCCCTGAGGCTGTGTATTAATTAATGCTGCCTGTGCTGCTGAGACTTGTCTTGGAGCCACAGAGTAGAGGCCGCCCATTGTGCCAGAGAGGGAAGTGTTGTCTTCCCCAAGGTCACAGAGCCAGTTAGTGACAGCCCCGAGGACAGGATCCATGTATGTTTCATGTCTGTGTCTCCAGTGCTCAGGACAGAGCTTGGTATTCAGCAGATATGTCATAAATATTTATTGAATAAAATAAACAAACCAAGGATGGTGGAGTGCCAGTGAGTGGTGGTAGAGGGTGGTAGTAAAGGTGATGTGCTACCATGGTAGGTGGTGAGAGGCAGAGGGTGGTAAATACTAGTGGGGAGAGGAGGTGGGAGAGGGTGGGGGTGGGAGGTGATGGAGAATGCCGAGGTGAGAAGTGGTGGATAGTGAACCAGTAGAGCATGGTGGCAGATGGTGGAGTGGGAGATGGTGAGAGATGGTGGCAGAAGGATGGTGGCAAGGGGTGGCGGCAGTGGTGAAAGAACTGGGCTCTGGGTGACTTCTGGTCATGCCCAGCCTCTGCCCTTCCCTAGGGGACTCTGGTCTGGCTCTTGGACCCGCCAAGTTCTCTGACACCGTGGCCTGTTCCTTTGCAGACTCTATCGGGGGCCCCTTCCCCGTCACTTCTCACCGATGCCACCACAAGCAGAAGCACTGTCCGGCAGTGCTGCCCAGCGGGGGGCTCCCAGCCACGCCGCTGCTCTTCCACCCGCACACCAAGGGCTCCCAGATCCTCATGGACCTCAGCCACAAGGCTGTCAAGAGGCAGGCCAGCTTCTGCAACGCCATCACCTTCAGCAACCGCCCGGTCCTCATCTACGAGCAAGTCAGGCTGAAGGTGGGCCTGCCCCCTGCCCCCGCCCCCGCCTCCTGCTTCCTGCTCCCCTCATGGCATCCCCTGGGCCTCTGGACTCTGCCCCTCAGCCGCTGCCTGCTGCCACCCCCAGCACCACACCCTGCCCCTGCCTTTCCTCTCTGGTGACCCTCTTCCCTCTTCCTTATGCCTTTCTCAACCTCCCTGTGTGACAAGGAAGGAACCGGGAGGGCGGTGGCCGTGGGAACCCCTTGCTGTCTTCCCAGCAGGGAGGGCTCCTGGGAGGGAACTGTGCTGGAATGGTGGGCAGGCTGCTGTGGGATGCTCCAGGGAGTCCACCGCAGGGAGGCTGCCCTTGGTCTGATTGACCAAGTGGGAGAGGGTGGGCTGAGGCCACCCCCTGCCACCCAGATCACCAAGAAGCAGTGCTGCTGGAGCGGGGCCCTGCGGCTGGGCTTCACCAGCAAGGACCCGTCCCGCATCCACCCTGACTCGCTGCCCAAGTACGCCTGCCCCGACCTGGTGTCCCAGAGTGGCTTCTGGGCCAAGGCGCTGCCTGAGGAGTTTGCCAATGAGGGCAACATCATCGCATTCTGGGTGGACAAGAAGGGCCGTGTCTTCCACCGCATCAACGACTCGGCTGTTATGCTGTTCTTCAGCGGGGTCCGCACGGCCGACCCGCTCTGGGCCCTGGTGGACGTCTACGGCCTCACGCGGGGCGTCCAGCTGCTTGGTGAGTGCCTGCCCCTCCGGCCCCTTGGTGCAGGGGACACCCCTCAGCCTCTGGGCACTGCAGCCTGGCACTGTTCAATCCCATCAGGCGTAGGGACCCCTCTCTGACTGGTGCCAAGGGGAACCGGGGCAGCCCTGGGAACCTTGGCATGAACTGCAGAGATCTCCTTTCCTCCAGGCCCGTGGCTTTGCAGTGGAACCTGGGTGTGATTTCTGCTCTCTGCAGCCTCTCAGGTGGTGCCTTGGGCAGTATGCAACCTTCACAATCATAAATGGTGACCTCAAAGACCACCACCCCAGGAAGTAATTAAATTAATCATCACAACCACAGTTCATAGAACACTTACTATGTGCAAGGCACTTGATTCTTGCCTGTTCTCATAGCAACCCTGGGAGGGAGACCCCTTCATTGGGCAGAAACTCAAGTCCAGGGAGATTACATCATGGTCCCAGGAGCCATGGCCGTTGAGGGGTAGAGCCAGCCCTGAGTCTCCAGCTCTAAAGCCAGCTGTCAGCCCCTGGGCTTTGCAGCCTTCCAGGAGACGGGGTTCCAAGCCCACCCCAGTGCCTTTTGCAGGGATGTTGGATAAAAGGGTAGGATCCAGGAGCAGAAGGCACTGGGGGAGCTAAGACTCTTGGCTGCTCCCTGGCCCCCAGCGTAAGTTAGGCTCTTTGAGGACAGTGAGAGAGCAAGGAGGAGGAGCCTCGGGAAGCAGCCTGGCATGCTCAGGGGCCAGGCTTCCCTGCAATGGCACAAGTACTGGGGCCGGAAGAGGACAGGAGAATCTCCGACTTCCTAGGGTCACACAGTAAGTTGGTGGTTAAGGTAGGACTAGAACTCAGGTCACCTGACTCCCAGCCCAGGATCCTTCCCACCTGGCTCTCCTTGTGCACAGGCACTCAAGTGCATGTGCGCACACATAGACTCTGGGTACAAATCAGGCCATCGGCAAACTGGCTTTGTCTCCAGGCAGAGGCTATGCAAGCCTCAGCTTCCTCAGCTGTGAAATGGGTTGGTGGGAAGATTAAGTTCCATCAGGGAGGCTGTGAGTAAAGTGCCCAGCACAGTCTCGGGTACCAAGTATATGCTCAAGCAACACTTTTTCCTTCGTCTCCCATCTCTACCCGCCTCTCCCTGCAGAGAAAGAGGCCATGAAGGTGGTTGAAAACCTTTTTTTTTTTTCCCTTTCTGACTTCAGAGCCTAGAAACAGTGAAGTTCTTCTGTCCACAACACTTTTGAGCAAAAAGTCAGTGATAGTAAAAACAAAGAAATGAGTCAGAAGCCTGTTTGTTGAGTTCCAAACATCAGGAAGCTGTTTTTATTAGCTAGTAGTTTGGGAACTTTCTGTTTTTCACCTCAACAAAAGTGTTTCTGCACTCACAATGACATGTTAAGAGCCTGGAACTGGGCAGTTCTGGGTCTCAGCGACTGAAGAAGGGAGCCCAGGTGCTTTGCATTTTCTCTGTAAAAGGGGTGTGCCTGCAGCCGGGGGCAGAAAGGGCAGCGTTCATGTCCCTGAGCTACAGAGACCGGCAGATCCTAGCCTCACGCTGTACTAGTTGTGGGGCCTCAGTTTCTTCATCTGTAACGTGGGGCTAAATGCTTTCTCGGGGTTCTTTGAGGAGCAGCTGATGCACAGTAGGGGGTCAGTGGCTGTCATTTGTCCCCACCCATTCTGGGGAGGACAGTTCTTCACTCAGGGCTCAAGTGAATGCCTTGGTGCTGCTCTGGTATCCTCAGGGCCCCACACTTCAAGGCACTGGAGTCCCAGCGCTTGAGTTTGAGCTCTAACCTGACCACTTCTGCCTGAGCCTCAGGCTTCCCACCTGTATAATGGTTGTGAAGGCTTTGACTTAGCCCAGGACTTAACCACATGGTGGAAGACAAAGTCTCTGCTCCTGAGAAAGCCACAGTCTTGTTGAGGGGTGGGCAGGTGAGGGCAGTGGGGCAACATTCTTGCTTTTCCCTAAGCAAAAAGTGGCCTCCCTCACAGTCCCCACTCTGGCTTCAAGGCCAGTCCCAAAGCCCCCTCCCTCCCTGAAACCTTCCTGGGCGGAATTCTTCTCTCCATCTTTGTGTGCCACCAAGTGGTGCTGGTGCTTCTCTCAGTACTGAGCATCGCAGAGCCTTGGTCCGTCCATACGTCCACTTCCCTGCAAGATGGGGAAGAATCCACGTCTCACTCAGTCGGGCTGCTCTCCAGAGTGGAGGCTTCTGCCTGACCTGCAGAGGACGTGGAGGAATATTTGCAGGGTAGGTAGGGGAGAGTAGTCAGGGGCAGGGTGGGGGACGAATGGGAGGGCAGATGCGTTGTTAGATGAAGAAAACGGCAGGTGGGTGGGGGCCAAGGGCAACCCAGCCCTGCCCACAGATAACCCAGGCTCATTGGGAAGTTAGGGAGATGAAGCAAACACTCCAGACGATGCAAGCGCTCAGGGCACAACCCAAGAGAAGCCAGTAAATCACTAACCGCTGTGGTCATGGGATGCCTTCCATCTGCCGAGATGGTTTCTATCCAGTTATCTCATTTAACCCCTCTGAAGCAGGCCCCACAGGGAGTGTTTTTTATCCCCATTTGGCAGGGAGATAACTGAGGCCCACGCAAGGCCTGGCTTGCCCATGTAGGGATGTGGCAGAGCTGGGACTTGAACTGGGTGTTCTGATGCCAAAAGCAACACCTTTCCCATTACCCTCCAGCTGGTTTAAACATAAAAGGAGGCAGGAAGTCAGAGGAGGCTGAGGTCAGTGGGGGAGGATGGAGGCCAGGAGGGCTTCTTGGAAGAGAAGACTTGGGCTGGGCCTACAAGTTCCAGGAGGGCCCTGGCACATGGGAATGAAGTGGAACACGACAGACGGGCTTCCCACCCTCAGGGGCTGAGGAGGGCTTGGAGAATAATCTGAAGGGCCCATCCTGGGCCAGAGCCCAGGTGGCCTGACCTGGTCCAGCCCCATCCCCCCTGTGACTATAAATGGGTTTGCACGCAGTGTTTTCAGTTGCATTTGGAGTTCCTGACAGGCTCCTCTCTGCACACCCGATAAGGCTAAGGCCCCAGCGGATTCCGTCCCAGCCGTAAATCACCATAATCCCTGGGTATTTTCAAACACTGATTATGGCCCCTAAATTCAATTGGCAGATTGAGATATCCCTTCATTTATTCTTCCTGAATTTTTTTTTTTTTTGGTAAAGAGAGAGAGGGAGACACAGAGATTCATCCAGAGATCTCCTGAGGTGGGCGTGATCTCTCCACCTTCGTTCACTGCCTGTCCTCTGAGATACTCCCCTCTACCCCAGGTAGCCTCAGGATCAGCTTCCTTCCCTGCCTTCTCTTTCCTCTCCGCCCCACTTCCCGCCCCTCCCTCTCTCCATCACCTGCACCTTTACTGCACCTGTATCTTTCTGGGCTTTTCTCTCTCCCTTGACCTAGATCCTCTCACCCTTCTTGCTTTCCCTGGTCTTGGTGTCCTTCTCCCCGCTGCTGTCTCTCTTCTGAAGAAAGTCGCTGTCCATCTTGGTGGCTCTGAGGCTGGGCCAGTCTTTCCTGGGGTGACTGTCCCCCAAACCAATGTCTGATCTTTGGGGATTTTCTGCCAGGCCTGCCCCTGCCCCCTTTGTCTGAAGCCTGTGGTCAAAGCCCTCCCAATCTTACCTGCTCTGTGTTTGTTCCTTAGACCAGAGGCTTCCCAGGGTAGCTGGCACATAGTAGGTAAGCAGGTCAGGCCATGGATGGGTTGTGTCCCCAGACAGAGTGGAGGCAGGGGCTGGTGTCTCTCCCCAGTGGACGGTCCTCCCTGCCCTGGCCAGAATCCAAGCCCACAATGGTGCCCATGCCATGGCCCCAGCAGGCCCTCCTCCCTGTTATGGTGCCCATGCCACAGCCCCAGCAGGCCCTCCTCCCTGTTATGCTGGAGTTCTGCAGATCACCTCTTTCTTTGGGGCGCCCTGGCCCAAGCCCAGGCTGGTATCGTCAAGAATAACAGCTTCCTTCCTCCAGGGAGAAGGACCCGCCAGCAACTAAATAAACACAGGTTTTATGGGGTGATTAATACATGGAAAAAGAAGCTCCTATCCCAGTATCTCAAGGTCTCCTTGCTCCTCTCAGAAATGTCAATTCAGGAAGAGCAGCTGTGAGTCCCAGCAGGACTTGGCTGGCGGGCCAAGAGCCCACTTACAGGGTGCTCCAGAGCATCCCTTGGTGCCTACCACTGCCTAGGCACTAAGCGGGGGCAGGTGGGAGACAGAAGAATCAAAAACCCAGCCCCTCTCCTGGAATAATGTTTTCCCTGGGGGACACATCATATAACTGATGCAAGGTGGCCCAAGTTCAATTCTGCAATCAAGTGTGACCTGAAGAGTAAAACTGTGTGTATGTGTGGGAGGGGAGTGCAGCTAGAGAGCAATCCAGGAGGACTTCCTGTAGGAGACAAGTTTTAAGTCAGGAACTAAGTGAGGTGAAAAGAATGGATTGGTTGAGGAACAATTTAGGTCAGACAGGGGGGTGTCCACAGGTGCAGAGGTGGGGAATTGGCGGTCAGTAGGGGAGCAGATCCAGGAGGGGAAGGAATGAGGTAGAAAGGTAGTGGGTGACTTGTGGAGGTGAGGGGTGTGCACAGGTGTGGGTATGTGTATGCATCACAGGGGAGAGAGCCATGAGAGCTGAAAGCTTCCAGCAGCTTTTGTGCTGTCAAGTTGTTCAGTAAGAGGGACTGGCTGGTTGACAGTGGAGAAGTATGAGACCCAGAGATGGGGAGAGGCCTGCCCAAACTCTCCCAGCTGCTCATCAGCCAGGCCAGGCCTGGAACCCAGATCTCTCAGGCTGATCTGGGAGTAAGGTCAGAGGGAGGAGGCTATCAACACATCTAAATGGTGGGGCTGGGTCCGGGAGGGTTCTAGGAGGGGATGAGGTGGGGGCTCCCGAGGGCTTATGCATTCTATTCCATCCCTTGCCATGCACAGGTTCCCAGGTCTTGGTAAAAGACCCACGCCTGCCTACTGAGGAGAGAGCTGTATGGAGACTCTCAGGATGGGCTTCCAAGGGTCATGTGCTGCTGGGTGGGTTCTCCAGGCCCCCTGGAGATAGGGGCCTAGGTCAGGTCCCCTATCCAGGGTGTGCCTCAGCTTGGAGGTGCTGAGCATGAGTGATCCCCAGCCGAGGACCACACTGCCATCTGGGCCTTCTGCTTCCCAGGCTAAACCAATATTTACCCTCAGCTGTGGCTGCTAGGGGCCAAGAGGCAAATATTAGTTTAAGGAGCCTGAGCCAGCTGTTGGGCTGGGGGAAACAGCTGAGGCTGCCGATCATGATTTCTTCCTCTTTGATGATTTTCATTTCTTTTTGATTAAGAAAAAAATCTTGCTTTTCCTTCTGCTTCAGAGGGTTTTCTGGTGCTTCCTTTCTGCTTACCCCAAATTCTGCCAGCTATATCAGTGCCCCACACCAAACCCTCCCCTCCATTAGGAAGCTTTCCCAGACCTCCCTCATTCAAAATGACCCTTCCTCCTCCTGACCATCGGAAGCACTTGGAGACCTAAGTGGTATAAGCAGCTTTGAGTCATGTATTGTCCTGCTCTTTAAAGATCCAGCATATATCCTCTTTGTATATAAAGGAAGGTATTATTGTGCCCATTTTGTAGATAAGGAACAGAGGCTGAGAGAGGTCTGATAACCTGCCCAAGGTCACACAGCTGGCAGTTGGTGGAGCTGGGATTTGAACCCAGGAGCTTGGGCTACATTACCTTCCAGCTTCTCTAGATGTGAGTCCATCTGATCTCCCTATTAGGTCTGGATACCCGACAAGAGCGGGGACAGTGGCCCTCCTGTGCCTTCCAGAGTCGAGCTTACAAGAGCTCAAGGCATCAAGGATCAACTGCACATGTTGGGCACAGATAGGCCACCAGGGCCCCAGCAGTGCTGGTACAAGGAAGAGGGGCAGTGCAGCGCCCAGGAT
Organism: Homo sapiens; assembly: GCF_000001405.40. Taxonomy (NCBI): domain Eukaryota; kingdom Metazoa; phylum Chordata; class Mammalia; order Primates; family Hominidae; genus Homo; species Homo sapiens. The sequence continues at coordinate 103,577,770 of NC_000010.11, forward strand.
GCCAGATTCAGTGGGGAAGGTCGGTCTGCCTGCCTTATAGTTCCCCGGAGGCTCCCGAGGGCTTTGTCTGGTTCAGTTATTCCTGTGCACTCTAGTTTTCTACCACAATGAATATATATCAAGTTGAACCATATGTAATCACCAGTATTGGACTGTTTTTAACTTACAAGAAAGGCAATCTCATGTTTGCCCCTAGCATCTCTTGGGCCCAAGAGATTGTACTGGGGCCTTGGAGAGAGTGGTGGGGCTCAGGGTGGGGTGTATGTGGAGGGAGGAGCTCGGGCCTTGCAGTATTGGGGACAATGCCTTCATTTAAGATGCAGGAGACCCACTGAATCAAGGCTTGACTTGGCCACTCATTAGCTCTGGGCAGTTCTCAGCTTCTCTGTGCTTCAGCCTCCTCATTATTTGGGCATAATTATACACACCCCACTTACCTCACAGATGTGGAAAGGCATTTACACAAATGAGAAGGGCTTTTGTCTTTAGGTTAAAAAGGAATACCTAATTTAAAGACACCGCCCTCCACGGCCAAAAAAGCCAACCCCTCAAACCAGCTCTTCAACTAGAAGAGGGAGCCTTGAACCCAGGTCTCTGTATCGGGCTGAAAGGAAAACCATGCAATCGAAATTGCTCCTTGGAACAAGATCTGTGCTTCTCCAGCTGGGTTCCTTGGAACACTGGGGTTCCACAGAGGTGTCTTGGAGGCTGCAGAGAAGGCCAGAGAGAGGGTGAGGGGATAGGTGCTAGGTCCACCTCCTAGACTTCAGCCAGAACTTGGGGTTCTGTTGGACAAAAGGATTCCACTGCTTTTTAAAAAAGTTTGAGACCCACTAGACCAGATGATTCTATAAATCTATGAGATCCCGTGGCTTGAAGATTCTCTGAATCTTAAAGTCTGTGACTGTGAGTGATTTTAGGATGTTCTGCCCTTCCCTCTGTGAGCCCCAGAAAGCATGTTTGTTTCTCCTAAATTTCCCATGGTTGGGTTTAAAGGGAGAGGGTGGAGGTGGGTGCTGGGAGGGGTGGAGAACCCCCTTGCCTGTCTAAGCCAGGCACCCGCACTTCCCGGCTCCCTCCCATGCCCCGTGCCAGATGCGGACCAGCAGGAGGATGTTTGTGGAGACAGTAAAGGGCTGGCAGCGCCTCCCAAACAGGGGCCAGCAGATACCTGCTAGCAAGCCAGGCGGCTGCAGGCTGACCTGTGGTTACAGATTAGCCAGTGCTCCGGATGTGAGAACGTCAACAAATGGGACTCTCAGGCTGACGGCAAGCTCTGCCTCAAAGGAGGCCCCGGCCTGCCCTGAGGTCCCCCACGCCCAGGTCCTGCCTTGGTTACCCTGCACTGCTGGCAGCGTATGGCAGGGCCGGGTGGCTTTCTGGGCAACAGCAAGCCCTGGGGCCCTCCTCAGTCTGTCTCCTCCCGCTCCCACTCCTGCTCTTCACCAGGTGTTTGCTAACAGTTTTCTCACCTGTCAACCCAAACCCTCCTGTGTTTCAGCTCAGGTCAACTCCTGTGTCGTCCAGAATACCTTCCCTAGCCCACTCTGAAACAGGAAGGGGACTTCAGCCTTAGTTGGGGATCTTGATCCTAAAGGGGTTATTTACTGTAAAGGAGAGAAGACTCAGAGGGAGCCCCAAGGAGGGTATCTGGGATACATATGGATTCCCACCAGGAGAGTTTTTCTAAGTCATGGTTATTCCAAGGTGGGGAATAGGTAGCCTTGGGAGATGGTAAACTTCCTGACCCTAGGGCCATTCTAGCCTCTAGCTGAGAGATTGGCAGGGATAAATGGATTTCCTAGTACCTTAGTTCCTCGAAAGTCCTGTCTAATCCTAGATACTAAGACTCTGGTAACTGAATTGTATTCAAATATTTTCCTGACTTCGGGGCAGGCATGGTGGCTCACACCTGTAATCTCAGCACTTTGGGAGGCTGAGGCCAGCAGATCACTTGAGCTGAGGAGTTCGAAACCAGCCTGGGAAACCTAGTGAAACCCTGTCTCTACAAAAAATACAAAAATTAGCCAGGCGTGGTGGTGTGCACCTGTAGTCCCAGCCACTTTGGAGGCTGAGGCACAAGAATCGCTTGAACCTGGGAGGCAGAGGATGCAGTGAGTGAGCCTAGATCGTGCCACTGCACTCCAGCCTGGGGAACAGAGCGAGACCCCGTATCAAAAAATAATAATAATAAAAAAAACATGTCCTGCCTTTAAGCCTTGCCCCTTCCACTGACTCTTGGCTCCCAGGGCCCAGTTCCTGGCTCCTCCCTCTCCCAGACTCCCTGCCCAGGGCTGGGCACACAGTAGGTCAGTGAGTAGGGCCCCCAGCACCACCTAGAGGAGGGGAAACACATGGCCGGGACCTCCCTGCCCTGGCAGGGTCTGCTTATTTTTGCTCTGGCCCAGGGTGTTGGTAGAGCCACTGCCGGGCACCAGAACAGGCAAGAGCTGAAGACTGACAGGTTCTTTCCTGAATGATGGGACATGCAAGGGTAGTCAGCTTAGCGGCTTCTCCTCATGGCCTTGTGCCATCTCTGTTCCCATCATAAACACCTCCAAAGCAGGTGGGCACGTGTCCCGGCACCGATTATGTAACTTGTTGCTTCCGAATGTGGGGCCACCCCACTGCTTGGGGTGAGAGGTTGCCCATCTGGTTTTTCTAAGCCTTACCCATCAAGTGGTGCAGTCTTGGGCCGAGGTTGGTCCCATGGTGTTCTCCCATGGCTTGGGGCCCCAAACACTGCCCTGACCTCTAACTTGGTATCAGCTCACTCAACTGTGACCTTTGCCGTCCCTTCTGCGGAGGGTGTTCTAACCAGCTCCTGTGTCTCGAGTTTCATCTATTTCAGGGCTTCGACACAGCTGGGCTCACTGATGGGATGGTTATTTTGGAGCTGCTGGCTGCCTGCAGCTGCTCCTGACCCTGAGGGGTGGAGAGGGAGAGAAGACAGACTTGGGCTGGGCACTGGCCCTAGGGATTCGTTCCGTTTTTAGCTGTTTCCCAGCAGCTTTTGTCCCTCCCCTCCCAACTCTAGCAAGATTTCAAGCAAGGCTAAAGGGATCCTCTTCCTACCCCCTTCTCTTTGTACATCCTCCACTGTTTCTCCTTTCTTTCTTCTTTATCCTCTCACCTCTACATTTTAGCTGCTGCTTCTTGGTCTTTGGTGATTTCATTCAATGAGTATTTCCTGGGTACCCATCATGACTGATGTGAAATCCTGCATTAAGGTTCAAAAAGCCCATGGTCTGAGGACAGGTGTACCTGACTTTTAGTTGAGACTGTGCTCAAGCCAAGCAAATACTAATATCTGAAGTTATCGGGTAGCTTCTGGGTGCTGGGGGTGGTCCCACTTTACCTCGGATCTTTCCAACAACAACTCAGGGCAGGTATTATTACCCCTATTCTCTAGGTGAGAAATTTGAGGCTGGGAGGAAGGTTGCTTACCCAAAAGCCACCAGCCAAGTGCTGGATCAGACATTTAAACCTAGGCCTGATCCAGACCTGGATCACCCCAAAGCCCATGCACTTTCTTCTGAATCATGTGGCATTTCACATGCCAATAACAACGGCTTATATTAACCTAATGACTGTGCCAGGTCTCCTATTAGGTGCCCTGTGTACCTTACTCCTTTTCATCCTCACAGCGTCTCTTCTAAGGGGAGTATTAGATACAGATTTTATGTAAATCAGTAGATGCTGATTTCACTGCTGAAGAGGCCCCAAGAAGTTCAGCTATTTGTCCAGTCATATAGCCCTGTCATACAGGAAATGGCAGGGCCAGGATTTGAACCTAGACTGATGACTTCAAATTCATTGCACTTAACTGTGCTCCTGTCCTGCCTACTAGTATATGAATGTTGGTTACTGAAAAAAACCTAATGTACTTTTAGGTTGCATTATTAGAAGTATAGCATATATACCAAGGGAGGTGATGGCCACACTATGCCTTGAGCTGGTTGGTGCACATCTAGAGTACTGAGTCTGGTTTTGTTCATTATCTAAGAGGTGGGAAGGTGTGTGGGGACTCTGAGTATTCCCTGAGAATTGTCTTCAGTACTGGGCTGATAGGCAGCTCAGGAGGTAGTGGGTTAAATACAGGGAGGTAGATTTTGGTTTAAAAGAAGGAAATACTCTTTAAAGACAGATTAACTCCACAATGGAACAGGTTGCCTGGAAGTTAGTGAGCACCTGGTAGTGTGCATGTTTAAGTAGAAGGGGACTCCTGAAGGGGCAGAGAGACCAGGATAGCTTGCATCCAGCCCCATTAAGAGCTCTGTTCTGAGGGTCTGCCCAGCCCCAGGAGCTCTGGACTGATTGTCCTGAGGGGGTGGTGTGGGCCCTGTGACAGCTGTGTTCCTGGAGGCTCTGGCTGGACATCTCTGAGCGACCTGATTCCTCTTCTCCCTGCTGTTACTGCCCCTTCCCCTCTCTGTCTCCCACCCTCTGAAGTTCCCAAGGGTCAGTGCCTGGAATCCCAGAGGGGTGAGGGAGCAGGGACTGTTCCCCAGGGTCCAGGTCAGCCCACTGGCTTTCCCCCACTCTGCACCATTTGTCTCTCCTACCTCCCCCCTGCACAGGCCCTCCTGGCCTCTGCCTCTGCCTCTCTGCAGCCCCCCAGCCTCTATGCACCATCACTGTCACAGAGTCAATTCCCTGGAATAATCACATTTTCTGGCCGGCTCCCTCCTCCTCGCCAACACGATTCCAGGAAACCCCAATCAGCCAGGCCCCAGGAGGCTTCTCCAGAGCTTCAGGAGGCTTGGGGGGAAGGGCCCACACCCAGAGCTTTCTGGGGGCCAGACAACACAGTTCCTGGAAGGGGCAGTGAAAGGGTGAAAGAAAAGAGGGAGGTTTAGTGACCATGTCTACATTCAGTTGGAACTGAATTTTGGCCTCTGCTGTCCCTACCAGACCAATCCCCCAAGCTTTGCTGTCATACCTGAGAACCCCAGCCATCCTTAACCCAGTTCCTGAAGAGACAGCACAGATTCTCCCTTGGAGAGGTTCAGGGAGAAGGCCCAAAGGAAGGGATCGGTCCATGGTGCGGCTTACAGTGGCACCAGGCATATTTGGAGAGATTGACTCACGCAGAAAGGCTTCAATAAACAAGGAGAGTCTGGAAGTGAAGAATGCGGCATTAGGAGTTGGACAGACCTTTTTTTCAATCCTGGATCTGCCACATGGCGGCTGTCATAACGCCGCTGAGCTTTATCTGTAAAACGGGAACACTTCCACGGGCTGCCGTAAGGATGAATTGCAGGGGTAATTCATGGAACATGGTGATCACTTTTATTGAAAGTTATAGGACTCCATAAAGCAGAACATAACACAGCCATTAGAAGAATATGGTGTTGGAAACAGTTATTGGCACGGAGAGGTGTTCAGATGCTGGGGATAAGATGGAAGGAGCCCAGGAGTTAAATTTTTGAAAATTTTGAAAAAAGCTACCAGGGTTCTTAGCCTGGAGTCCTTGCCCATGAATGGCTTCATGTAGTTCATGAATGCCGAGAAATTATCTACAGAATTTAGTGAGAATGTTCATTTTTCTGGGGAAAAGGGTCAATGTCATCACATTTTCAAAGTGATGTAGTACATATAAAAGGTAAAAAACAAGTGATGTTTATATAGCATGACTCAATTTTTGCACTAAAAAAAGTAACCAGCTGGGTGTGGTGGCTCACACTTCTAATCGTAGCACTTTGGGAGACTGAGGCAGGAGGATCGCTTGAGCCTAGGAGTTGGAGACCAGATGGGCAACATGGCGAAATACCGTCTCTACCCCAAAAATACAAAAATTAGCTGGGCGCGGTGGTGCATCCCAGCTACTTGGGAGGCTGAGGTGAGGATGGCTTGAGCCTGGGAGGCGGAGGTTGCTGTAAGCTGAGATATCTCCACTGCACTCCAGCCTGGGCCACAGAGCAAGATCCTGTCTCAAAAAAAAAAAAAAAAAAAAAAAAAAAGCCAAACAAACAAAAAACCCAAAAATACAGCCTTTAAAAAGGCCAAAAGATCATACATCCAAATATTAAAAATGCTTTTCTCTGGGTGGTGGGCTTATAGGCGATTGTTTTTTCTTTTTGCTGAACTGAATTTTCTACAAAATACCGTTTTATATTTTGTATAACTTGTATGATTTAAAAAAGAACGATGAGTTTGATTCCCTGTTAAGCCACTTTCAAAAGGGTATCTTGGATAGATCTACTTCTCAGCCTGTGTCCTGACATGGCAATGGTAGCCTCAAAAGGTGATTGTTAAGGTTAGATGAGACAATGTACGCAAAGAGGGTGTCTGTGTGTTTGCTGGGGGGTGGTTGCTCCCTGGCTTTCCAGGATGTTAGGCCTTCGTCAGTGCACTCGACAGACGGTTACTGTTTGTCAACAGAATGCTTGGCGCTGTTCTAGCTGCTAGGGATAAGACGGAAGGAGCCCAGGAGTTAAATTTTTGAAAATTTTAAATTATGAGGAATACAAGTTTACTGTAGAAAATGAGGAAGTACACATATGCATATAGCAAGCACCTGTGAGCATTTGGAAGCATCCACATGGTTTCAGTTTCGGTGCTTCCCCCCACCTATTCCTCTGCTTAAACAGATGTCCTGCAAGAGTCGTTTCTTGACTGTGTTCGCTAATTTATGTCACAAGCATCGTGTGCGCCATTAGCCATCCGGGATTGTAACGGTGCGCGCGTAGGGACCGGACAGCGGGGCGCGCCGGGGCCGCCTCCCGAGAGCCCTGCGTGACACTGCCCCGTGTCTCCCGCGCAGATAGCGAGCTGGTGCTCCCGGACTGTCTGCGGCCGCGCTCCTTCACCGCCCTGCGGCGGCCGTCGCTGCGGCGCGAGGCGGACGACGCGCGCCTCTCGGTGAGCCTATGCGACCTCAACGTGCCGGGCGCGGACGGCGACGAGGCCGCGCCGGCCGCCGGCTGCCCCATCCCGCAGAACTCACTCAACTCGCAGCACAGCCGCGCGCTGCCGGCGCAGCTCGACGGCGACCTGCGTTTCCACGCCCTGCGCGCCGGCGCGCACGTCCGCATCCTCGACGAGCAGACGGTGGCGCGCGTGGAGCACGGGCGCGACGAGCGCGCGCTCGTCTTCACCAGCCGGCCCGTGCGCGTGGCCGAGACCATCTTCGTCAAGGTCACGCGCTCGGGTGGCGCGCGGCCCGGCGCGCTGTCGTTCGGCGTCACCACGTGCGACCCCGGCACGCTGCGGCCGGCCGACCTGCCTTTCAGCCCTGAGGCCCTGGTGGACCGCAAGGAATTCTGGGCCGTGTGCCGCGTGCCCGGGCCCCTGCACAGCGGCGACATCCTGGGCCTGGTGGTCAACGCCGACGGCGAGCTGCACCTCAGCCACAATGGCGCGGCCGCCGGCATGCAGCTGTGCGTGGACGCCTCGCAGCCGCTTTGGATGCTCTTCGGCCTGCACGGGACCATCACGCAGATCCGCATCCTCGGTGAGTGCCCGCAGCTGCGCCTGGGCGTATGCCTTTCCTGGAGGCGGGGACGATCCGGGTAGGAGACAAAGGGCGAGCTCCCCTTCCTCCAGGCTCATGATGGTGTTGCTAAGGAATCACAGACACCTAAGGTGAGTTCTGGGCGGGACTTGGTCATCTTGTCAGTGGCCCTTATATGTCACCTGGGAGACTCACCTGGGGGGTGAGGCGAGGGAAAGCGCGGATTATTGAGTTTGATGCCCAGAATCAGATCAACCCATAGTCTCACAGATACATAAACAGTCCAGAAGCACACAACCCACTGACCACTCAAAAATGAGAGGAAAAGGCCAGGTGCGGTGGCTCACGCCTGTAATCTCAGCATTTTGGGAGGCCGAGGCGGGCGAATCATGAGGTCAGGAGATCAAGACCATCCTGGCTAACACGGTGAAACCCCGTCTCTACTAAAAATACAAACAATTAGCGGGGCATGGTGGTGGGCGCCTGTAGTCCCAGCTACTCGGGAGGCTGAGGCAGGAGAATGGCTGAGCCCAGGAGGCGGAGCTTGCAGTGAGCCAAGATCGTGCCACTGCACTCCAGCCTGGGCGACAGAGTGAGACTCCGTCTCAAAAAAAAAAAAAAAAAAAGGTTTCCCCCAGCAGTTAACTTTTTGAGTCTCGGTTACCATTTCTCCAAAATGGAAATAAAGGTCCTCACCTTTAAGGAAGTTTGTGAGTCCAAATGAGAAAAAAAGGTTGGAATGTCAGTAGTCAGGTGGTGCAGGGTGGTGTCTGGTTGGGGGACTCGGGGGAATCCCTGAGCAGGCAGCCTTGGGGGAAGTGGGGCTGCAGAGTTCTGGGCCTGCCTTTTCTCGGGGGCACAGGGTTTGAAAGGACTGGGGGGATGTGCATTGAGTTAAGAAAAGAAGGGAGGAAGATTCTTTATTGGAAGACTTCTCAGAGCCTTTAATATGCACTTTGATTAAGGAGACGGTGATGGTGGTTTTGGTGTAGAGTTTTTCCATACTAATTTGACCGGAAATCTTTTCACAAAGTGTCTCCTGGTACCTTTGTACCCCAGAGTGAGCAGGTATTCATGCTTTCCAAGTGCCGGTCTTTGAACCAGCTCTGTGAGACTGAGCTGGTTTCGTTAGATTTACCTGGAGGACCTATTAAAGTGCAGATTCTTGGACCCCCCCTCCAGAGATTTTAATTCGGTAGACCTTGGACAGGTTCTGGACATCTGAATTGTTTTTCTTTAGTAAGTATGCTTACCCAAGTTTGGAGACCCCTGGGCCTCACAGCCCCTAGCCTAGACCTCAGCCCAGGAGGCTTGATAGATAAGATAATGTGTGTAGATGAGTGAGCATGAGGTAGTTACTCTATGAGATTGGCGTACTGTGTATAGGCACATGTGAGTAACTGAATACACATATGTTAATGCATGTAATGCTGTTGGCTTGTGAGAGCATGAGAAATCATATAAAAAACATTGGGGACTTCCACCTCTGCAAAGAGACCAAATGAAGATGGAGTGAAACATAAATAAAAAGGAAATGAAAAGCCTGGGTGCGGTGGCTCACATCTGTAATCCCAGCACTTAGAGAGGCCGAGGCAGATGTATTGCTTGAGGCCAGCAGTTCAAGACCAGCCTGGCCAATGTGGCAAATCCCCATTTCTACTAAAATACAAAAAAATTTAGCTGGGTGTGGTGGTGCACGCCTGTAAGCCCAGCTACTCGGGAGGTTGAGGCAGGAGAATCACTTGAACCTGGGAGGCAGAGGCTGCAGTGACCTGAGATAGTGGCACTGCATTCCAGCTTGGGCAACAGTGAGATTCCATCTCAAGAAAAGAAAGAGAGAGAGAGAAAGAAAGAGAAAGAGAAAAATCAAGCAAGCAGGCAAGATGAATCAGGCTTGGGTGAGAATTCAAGATGGAATAAAAAGAAATTAGGCTGGGATGCAAAAAAATAAAAAATAAAAAATAGTCAAGCTGATTTCATTGACCAGGATATACTACTCCTCAGGGCAAGGAAATTACATAAGAGTAAGGTACTTTCTTCCCTCAGCACCATCTAATAATAGCTAAGCAGCTTTCCAGTAAGGCTTCTGTTGCCCAAAGAGGTTTACTAGACTGGAGCAAAGGGGAGGCTTAAAAAAATCCAGATTTCTCTCTCCCAAGAGGAGGATAGGCCAAGGTGGGTGTTGAAGAAGAACCACCCAGAATTCAATATACATTCAACAAAGTGCTCCTGATCTGTTTGGAAAATTGGGCATCACAACCAGCAAATTGGTGTTTGAAGATCCTGACTGACTTCAAAAGAATAACTAACCAGTGGCAATGTATGAAGGGTCATTATTAACCTTATAGAGGAATGCTTGGCTTTGTGGCTAGCCTAAGTATACTAAAAATAGAAGGTTATTTCCTTCACTCATGTGTATCACAAAACATACAGCCAGTTCCATACTTATTGGTGAAACATCAGAAATATTCTCATGAAAGTCAGGAATATAATAGAGATGGCTTACAGATGTTGTTCTGAAAATTCTGGCCAATGCAACAAGGCAAGAAAAGTAAATAGGAGTTGTGAATTCCTGAAAGAAGGAGATGATAATTAACTTGGAAAAATATTAACACAGTAAGAGAAACCCTGTGGGCATCTATTGAATATTCTTAGAAATAATAACACAACTAAATGAATTAGAATAACTACAGATAAAAAAGATCTCATTGGGCACTTAGGTGTGTGCAGGGCATTATGTTAGGATTTGTAGGAGAGTCACAGGTGAATACTATTTCCTGTTCTAAGAAAGCTCATGGGCTGGGCGCGGCGGCTCACACCTGTAATCTCAGCACTTTGGGAGGCTGAGGCGGGTGGATCACAAGGTCAGGAGATCGAGACCACCCTGGTTAACATGATGAAACCCCGTTTCTACTAAAAATACAAAAAAAATTAGCTGGGCCTGGTGGCAGGCGCCTGTAGTCCCAGCTACTCAGGAGGCTGAGGTAGGAGAATGGTGTGAACCCGGGAGGTGGAGCTTGCAGTGAGCTGAGATTGCGCCACTGCACTCCAGCCTGGGCGACAGAGCAAGACTCCGTCTCAAAAAAAAAAAAAAAAGAAAGCTCATGGTTTCACTGGAGAAACAAAACTGGAGTCCTGGGCACAGAACAAATATTACCCCAGCCTTTGTGGTTGTGTAGTTGTATGTCTGTAGTGCATGTGTGTGTGTACTTGAGGGAGTAATGTGGTCTGGGGGTAGTCAGGGCGGCCCAGAGGAAGGAGTTTGAGGACAGCTGTCAGAGGCTCCCTGGACAGCCAGCTCTTTGAAGTCAGGGGCTGTCTCTAGCTTTCTGTCTGCACGGGGCCTGATGCCTGGTAGGTCCTTGGTAAGGATTTGTTGAAGGGAGGAGAGAAGGAAGGAGGGAAAGAGGGAGGCGAGGATTGTTAAAAAGGAGAGGAAGGCCGGGCGCAGCGGCTCACCCCAGCAATCCCAGCACTTTGGGAGCCGAGGCTGGCAGATCACGAGGTGAGGAGATGGAGACCATCTTGGCCAACATGGTGAAACCCCGTCTCTATTAAAAATATTAAAAAATTAGCTGGGTGTGGTGGCATGTGCCTATGATCCCAACTACTCAGGAGGCTGAGGCAGGAGAATCTCTTGAACCTGGGATGTGGAGATTGTAGTGAGCCGAGGTCGTGCCACTGCACTCCAGCCTGGCGACAGCGAGACTCCGTCTGAAAAAAAAAAAAAAAAAAAGGAGAGGAAGTGAGTGACGGAAGGAGGAAGGAGGGGAGGAGAGAATCTATGATCAGAACAAGGTGGGAAAAAGTGAAGGCACTGCAGAGGTGCCATGCAGAAAAGGTGGGTGATATCTGGGGACAGTGGTGAAGAGCTCAGGGCTCCGAACAGGAGGGTGAGGTTGCGGGGCAGGGGAGATGGTAATATACATGCTCCGGCCCAGGAAGCTTTGCAGAAAGCATACATGGGGAGGGGCGGAGGTAGGTGCCAGGCAGGGGCCTAGTTTGGAGCTGCTGTTTTAACAAGAAGAAAGCAGGATATGACCCTCCAGTTCATAGGTGAGAACAGAGGCCAGGCTGGGTGCTGTCTGGGGTCAAAGTCTTTAGCTGATTAGCTATACTCCACGGCGGTAATATCAAATGATCCCCGCGCCAGCCTGCAAAATCCCGCTCTTGGCCCTGTGGCTGGGCTGTGTGGTCAGGCCTGGGAACCCACTGTGAGGGACAGAGCTTTCTCCAGTTTGGCCTGGGCAGGCAGCTAGTGTGTCCTTCCCTCCCTCCCCTTTCACAGGCTCCACTATCCTGGCCGAGCGGGGTATCCCATCACTCCCCTGCTCCCCTGCCTCCACGCCAACCTCGCCCAGTGCCCTGGGCAGCCGCCTGTCTGACCCCTTGCTCAGCACGTGCAGCTCTGGCCCTCTGGGTAGCTCTGCTGGTGGTAAGTAGGCTGGCTCCTCTGTTCCTTGGTGACCATGTGGGACTGCAGCAAGGATGCAGCCTTTGTGTCCGGGGCTGGGAGTGGAGAGGAGCTGGAGTTGGGCTCAGTAAACCCTTGTTGGGGGGTGATTTCTGGGGTCATCCCCTCCTGTCCCCTAGCTGGGCAGTGCCAAAGGGTAGCTCAGGAGGGACCTACCTTAAAAGATTCTGGACCCTTTCCTTCCTCCATCTTGCCTTCTTTTCTCTCACTGCCTCCTAGCCACTCTGTCCCCTCATCTGGGGTTGGAGTGGGTCAGAAGTGGGGCTGCTCAGAGCTCAGCCTCTTCCCTTGTGCCCTGGAAGTTGGGTTGTCAGGGTGAACAGGCAGATCCTGATAAATGGAGGGGGACACAAGAGGCCGGGGAGCTCTCTTCCCGTGAATCCAGCGCCGGGTTGGGCCATGTCTCCTCCTGACTGGTGCCCCCTTGTCCTCAGGGACAGCCCCCAATTCGCCAGTGAGCCTGCCCGAGTCGCCAGTGACCCCAGGTCTGGGCCAGTGGAGCGATGAGTGCACCATTTGCTATGAACACGCGGTGGACACGGTCATCTACACATGTGGCCACATGTGCCTCTGCTACGCCTGTGGCCTGCGCCTCAAGAAGGCTCTGCACGCCTGCTGCCCCATCTGCCGCCGCCCCATCAAGGACATCATCAAGACCTACCGCAGCTCCTAGCCCGTTGCGGTGGCCCATCCCGCATACCCATCTTCTCGGGCTTCAGCCCAGTCCCAGCTGAGGAACAAGCCAGTGGGGCCCCTTCTCTTCCTCATTTTGGAAACTTTTCCTCCTCTATTAAACATGGGAAACTGAAGCCCTTGAAGGTTTGGGGAGAGGGGGGTATCAGGCAGGGAGGGGGCAGAGGCAAATCACCGGGCAGAGGGAGGGGAGGAGAGGAGGCCGCACTCTCCCTGTCTCTCCCGTCTCTGCACCCAGCTCCTCTCTGCATGCTGAGGGCTAAATTGGGATCTCAGCCTGCCCTAATCTTTCCCCATCTGAGGCAGGTTTCTAGGAGGTGTCTGTAGTCCATGTGGCACCTTTGTGAGAATTAGAAAACATGTACCTTCCTCTGGGCAGCTGCAGCCCTGAGCCAGGACATGTGGCCTGGCTAGTGCAGCATGGAGTGGATTTTAGGCTCATTTGCCCTCTCAGCCAACTGCCCTTGAGCAGTGTACAGCCTGCTCAACAACCGCCCTGGGCAGGCCGCTCCTGAGCTGCTGTCTCCCTCTCTGACCTATGCCTACCTTCTCTTTCTTCGTTCCCTGCCCACTGGGCATGGCAGCTGGGGGTGAGAGGCTGGTGGTTGCCTCCCGTCCTGGGCAGGCTGCAGCCTCATGCCATGTCTCTCTCCCACTACCTGATGGGCACATGGACAGGCTGCAGAGGGCTCCAGGTTCTGGGCCCCTGGCTGAGAAGGGGAGGATCCTGTCCTGGCTGTAGCCTTCCTGCCCCAATCATCTCGCTGGATGCCATTGCCCAGGGGTAGCCCTTCGGTATGGGCTGGGGAGAAGGGTTGGTCTTCTGCCAGGGTCCCTAAGAACAGGTTTGCAGCTACCCTCTCTGACCTTTTCCCCATATCTTGTGCTGTCCAGGGCCTAGGCTGATAGTCAGAGCCTGTGGCACACCTGGGATGGGCCAGGGCCCTGGGTGGGGAGGTGTGGGTTCCCTGGGCCAAGACCAGCCTTTTTCCTCAGTTTAATTAATTTATTTATTTGGTTTGTGGTTTTGGGTTTTTTTTGTTTGTTTGTTTGTAGGTGAGTTCCCATCCTCTGGGCCCCTAGAAATGCTGCCTTTGTGTGTGGGGTACCTGGGAAAGGGTGTGGCTGAGGCAGTCATAATGCAGTATCTTCCCCTGACTCCAGCCACAAAGCTCATACCCAGCCCTACCAATCATGAACTGGAACTCCATAAGGAGGGGCCAAATTGGGAGGCCTTTTGGCAAACAGTGTCTATTTTACAGAGAGGCAAACCAAGCCTCCTTAGTGCCCTGGGGCTGATGGTCACCCAGAGCCATAGAGCACCCTTCCTCCTGGGCCAGAGCTGGGTTATCATGGTTGGCTTAGGTACCTCAGGTGGCCCAGGAGGTCCCCCCTCCATAAGGACGTCAAACTTCCAGGAGGGCCAGTGTTCCTAGTGTGGGCCAGGAACAGGACAGGGAGACCTTGTGATGGCGGGGCAGGGAGCCTGTTCGTAGGGAAGATGAGGAGGCAAGGGCTGCCTCTCACACCTCCAGGTTCTCTAAGTTCTGGGGAGGGAGCGCCCCACCTGCTGAGGTCGGTCCTCTCAGCCCTGCCTGCCCTGGCCTGGGCTCTCCCAGCCTCCCAGCCCTCTGCCCCCTCAGATGGCTTTTTGTTTTTGTTTTTTTTTGCATCCATCAGAGACTGCACCTCTGTGTGGCAGGCAGGGCATGGGTTTTAGTCCTGGCCACTGACCAGCTGTGTGGCCCTGGCCGAGTCGTAGCCCCCTGGAGCCCAGCTTCCATTTCTATAAAATGGTTGTTTCGGGAGAGAGGGGCAGGCTTTCTGTGTGACTCGGGAGTTCTTCCGTGAGGGCTGCCAGGGGGTGGTGTGCCAGGACCTCAGGCTGGGCCTTTGTGCTGGCCTTGCAGTGGGTGTGTGGGGAAGTCACTGTCCCACTATGGGTCTCCACTACCCAGTCACTGACCCTGGGAGACCCCTTCTGTGTGGGAGGGAGCGGGGGCTGGCTAGCGGGCCCCCCAGCCAGGGATCCCAGAGGCTGAGGGTTGGGGAGAGGAAGCCATCATCTCATTACCTCTGTCAGTGCAGGGGTGGCTGCTGCTTCCCTTGTGCACTTGGGTCGCTGTGATTGTGAATAAAAGTGATTTCGTACCAGCCTGAGGGCGGTGCTGTGCGCAGAGCACTGGGGAAGGAGGGCCAGCGTGTGCGTGCACATGTGGGGGCAGGCTGGGGTGTGGAGGCCTGGTGTCCTGGATACTAGGGGAGTCATCAGGAGCTGTGGCCCTTCCCTGAGGGGTAATTGCAGGCCTCTGAGGCTTCAAGGTGGGCTGGGGCAATCAGGGAAGACTCCCTGGAGTCGGGGGCTGGAGCGTGACTTGGGTCTAGAATGCCAGGTGAGCCTTGCAAATTGGGAGAGGCTACTGCATCTGTGAGGAGCAGGGTGTGGTGGGGAAGGTGCCCTGGGATGGGGCTTCTCCTTAAGGCTGAGCAGGGCTCAAATCTGCCGCTTGTAGGGGGGTGCGCAGTGCCACCTAGGGGGCTAATGGGAGGATGACAAGTGGTCAACTCAGGTCATCAGGGGCTGTGCTCTGAGCTCCCCAGGAACAAGGCTTCCACCCCTCTCCCCAGGCTCAGACCCCCACATCTGGAGGGAGTTCAGCTGTGTTCCCACTGGTGGGTGCAGAGGCCTATACCAAATGGGTGGTGCCACTGAGGAGAAAAGGGAAGCCTCTGGATAGAGTCCTTTAGAGAAGTGTTCTAGATGCGCTAAGTGATCCGAGTGGTGGGGAAGGCTGAGGGGAGAGGGGTGGTGGGGAGGAGGCAGCCAGACTGGCCCCAAGGTCTAGGCACAGTGTTGGAATTGAGCTCATTTGGCAGCACCAGGCCTCAGAGGCACATGGGATACCTGCCTGCCCATCCTGTTCCAGGGAGGATGCTCAGGCTACCCAGCCTCTGCATGGCCTTGCACAGCCATGGCCTGTTCCTTGCATCAGGGTTACCTGGTCCTGCTTACTGGGGTCCAGCAAAAGCAGGAGAGGGTCGGGGGGCCATGCTAAGGAGCCAGCTAGGCCTGCTGGATGTGGGTCCTTGGCCCCAAGATCTGCATCTTTCAAAGCCTTGGCCACTGCCCAGAAAGCCTCCCAAAAGTGGGGAAGAGGCTGGAGGAGCTTGACCACAGCTCTCACCAAGAGTGAGAGCTGGCTCATGTCTGTAATCCCAGACTTTGGGAGGCTGAGGCAGGAGGATTGCTTGAGCCCAGGAGCTTGAGACCAGCCTTGGCAACATAGCAAGAACCTGTCTCTACAAATAATAGAAAAATCATCTGGGCATGGTGGTGCGCCTGTAGTCCCAACTACTCAGGAGGCTGAGGTGGGAGGATCGCTTGAGTAAGGGAGGTCGAGGTTGCAGTGACCTATGATCATGCTACTGCACTCCAGCCTGGGTGACAGGGTGAGACCCTGTTAAAAAAAAAAAAAAAAGCGAGAGCTTACCTACCTGCCCCCACCCTCCAGTGTCCTTTCTTTCAGAGGGCCCTGGGATCCTGAAGTCCACTTTGCAATTTGGGATAATGGGACATTGGCTGTTCAGCTGGATGGGTGTTTTTGGTGACAGGGAGAATTAAGAGGTGATTCCGTTCGGTTAAAAAGGCCCAAAACTTTATTTAGTTTTCAGGGAAATATAAGATGCATGTAAACATAAAATACAAAACAAAACCCAAATCTTACAGTCTAGAAGCATGCCAAGACAGAGCATTTTCTGCAGACCAAAGAGTCCCGTCAAAGTGATAAAGGACACCTGGAAAGTGGCAGGCCAAGGGGCTGGTCCCTTCCCCAAGGGCACTGCATTTTTGTGATGAGATTAAAAACAAACCAACTCCACTATTAAAAATGCTAGAAACATGGAGATAGTTTAGCACCACCATTGATTCTGGAAATATTTCAGCACTCAAATCGACTGCACTGAGTTTAATGTCCTTTCTCCAGTTTCTCTGCTGAGGAGGAAAGAAGGAAAACCTGGAGGAAGGGCTCCTCCTGACCCCACAGAGCCCACTAAGAGCTGGGAGGGGAATTCCATGAGGAATTCTCCAAGGTTCTGGAGCTCCAGAGACATCCACCAGTCCCCACCCAGCCATGCAGTCCACATGCTCACGCTTCAGGGATTACTGAAGTCTGCCTTGCCCGGGAGTCACTTCCTGCAGACCTCTGAGTACCTGGTGGGGAAACCCATTTCCCATCCTGTGTCTTGGATTTAAAGAAAACCTGTTGCAGATAATGAGTTGTAAATTCAAGGAGGGTGGCTGTTTTGCTGTTCTTTCTCTGCAGTAAACTCTTATGGGGAGTGTGCCTTGGTTATAAGGCAACGCAAAATGGTAGGGTATATCCATGGATGAATGTTCATCACACCCAGTCTAATTCATACCAGGTGGCAGGCTCAGCAAACTGAACCACCACAGGTGTCAGAGATACTTGAGAATGACTGGTACCAACAAGACGACAAAGGAGGTTGCCTTCCTCCCAGATGTGCCCAATGGAGTCTGAACTCTGGTTCTAATTTGTGGAGGTGGGTCCCTACTGTATGACCCATTGTGGTCACTGCTCTTTGAGCCATACAACTTGAGAGACTGGCTTTGGATTGGACAGTCAAAGGGAAGTGGGCAAAACCAGCTGAGAACCCGGGAGCTGGATGCATATATTCTGGAATCAGGGCCTGCAAACTCAAAGATTGGTTTGTGGCTGGTGACTTCTCTCTGCTAAGTAAATCAATGACCATTCATTGAGAACTGATGGGGACCCAGCGTGTGGCCCAATGAGTGGCAGTTTTTTCCTAGCCAGTTTCTGTGGCCAAATTTGGAGGATTTTCCAACCTGCTATGGCTGGACCCTTGGGTGTTAAATCACTAAATTCCCTTTCTACCTGCTCTCTTCTTCCTGAAACACTCAGAGCTGACTTCTTCCTTCTTTCTAATCAACAAAGACAAAACTCCAAGCCCCTTTTCAGCCTTCACACAATTTTTCTTTCTAGAAGACATCCGCTTCTGGAAGCCTCCTTCCCTAATGAAGGGACAGTAGGCCCCAGCTACCCCAAACATGCACATGCTCTTCTCACCAACGTGCCTCTCACTTGCCTCTAACGTGCTCGAGCCATCCTTTTGTTCTAAATAATTCTTCCTCCCTCCCTCCCTTTTTTCTCTTTCACCTCTTGAGGCGCAGCCTATTGGCCAGGATGGAACTGGGAGCAAGGCGGGGACCTTCAGTGCAGGGGACCCCATTCTCTAAGGCCACTGAGTTCTAGGACTGGAGTAGGAGAGGGTGCTGTTGTCAAGGTTAAGTGCAAACTTGAGATTTTAAAAAGACAGGATTGGGGAAGGGGGATTGCATGCTAATCCCAACCTTATAGGCAGGCTGGGATCAAGACCTTGGAAGGTAGGGCTCTCCACCCAGTCTGTAAGCACCAGTGTGCCCACCTTATGGCCTGGGGACCCAGGTTTGCAGGAGGGAAGTTAACAGTGGGGCTGTTTTTCCCCAAAGCTGTGGGTCACTGATCCTGTCTTCTCACTGGCTCTGATCATGCAGCTTGGGAACCACAGAGACATGAGACTGCACCAAACAGGGCTGATGATTTAGCCAGAAACTCAGGAAGGTCTAGCACAGCCCTCCACACACTTCCCAGGAAGTGTTTGGTCTGGCCCTGCAGTTGGGACTAAACTTATATGCACCTGCAGGTCTTGTTGGGTGCACCGTGAGCAAGTTCTCACCCCAACCACCTGACCCACCCTCTGAAACAAGGACGAAAGGGCTGGCAGCTTTCATTATAAGGGGCTTCTCATACCCATGGCATGGCTGAGGGGTGGGAGTCAGCCTGCTCGATGACACGTCTGCAGGGGATGACCTAACTGAACCAACTCAGTGTTTCTATTCCCAGTGGCATCTCTTTTGCACATCTTCATTTTGGAGCCTGGGATGACTGCCTAGGCCACTTATGCTAGACCTGTTAATGCCAGTGTGAAATTTCCAACTAAATACTTAATAAAATAATTACAAAAAGAAAAAAAAATGACACATTGCACTCTCCAGCCAGAATGATGTGTGTGAATGACACACTTGCTGCCAGAAGCTGTGAGTCCCTTGGGACCTGCCCATTGCCAAGGACTTGTTCAATGGAGACAGCTTGCCTGGTATTTTTTTTTCTCTAACCCCATGTTATTTAGTTCAAGTGGGAAGTTACCAACACTTGCATACACAGACACACACACACACACACACACACACACACTCTCTCTCTCTCTCTCTCTCTCACAACACATGGCCCTCAAAAAAGTGAGGGAATCTTAATTATTTAGCAATGTGGACAGTTCTCTTCCCAGAGAGCTCTGCTTTGAGATTCTCAAAGACTAAATATCTAGATGGATATACGCCAAGGGAGAGACCCGCACAGGGCACAGTCCCATTCCAGGCACAGAGATCTGTGTCTGTGCAGAAATTCACCAAATAGGGGGTTGAAGTAGCAAGCATACAGTACTGGAGGTGGAGGGAACAAGCCACAGGGACGTCCCTGTCACCTTGAGGGGCAGAGCTCTGAGGCTCCAACCCAGAGGAAACTTCCCATTCTGTTGCTTTCTCTACCGGTGCTGAGGAAGGAGGCCAGATTGGTACCTGTTGTGGGAAGTTTTGTCTGCAGAGAAACTTGAATAGACCCCCCGACTCTTCCCGGAGCAGAATTTGTATGGACTCTCTGGGTGTGGAGCCCAGGCAGGGCTCACTTCTCAGGCTGAAGTCGCTGAGATGAATGGGCAGCCCAGGCTCAGCCCCAGGCCCTGCTGCAGGCTTGTGGGAATTGGTGTCTCACCAGGGTGTGCGCGGCTCAAGGTTCTCACATCCCCCAAAAAGATCTGGTGACTTCTAGGCTTCCTGCCTAGAAACTGAACTGAGGGCACCCAGTTTTAGAAAGATTCAAACATACACCAGAAGGATCACAGCCCAAATATCAGGACACTGGGGTGAGAGAGGGCTGCTGGGAGTCATTTTTAGGCCAGGTCTCTCTGAGCAGCTGGCTGCACCACAACAGAAATCAAAACAAGGAACAGCTCCCGAGGGCCTGCCTCTGCTCCAGGGACTGGGGCCTAGAGGTCAAGGGCCCCATGCCTGAATCCCTTTCTTCTGGGTGGATCTGGCAGGGACCCCTATCATCTTCCCAAAGAAGGGGGAGAGGAGAACGCCACAAGATCAAACTCCACCAACCCACCCACCTGTTCCACAGCTAGGATTCCTTCAGCACCCCGCTCCCTGCCTCTTGCTCTCTGAGCGCCACTGGTATTCCCTCCATTGTCCCCAATGAGCCCTGGCATCCATCTTGGTAATATTGCACTTTTCCTGTCTCTCAGATTGTTTCCATTTTTGATTGAGAATGCAAGGTATTTGGAGGGGTAGGGGAAGTGAGTAACCTTAAAGAAATAATATATTAGTTAAATACAATAACAGGAAAAATAGGGGTTATTTTATCTTTTTCCCCTTATTAAAAACAAGAACTACCAAACCAAGGTCTAAACTTAAATAGTCCTACACCTATTCTGCAAACACTAGTAATAGGAAAATAATGCCTGACTGGAATTCCCTTGTCTTTTTTCCTTAGATGATAAAAGTAGTAACATGCCTTGCTGAGGAAAGCAATGGATATAAATGCCTGTAAAATACGCTGCTCTAACATCTGAAAGTGATTAAAATGATTCTATATAATGCCTTCGTCAAGATGGAAAATCAAGGAGGAAGAAAGAGAAACCTTTGGGGCCAGGCTTAGGGTAGACGGGGCTGAGGCCTGGCAAGACAGCCCGTCTACAGTCATTGGACATAGGGGAAACCCACAGGGCATGGGGCACACCTGCTGCTCAGGGTTGCCCCTTTCCAGCTCTCTCTCACTGCCCCCAAAGTCCCATGGCCTGGTGAGAATAGTGAGGAGGAGAGGGGCAACACAGCCAGGTCTGCTGTCACAAAGAGGGATGAGGTGGGGGGAGATGACATTTTTTTCCCCTTGCAATAAAAGAAAAAGGTCTTGAAACGGAAAGGAAAACAAAGCACCAAATGCTGCATCTTCGGGCATTATATGAACCTCAATAATGACCTCAGAAGGGCTCATTATGGTTAAAGTTGCAGTATACAGCAATACAGTGTCGTTTCACATTTTCAGTCGCAACTCATGGGAAACTAGGTTTGGACACTGCGGAGATTTTGTTTTTCTTTTTCCTTTTTTAGTCCGATCTGGTTTTCCTCCAGATGGGTCAGAGCCCTAGGCCCCCTCCCTCCTCTGCCTGCTGCCGGCAGTATCCTTCAGCATCACAAAGCAGCTCAGTAGCTCAAGGGAAAGGCCCTCTCGCCCTGGCTAGGGCTAGGAGGCCAGGCGCACAAGGCCTGGTACCCCCTGGCCATGTCGGAGAAGGACTGGCATGCACCCTTCTTGCTTCAAGTATTAATATTCTCTTTGGGTTTGCAGGGTTTGTGCTGTGAGTTAGGGGGTGAGGGGGCGAGGTGCGAAGACTGGGGCATGGCAATCCCTGTTCACTGCCCAAATCTACATGCTGTCACCAGATGGCAGCATTCCCCACTTTTCCTGGATGCCTGAGCAACTCCCAGCCATCCTTGGGGCTGGATGTCACAATGTAAACATGACCACACAATAAACTATAATGGCAGTGAGGAGGAGCACGGGATTAATGTAGTGGGGAGATCTGTCATTAACTAGCTGTGGGATTTTGGAAAAGTTGTTTCCTGTCCTTGGGCCGCAGTAACAGGAAGGGATGGGATAGAGACCTCTGAGGTCTCTTTCAGTCCTGCATTTTAATGACTCTATTACTTACAGCACTGGGGGTCAAGGAGAGGGGGTCCTTGGGGGGGGCTGGGAGAATGTGGGGGGCAGTGCAGGTGGTGGGGAAGGGCAGGAAAGGCAGGCTCTCGGGAGCACTGTGGTCCAGTCCAACTGAGATGCTCTGTGCTTGGCAGACATGCTCTGCACTCCCTCCTGGCCTGGCTGGCGCACTAGTGACTGAACTGGCTCAGTGCAGACATCTGAGGAGCGAGGCTGCAGGGCCCTCCCCCTGGAAGATAGCTACATTGAAGGTTCTTTACCTGACAGTCACTCTACTTTTAAATTTTATTTTAAATAGTCATAAATTACTTTTTTTCTCTTAATAAATATGTGCTGTTTAAAAATGAGAAAAGTATATACTGCATCTTTAAGTAATGCACTTTGCTCTCTGGGTTTTTTCCATTCTACCTTATTTAAAGTGCATTAATTAAAAAATAATGAACCACTTCTTTATCATTATTGTTCAAATAAGTACAAATAATATTAACATGAAGACACTAAACCACTACCATTAGTACTGCAATCTAGCAGATTAACTCAACATCCTGCTCTATTTAATACTGTCCAGCAGAAGAAAATAACTAATTTCAATTTTAAACAAACTCACAAAACAAAAGGAAACAAAACAATCTCACCACAGGCCTTCGACAAAGAACACGAGCCATTTGCTCTAGCTGCCAGGCATCAGTGTATGGCGAGGGACAGGGGCTTAGGGTTGCCCAGGCAAGGCCTCTGGGATGGGGTGTGGTGGGGTAGGGTAGGGGTGGGGGTGGGTTTTGAAGGCACTGAGACACTGGGTCCCATGCTGCCCTGCCTGGGTGGGGAGCAGGGTGAGGGAGGGCCTTTCCTCCTCTATAGAAAACACCAACCCCCAGTCCAGGGACCCTGGCAGCTGAATCGGTGGCTGTGAGGCCCAATCTGTCCGAAATCAAAGGCACGTGTGGAAATCCACTCCCAGCGAAGGGGGAGTCCTTGGGGGAAGCCGGCTGGGCTTCTGGAGGGTCCCCTCTGAAATGTCAACAATTGAAAAACACAACCCAAAGGTGACAGAGGACCTACAGGGAACTTTATTCTCTCGCTTCTGTCTTCACTGGGGCACTGACCCTCGGGAAGACCAGGTTGGCTCCTGGCACAGGGATCCTCCATCTTCTTGGGCACCTGTGGCATTGCCAGCAGGCCAGAGGGGGTGGCTGGCGGTGTTGGCTCCAGTCTGACCCAAGGGGCCAGCCGGGTCCCCCCTCTGCCCATAGTGGGGACAATGGCTGCTTCTCCATGCTTCATACGTAAGGCTTCCAGCCCTGCCCAGCTGGGGAACACACGCAGAATGGCGGTCACCCAGCAGGCTGGGAGCTGCCTTCTCTCCAAAAGTCTGGCTCCTGAACACCCTCCTCCTTCCTGGGGAGGGTTTTTGCCCCTCTGAGGTTGTGCAGGAACCAGAAGAACAGTTTCTCTGCTTCACCATGTCTGCAACCTGGGGCTTGCCTAGCCCCAAATTTTTCTGGCAGGCGCCAAGCTCCAGCACAGTCCACACAGTGGAAACCAAATGAAACGACTTTGGCTTGTGGAGGGGGAAGAATGTGAAACAAAAACAAAAGCAAAATCACCCGCCCACAAGATACAACAGAAACCCCATCCACTACCCATCCCCTTCCCATGTGAGGCCGACCACCCAGGCCCCCAAACAACCCCTAAAATAAGACGCAAACCAAAGGCCTGACATATAAGCCCCAAATCAACAAACCTCTCCCGAAACATGCAAAGGAACTGCCCGCCCAGAAATACCCAAAATAGTCTGTGCAGATTAGGAAGAGACCGGTGGCTTCGCCCACCCTCTCTGTAAACTCTGGTACTGTGTCCTCCATGGGGTGCCCCACGGAGAGCGGGCTCTCTTCTCAAGGCCAAGACAGTGACAGTTATGAAAGATGGTCTTTGCTGGCACCTGGGAACTGCTTTTTCTTCAACTAACAGTGACAATGGCCTGGCCCAGAAGCAGGCTTGAGCTCAGAAGACACCCCCAAGCCTGAAAGCCAGTGGTGGCTTCTAATGTACCCACCTGTGGTAGGCGTGGCAATGCCCAGGAAACCAGCACAATTCACAAATACAGCTTAGGACAATACCAGGGATACCTGGGGTGGCAAGATGCCAGCAATCAAAACTGGGCCAAGCAGGGGCAGGACACTGGAGGCCCCCATGACCTTGTCTTTTCCAGATCTGTAGCA
This sequence comes from Homo sapiens, assembly GCF_000001405.40. Taxonomy (NCBI): domain Eukaryota; kingdom Metazoa; phylum Chordata; class Mammalia; order Primates; family Hominidae; genus Homo; species Homo sapiens. The sequence goes on from NC_000010.11 coordinate 103,601,467, forward strand.
AAGGCACAACTGGGGTCTCCCACATGGCCTGTCCCAGATGGCATGTAATCCATTGGTGAAGTCCCTATGGTGCACAGGATATCTCAGCTTTCTTGGCTCTGGGTCCCAGGCCTGGGACTCCCTGGTCCATTCCCTTCCTCACTCAGTGTGGGCACCCCCATCCCCTACCTTCCAGCTGTGGGATGGCTTGGACAGGGGGCATCTTTGAGGTCACCCATTCTGCAGTGTTGAATGTTGTCCACCCCCCACCCCCCACCCCCATTTTTTCCTTTCCCTTTTGTTCGTCTCACCGCTCATCCAGTGGGCGGCCAGAGAGGCACACTGAGGCTGGAAGAGCCCAGGCCCTCTGCTAGTTCTTTTTCTCAAGGTAGTTGGAAGGCACCCAGCCTTTGAAGGGCTTCACACCATCCAGGATCTGGCAGTACCACCAGCCATTAGGGTTCCTCTCCAGAACCTCCATGGACACCCCCTCCTGGAAGCCTGCTGTCTCCTCATCCCCCTCGTAGTCTGCGATAGAGACGTACACATCTTTGAGGTTATTGTGGATGAACTGAGACTTCTCGATGGGCTTGGGGCGCACAGGGGACACGGGTATGCTGTTGCGCTGGGCGGGCAGTAGGGGTGAGTCTGAACCCTGGCTGGCAGCCCGTTCGGCCAGGCGGCCCTTGGCCTCGGCGGCAGCGGAGCGAGCAGTGCTAAAGGAGGAGTTCCGTCGGACGCCTCGGAGGCCATCAGTGGCCGTGAGTGACTCATTCCTCCGCAGGGCGCAGGACAGGTTGTTGTCCTTGGGTGGCGGGGACACAAACACCGACTGGGGCCTGACCGCCACCTGCCGCACTCCGTTCCTCATCTTCACCGCTGGAGTGCCTGAGGTCTTGCCGAAGCCCCCGGGAGGTTTGGAGGGGATGGGGGGCGTGGCCTTCTTGCTCTGGTTGACGGTGTTCAGTGCTTGGACGCGCCTCTCGATCTTCTCCAGGCTGTCTGATTTGCCTTCGTTCTGCCTGCCCTTGGCGGGCACTGTGTCCAGCTCTTTGCCAGAGGGGTCAGGTTGCTCGTTCTCATCCAGCACCAAATAGTGGGAAGGGGCCCAGCCCTCCAGCTCCCCAAACCTCACATACCACCACCCGCTCTCCTGCTTCTCCAGCACCTGCACCTCCACGCCCGCGGGGAAGCTGATCTCCGAGTCCTGGACCTTCTGGTAGGCGCTGCATGTCATGTACGAGGTGGCTGGCCCTTCCCATTCCTTCTTGGTGGGACATGGGGGAGTGGTGGCTGGGAGGGTGATGAGGTCGGATGAGCTTCTCCTAGACCCCTCACTGGGAGCCTCGGAGGCCGTCTGCGGGGGCAGCTCCGAATCCTCACTCTTGGAGCCCTTGAGCCCTCCACGGAGCTGGCCTGTGGGTCTCAGCTGGCGCCGTAAAGTGCTGATGTCCATCTTCTCTTGGCTCTGCGACTCTGCTCGGTTTAGGAATGGCTTGGGCCGGACCGATGGCTTGGCCCGGGGACAGGAGGTCAGCCCAGCGTTCGCATCAGCATCCTTCTTTGCCCTGACCTTGGGAGTGCCGCGGATGCCTGCGTCCGAAGCAGAGCGGGGCTTCAGGTCGCCACTGGTTTTGGACAAGGAAGAGGAGGAGGAGGAAGAGGAGGAGCAGCAAGTGGTGTTGATGGTGATGGATGAGGAAAAGGAGGCTGAGGAGTGGTTCTTCCCCATTTCTGCCTGGGCATTCTTCTCTGCCTTGAGCTTTAGGAGTGATGATGACTTGGGGGAGCCTGATTTGGGGGAGTTTTTCCTGGTCAGGGACAGCGAGGAGCTGCCTGGGGAGTCGCTGTCCCCGGAGGAGCCTCTGGCTGACAGGGTGTCCTCTGCATATGGCCGGAAGCCCTCATTCTCATAGATGGTCTCCTCTTCCAGGGCCACATCCTCTGAAGACTCACCCACCTTGAAGCGGGCCCGCTGCAGAGAAGAGGCCGGCGAGGGCCGGTGGGGCTGGGCAGGCCGCCTCTCCCCTGAGGCTCTGTCCTCCACGGGCTCCTCGCTCAGCTCAGGCTCTGAGTCAAAGCCGAATGCAGGGATGTCATACTCAGGCTCCTCATACTTGAGCTTCCGCGGGGAGTCCTGGCTCTCACTGGCCCCCGTAGGGCCCTCCTCGGCCTCCTTGGGCTTGCTGGGGGGTGCTGGCGGGGGCACCTTGGGCCGGGTCAGCGTGCTTGTGCGGCGGCTCAGGTTGGGCTTCTTGCGCTTATCGATGTATGATGCGGGGGCCCAGCCCTCCTTCTCACCGATCTGCACGTACCACCAGCCACCTGAGTTCTTATCAATGACCTGGGGTACGAGTGCAGACAAGCCAGTGAGTTGGGAGGATCTGGAACCCTATGACATCCCAAGGTAGGAGTATCATACTTTGGCTCTGGGATAAATTATCTCCATTTTACAGATAATAAACCGAGCCACTGAGTAAGTGGCCCAAAACCCAATATAGTAAATAATGCACCAGAATTCAAACCTAGGTCTCTATCATCTCATGGTTGGTGGGTTCCCACTTGCCAAGTTCCCTCCCTGATCCTCCATGTCTGTGTTAACAGCCGGGTTGAGCTGGCCCACTCTGCCTCCCCCTAAACTGCACTGTTCCCAGTCCCTACAATCCTGCCAGTAGACTAAGGACACGTATGAAGAAAACACTGCCCTTCTGCTGCCCCTTCCCTCCTCGTACCCTCGATGTTGCTAGGTCCTCCCTTTGAGTTCCTTGAAAGGGTCTCTAGGGTCAGAAGAGTATGGGAAGATGCAGATGAAGTGACCTGGGAGGTACAGGCCCGAGGCCAGAGCCTCTCTGCAGAGCCTTTCCCCAGGATCCACCCGCTGTGGTCATCTTACTGGAATCCCACTGAAATCCCACTAGCTGAAGAGATTTCTTTGGGTTGATTGGTTTCCTGTAGGAAGGGCAGGGGGCTTTCAGTCATTTCCATGTTAGTATAAACTGGTTTAAGGAGCTTCTTCCTTAACTTCTGGAGATCAACCAATGGCCAAAAGTGTGGCTGCTGGTTGTGCTGGGGTCCATTTGGACTGGGGAACATAAAGGGCAGATAACTGGGGATTGTGGGACACTCCTGGAGGAAAAGGTCCTGGGGTGGGGAAGGGGTAGCGTGAAAACACTGGCACTATGGGAAGAGGGCCAAGGAGGGAGGGAAAGGTGAAGAATGCAAAGGCAAGAAGAGACCAGTCCTCTGCATCCCCCACTAGAAGAGAAAGATTTTCTCCTTCTTTGGGTCCTACATTCTGTCCTTCACCCTGCCCCAGCCCTGTACCTACAGTTCAAGCACAGGTGGCTCCTGAGCCTGACAGTTCTGCCACATTATGCTCTTTACAGACTCTCCTGGAAACCTCAGTACAGAGAGAATGATTTTTCTTGGAAATTTAGTTGCAAGTTCCAGGCATGTGATTTAAAACATTCACATTGGGAATGTCACTGCTTTAGAGGCAGAGACTGCCCAATGAGTCTGACAGGTTCACTTGTATTAGATGGAGTTAACTCAATTACTACACAAAGCCACTCAGAGAATTGACTAAGTTACAGCTCTTCTCTGCTGCCGGGAATACCATGCTCAGCCCCAGCCACAAAATAGAGTGGCATGAATGCTGGAAGACATGCTGGGGGGTGGAGGGGCGTCCCAGGATCTATCACCCTGTTTTGCAGAGAGAAATGCTTAAAGTTGGGGGTGGCGGGTGAGAGAAGTGACTGCATCAAAGGCCAGGGGTCATGTGGTGTGGACTTGGCCAGAGCCCAGGTCCCCAGTATCTCAGTCTACCTGCCTGGTCCACATCCTCCTAACAACACTTCCTGATGTGGCTTCTGCAGGATCCTGGCCCTGAGATGTTCCTGGGAGAGAAAGCTTGTGGGGTTGGGCAATGCTGTCTATTCTAGACCCCTTGTAGGTGACACTCCCAGTGACATCCTTGTATCCTAGGCTCTGGGAAGCCCTGCAATTAAAACAACAAATGGGTTGGATTTTGTTTAATCCACTGTCCTGCAAGCTCATTTGACCAAAGAAGCCCTTTGTTTCAAGGCCCCCCTGTCACAAGCTCCTGCACATGCTCTGGGAAATGTTGTGAGACAAGCCCTGTGAGCTCAGGGTGGAGCGTGAGAGCTGGGATCTAGTTTAGGCCATGGCACTGGCCAGCGCCAGGCAGATGCTCATCTTTGTGGGGCTCATTTCTGTACCTTTCCTGCCTGCCTGCCCCTCAGGAATCTTACTAGCAAGGCCTAAAATGGGAAATGCAGTAGGTTTTCCACCACAATGAGTTAAAACCCTCGGCCTCATGGCCCAAGGCTTACCTCTGCCTTCTGTCCACCCCGAAAGCTGATGCCATCGGAAATGCACGACTGGAATTCGGCAATGGTGTAGTACTCCACCTCAACAGAAGGGGGCTCTGGTGGCTTTGGCAGTTGGAACCCCTAAGGTTAAGGAACACACAGTGGGCAAAACCCGCCTAAATCAGAAGAGTAACTTGGCCAAGGGTTGGTCCCCACTCAGTCCCCAGGGGGTGCGGATGGCCGTTTACACCAGCTGGACAGCAGCTGGCCTGAGTACGTATCTATCATGGGAGTCTCAGGGTATATATCGCCAGGGGACTACTCTGATGAGGCTTTCTAATAATACTCAGGACTCACGGAAGACTTGTCTGAGCTATCAAAATTCTCACATTACTATTACTATCATCATCATCATCATCATCATCATCATCATCATCATCATCATTACTCTGAGATAGGGTCTTGCTTTGGGACCCAGGCTAGAGTGCAGTGGAGTAATCAGAGCTCACTGCAGCCTCCATCTCCTGGGCTCAAGTGATCCTCCCACTTCAGCCTCCCCAGTAGCTGGGACTACAGGCACACACCACCACACCTGGTTAATTTTTTTTTTTTTTTTTGGTAGAGATGGGCTCTCTCAGGATCTGGAAGAATTTGCTAAAAAAAAAAAAAAAAAAAAAAAAAAAGCTCTCCCCCTCCCCCTCCCCTTCCCTCTCCCTCTCCCCACGGTCTCCCTCTCCCTCTCTTTCCACGGTCTCCCTCGGATGCCGAGCCGAAGCTGGACTGTACTGCTGCCATCTCTGCTCACTGCAACCTCCCTGCCTGATTCTCCTGCCTCAGCCTGCCGAGTGCCTGCGATTGCAGGCGCGCGCCGCCATGCCTGACTGGTTTTCGTGTTTTTTTGGTGGAGACGGGGTTTCGCTGTGTTGGCCGGGCTGGTCTCCAGCTCCTAACCGCGAGTGATCCGCCAGCCTCGGCCTCCCGAGGTGCCGGGATTGCAGACGGAGTCTCGTTCACTCAGTGCTCAATGGTGCCCAGGCTGGAGTGCAGCGGCGTGATCTCGGCTCCCTACAACCTCCACCTCCCAGCCGCCTGCCTTGGCCTCCCAAAGTGCGGAGAGTGCAGCCTCTGCCCGGCCGCCACCCCGTCTGGGAAGTGAGGAGCGTCTCTGCCTGGCCGCCCATCGTCTGGGATGTGAGGAGCCCCTCTGCCTGGCTGCTCAGTCTGGAAAGTGAGGAGCGTCTCTGCCCGGCCGCCATCCCATCTAGGAAGTGAGGAGCGCCTCTTCCCGGCCGCCATCCCATCTAGGAAGTGAGGAGCGTCTCTGCCCAGCCGCCCATCGTCTGAGATGTGGGGAGTGCCTCTGCCCTGCCGCCCCGTCTGGGATGTGAGGAGCGCCTCTCCCCGGCCGCGACCCCGTCTGGGAGGTGAGGAGCCTCTCTGCCCAGCCGCCCCGTCTGGGAAGTGAGGAGACTCTCCGCCTGGCAACCGCCCCGTCTGAGAAGTGAGGAGCCCCTCCGCCCGGCAGCCGCCCCGTCTGAGAAGTGAGGAGCCCCTCCGACCGGCAGCTGCCCCGTCTGGGAAGTGAGGAGCGTCTCCGCCCAGCAGCCACCCCGTCCGGGAGGGAGGTGGGGGTCAGCCCCCGCCAGGCCAGCCGCCCTGTCCGGGAGGTGAGGGGCGCCTCTGCCCAGCCGCCCCTACTGGGAGGTGAGGAGCCCCTCTGCCCGGCCAGCCGCCCCGTCCGGGAGGGAGGTGGGGGGGTCAGCCCCCTGCCCGGCCAGCCGCCCCGTCCGGGAGGTGAGGGGCGCCTCTGCCCGGCCGCCCCTACTGGGCAGTGAGGAGCCCCTCTGCCCGGCCACCACCCCGTCTGGGAGGTGTACCCAACAGCTCATTGAGAACGGGCCATGATGACAATGGCGGTTTTGTGGAATAGAAAGGGGGGAAAGGTGGGGAAAAGATTGAGAAATCGGATGGTTGCCGCGTCTGTGTAGAAAGAAGTAGACATGGGAGACTTTTCATTTTGTTCTGTACTAAGAAAAATTCTTCTGCCTTGGGATCCTGTTGATCTGTGACCTTACCCCCAACCCTGTGCTCTCTGAAACATGTGCTGTGTCCACTCAGGGTTAAATGGATTGAGGTCGGTGCAAGATGTGCTTTGTTAAACAGATGCTTGAAGGCAGCATGCTCGTTAAGAGTCATCACCACTCCCTAATCTCAAGTACCCAGGGACACAAACACTGCGGAAGGCCTCGGGGTCCTCTGCCTAGAAAAACCAGAGACCTTTGTTCACTTGTTTGTCTGCTGACCTTCCCTCCACTATTGTCCTATGACCCTGCCAAATCCCCCTCTGCGAGAAACACCCAAGAATGATCAATTTAAAAAAAAAAAAAAAAAAAAGAACACAGGACAGAGGCAGACCCACCAGCAGGGAGAACACCACGTGAAGCCTGGAGTCAGGCTTCCGGAGTCCCGGAAGCCGGGAGAGAGGCGGGGAACAGGTCCTCCTCCCACGCCTTCCCAGGGAACGAGGCCCTGTCGGCACCCTGATCTCCTCGCCCCTAGAACTGGGAGACAACACGTTTCTGCTGTTAAGCCACCCAGTGTGTGGTACTTTGTTACAGCAGCCCCCAAAAATAAAGACACCATTCCATGTCAAGAAAAAAAAAAAAAAAAAAAAGAAAAATTGTGTTGGGATTTAAATTAGAATTTCATCGAATTTACAGATTAGGGATAAAATTGAATAATACCGAGTCTTCTCATCCATAAATGTACCTTATTTCCATTCTGCCAGGCCTTCAATTCATTTTTGTGATTTTTCTTCATCAAAATATTGCACATTTTAATTAAATTATTCTATTCTTTAAAAAAAAAAAAAAAAGAGAAAAAAACTAGAGACAGGGTTTTGCCTGGTCTCAAACTCCTGGGCTCAAGCAATCCTCCTGCCTCAGCCTCCCAAAGTGCTGGAATTACAGGCATAAGCCACTGTGCCCAGCACAAAATGCTCATTATTAATGCAGTAATTTCTAATCTTACATCTCTGGAGGTCTAGTTTTCAGATGCCTCAATAGCTGAATCTCAAAATGAAAATTAAAAAGCAGAGAAATCTCCTGTAATCGTAGTGCTTTGGGAAGCCCAGGTGGGAGGACTGCTTGAGGCCAGGAGTTTGAGATCAGCCTGGGCAAATAGTGAGACCCCATTTCTACCACACACACATACACACACACACACAAAAATTAGGTGGACATGGTGTTATGCACCTGTGGTCCCAGCTACTTGGGAGTCTGAGGCAGGAAAATAGCGTGAGCCCAGGAGTTCGAGGCTGCAGTGAGCTATGAACAGACCACTGCACTCCAGCCCAACTGACAGAGTGAGACTCTGTCTCTGAAAAAAAAAAAAAAAAAGAAAGAAAGAAAAAGCAGAGAAATCATTCTAACAAAGCACTTGCACACTGCCCTGTGGGAGAGGAAGGAAAGCCACTGTCCTGGAGTCTAGGGGTGAGGGCTGCAGGTGGGACTTCTGACAGCACAGGCAAGGCAATGGAGCACAGTGGTCTCTAGTCTGGGGTGTGTGTGTAAGAAGGCAGTGCGGTTGAGTGAGCAAAGTCTTTGGCTGGTCATCATGACAAGGCCAGATAGGCAGGCAAGCACTAAATAAACTCGCAATATTCTGTGGGCAGGGTAGAACTCATTGGAGATCCTCAATGCTTTTCAGAAACTGGCACAGCAGCATCTAAGCATGACATTCAAGGACATTTAGAAGCTGGCTTTGGCCCATGGTTTGTGAGCCTCACCCATTCATTTAACAACTGTTTGTTGTGTGTCTACTGGGTGCCAGACACTGGTCTAAGGCACCGAGCGCCCAGTAGGAAACCAAATGGACAACCCCCTGCCCTTGTGGATTGTATATTTTTGCTTCAATGGTCTTGTCTCTACTCAGCTAAAATGGACTTTGTACCCCGCTATTTATGTCCTCCCTCATGCAAAGGGGTTCAAATAAAGCAATTGGGAAAAAAAGGTGGGAGGGATGAGGGGACGGGAAGAAGCTTGGTGTAGCAGGAAGACCTGGAAAGACCTCAACCTTGGGGCTGGACTCCAATCATAGCAATTTACCAGCTGTGTGGCCCTGGGCAAAGCCCTTGACGTCTCTGAACTTCAGTTCTCTCATCTGTAAAATGGAACTAATACCAGCATCCTGAAGAGGATCCCTGAGATAACATACATCACTTTGGGCCCAGCGAGGGGCATAGGGAGAGCTCAATAAATAGAAGCTGGAACTCAGCACTCCTTCTGAACTTCTCTTCTTCCCAGCCTTCCTCATCCTTCAAGGCTCTGCATGTCCTAACCCCACCAGTTGAAACTGAGCTGAGGCAGAGTGAGTGAGGGGTGGGAGGAAGCTGGTTTTGAGGGATTGAGTGAGAATCTGCCACCTTTCCTGGCCCCAGGGCCTGGCTGTGCAGCCGTGCATGTGAGCAGACACAGCCCAGGCTCAGCCCAGGCCACATCTCTGGCCAGGTGGGATGCAGCTGGGCCTAACTGGAAACAGCAGCCCTGCCTCAGCAATCCCCACATTTGGTAAGTGTGGAAGGAATTACCCCATTCTTGCCAAAATCAAGTCTGCCTGAAAATAATTAGCCGTGGCTAGGAGAGATGGTTGAGAGGGAGAATTCAGTGTTTGGGTGTGTAAAACTCAGGAGGAAAAAGAGAAACTCCACTGGGGTCCATGGCCAAGGCAAGGAAGGTCTCATCTCCAGGGATGAAATCTTTAAAAACCATATTTTTATGGAGGGCCTACTCTTCCATAGACTGGTGCCATCTCCCTTAGCCAGGGCTGATGTCACTGACCACAGTAACTCTTGTTGCTAAGCCCAGATGTGACTTCAGAATCCTCCTTAACCCAGTGCACCAGGTAGTATTACCAAGCAGGCAAGAGCTGACATAGGAAATGGAAACCTGTTTGCTAGCCCCCCACATAAATCATCTCATTTCATCCTTACAACAGCCCTAAGAGATGGCTAGTACTGTCCCGTCTGATAAATAAGGGCACTGAAGCTTGTAGAGGGCAACTGGCTTACCTACAGTCTCTCCGCCTCTAAGTGTCAGAAGTGGAATCCGAATCCATGCCTGGCACTTGAAGACACACTCTTTCCACTACATCCCACTGCGCTTACTAACAGTTCTTTGTTCCAAGGCTCTCAGCCTGCCACCAGCATCGCAGGCACCCCAAGCCCTGGCCCCTGATGCGTATCTACCTGCCCGAGGGTCTGGACACCAGGAAACCCCACCCACATGAACCAGGGACCCTGGCAGTGTTAACCTCTTAAAGCTGGGGCGTGAGCCACTCCTTGCAACTCACACTCCTCCCTGGAAGACGTTCACTGATCTGCCCTCTGCCCTCCCAGACTCTGCCATCCACCACCTCCACTGGGCATTCCTGACCAGGGAAAGCTGAAAGGCTTCCAGGCTAGCATGGACAGGAGCCCCATTTCCAGCCTCTGGCAATGCCCTGGCTGGACACTTTTGCCGGGCAGTCTAAATGTTTATGTCTGCCAATGCAGTGGCTGGGATGGATTTATTTAGCTTTGGAGTGCAGTGTGTTTCCGATTATAAACTGTCCAGCCAGGCCTCCAGGAAGGCTGGGATCTGCAGGCTTCCCTCCCTGCCCCTAGCCCCACAAAACTAGAAGCCCCAGCAGGGCTCTGGAAAACCCCTGGATCAAGAGGCTCTGCCGCAAGATAGCCAATTGATCGGGTGGCTATAGCGCATTCACAGAAAAGGAAGGAAAGGGGAGAAGAAATTCAGTACACATACCAGGCTGGATTCTCTGCGTGGTGGAGGTCTTGTCCGTAGGTTCGGGGAGCCTAGAGGAAGAGACATGGCTTCAGAAATCCTAGTCAGACGATGGGCAACAGTACCCATACCTGCCTTCCCTAGGTGAAACTAACTCCTGATCCTTCAAGTTCATGCTTTAGCTCAGCCTTTATGAAGGACTTGACACTCTAAGTCACTATGGGCACTGTGGTTGGGCTTTTTCAAGGGGAAACTATAGACCTTTACCTTGGCTGTGCTTCCAGGGGATCTATGAACACTCTAAAATTATGTGCACTTTTCAAAATGTGCAGCTATGTGGGCATTTTTCAGGGTAACGGGTGTATAGATTTATCAGGTTTTCAAAGTTAGGAGCAGAGACCATGTCTGTTTTTTGCTTACTATTAAATCCATAGAAGCTAGCATAATGCCAGGCAAGAGGAGGTGCCCAATAACTGTTTCCCAGCTGGTTCCCTAAAAGATTTCAGGCACGAGAGCTAACTTAACCCAGTGGAGCTAAACTAAAGAAACAGCTTTCCTCCAGATTTTAAGAATGGCTGGACACAAACAAAAGCTAGGTTCCTATAACATGGAAGTTTTAAGCCTCAACAAAAGGCATTATTGGGCCAGAGATGGAGGGTGCCAGACTGCCTGGAGTCTCCTGTAGAAATGAAGATGATTCTTGAAGAACGCCCTGTTGAAACTGCCTGTGTAGAGTGGTAAAGCCTTAGCTCCCAAGTCTCTTAGGTTTCCAGTAACGAGTGGAAAGTCATAGGGAAGGAGCTGCTAAGGCCCAGAAAGACGTTTCTCTACAGACTGTCACTCCATAGGGCAGCCCTGCATATAGCACCCACATTCAACAGCCCAGGGAAATGTGTTTTTTTGATTTTTTAAAAGTCAGCTACACATCATCTATCTTGATTTATAAAGCCTTTACCATAAGGAAAAGAAAACATTTCTTGCTCTTGGAACGCGTGTATCTGCAGAGTGACCATTGCTGGCTCTCCACTAGAGGAGGGAACGCTACCACCCACATCCTCATGTGATCTAGCTTCCGTGGAGCAGCTGGGAGCAGTTGAGTCATCATACTCCTCTGCCTTCTCCACTCCTGTGATGAGCATGACACAAGTTGACAGAGTGAGGGTCAAAGGCCAGTCTGTAGCCCAGGAGGAAAACGCCATGGGGGTCCTGTGCACCCCCCTGGCTTTCACGGCACCCATGCCCATTCTCTAAGGAGCTTTGCAGTGAGGACCTAGAGGTCAGCGAGGCTCTTACTGATCTGGGCCCGCTGAGGGGCAATCCTGGCCACAGCTGGAGAGCCCTGGGCCAGCCTGGAGACAGTCCTGTCAGGAACGCCCACGGCACTGCCATTGGAGGCATTGCAGAGGATGGGCAGGCTGATCTCCTTCTTGGCAATGGGGGCCTCATGGCCCTCGCCTTCGGCTGGTGGAGTTTCCTTGTCCCCAGACGCCTTCTTGTTCAGCAGGTTGCTGATCTCCATGATGTTCCCAATGATCTCCACTGGGCCGGCCAGGTTCTTCTTCCGGGTTGGCAGGTCATCCTTGGCCTTCTTCAGGTAGGATGCTGGCGCCCAGCCCTCTTTGCCCAGGTATCTGTGGGGAGGAGCAGGATGTGCTATCATTAGAGCACTCTGACCTCACAGCCCACTCCCAGGCCCTAGGATCCATCTGGCCTTGCCCAGTGGAGCCTTCCCTACCATGTTCTGCAAGGCTTGGCAATCCCACTACTCTGGAGAGAAATGGCACCGAGGGTAGATGGAAAAGACACCCAGAACACCAATTCCCACTGCCCCCCCACCATGCTCCTTTTTCTTTGCCTGATCCCTCTTGGGGTGGGCTCTCATGTTCTGCAAAGTCAGGCAAATGTGGGAGCTTGGGATCAGATTTATCAACTTTTGGGTTGCCCAAAGGAGGACTTCATAATGGCCTGCTACTTCCCAGTCAGTTGAGGATAATTAGAGAGATAAGAAGAAGGTGTGGATGTGGTATGTAGAGGTAAATGGCCTGTAGGAAGGGGAGGTATTATTAGAGAGGGAATTGACTCCAGAAGGTGAGAGTCAGGCAGTCTGAGTTCTAGTCTGTGGTACCTTGCACAAGTCCCTTCCCTGGAGCTCAGTTTGTGTCTCTTTTGCAAGATGCAGGGATAGAGTCGCTGCTAAAAATGTACCCAGAAGGACAGACATGTTGAGATCAACTAAGCTGTCTCCAACATCTTAGCTGGAATGGCTCCTCCATGCCAGATGACTGAATGGGACAGCTGTGGTGCCACTGCAGGGAGAGTAGGTGGATCCTCTATAGACTGTCACAGACCAAGTTCACAAACCAGGCTAAATTTACTGTAGTGGAACAAAGATGCATTATTCAATAAGTGATTTGGGGCTGGGCGAGGTGGCTTACACCTGTCATTACAGCACTTTGGGAAGCTGAGGCAGGAGGATCGTTTAAGGCCAGCCTGGGCTACATAGCAAGATCTCATCTCTACCAAAAAAAAATTTTTTTTTTTTTTAATTAGCTGGGTGTGATGGTGCATACCTGTAGTCCCAGGTGCTTGGGAGGCTGAGGTGGGAGGATTGCTTGAGCCCAGAAGTTTGAAGCTGCAGTGAGCTATGATCATACCACTGCACTCCACTCTGGGAGACAGAGTGAGACCCTGCCTCCAAAAATGTAAAAAGTGATTTGGGGAAAACTGATGACCCAGTTAGGAAAAACAAGTAAGACAGACACTGGCTTTATACCATATAGCAGAATTAACAAATAGAAGATTGACATAATGTTGGGGGTTGAGAAAATCTAAGTGGGGCTCCAAAAGCAGAAACCATAAGTGAAAAGACAAAAGCACATGACTAGATAAAACTAAAACCAAAGCAAAACAAAAACAAAACAAAACAAAAGGAAACAAAACCAAAAGCTCATAAACAAAGGCAAAAGGCAAATGATAGGGCTGACTTAATTTCTGGTGATTCGATGACTTCTGAAAACAAGCTTTTCCTTTTTTCCTCGTGGTGTTGAGTTTTCACCCAAACCCATGGGGACTTCACTTCCTGGTCCAGTAGTCGCTGGCCAGTGCCCCCAAGTCTGGGTTGCAATGTCCCCATCTGCTCCCTGGACACATCTGGCTCTTTGGAATGGCTCCTCCACACCAGATGTCTGAACACCTCCCCCCCCGCCCCGCCCACCGTCTTCCTGATCTGACCTTGTTCTTGGGCGCTCATTAGGTGGGAGAAAAGGAATATGAAAGCTGAAGTTCCTATCAACATGTCTGAGCTTTGCGAGAAAGCTCAGGTAGGAGGTGGCTCCTTACGTTCTGTCACAGAAACATGCAGGCAGGCTGAGCCAAGCTCGCCTCCCCAGGGATTGGGAGGCAGAGGTGAGTTAACACGTGGGTGGGAGTCAGGGGCCTGTCTTTGGCTCCCTGATGCAATGGGTGCAAACAGAAGCACAGAATTTTAAGGGTGGATGGAAGCAACGAGTAAAAATACCTAATCTTATGTGAGCCAACAACTACGGCTCAGAAAAGCAAGGGGGTCACACAGTGAGCGCTTAGCAGCATCTGGCCCAGAGCCTGGTGCTCTTGCATCTCAGAGAAAAGACAAAGATGAGCCCACTGGCCCTCACTGACGATTTTTCTACATGGACACTGTAGAGCTATGGGGAGAGGGGGCTCATGGAGGTGACGGTCAGGCCTGCTTAGGGCCCCGAGTGCTGTATTTGTGTTCCTTCAGCACTACATGGGTAAAATTAAGATTCCAGGAGGAGAAACGCAAGGGAATCAGGAGTGCCTGTGTGTGTCTGGGTCCAGCTCTGCTCACATCTGCTTTCCAGCAATGGAGAATGAAATGACTCCAGCGGGAAGCAAGCTGGAAAGGGCGCGATGGAGAGTGCGAGGGTGTGTGTGTGTGTGTGTGTGTGTGTGTGTGTGTGTGTGTGTGTGTGTAGGGGTTGGGGGAGGAGAAGAAAGACAGGAAATGAGGATCAACGTAGAGCCTGGAATGTTGGGAAATGGCATATTTAAGGGGGTGTCTGGCAGCCTTTTTAAGGTGGAATCTTTTCAGCCGGGTTTTCTCAGTCCAAGCTCCTGCTGGCTGTAAGACTAGGCCATGGGGATAGGAGCGGACTAGAAGCAGCTCAGAGTGACTTTGTTGGTCATTTTAGAAAACAAAAAAATAATAATAAAGCAGCCTTGTAGATAAGCTCCAGGCAAGTGAGCTAGGCCACCAGCCTGCCAGAATGTTTCCTGGCTTTCCCATGTTCAACTCATGGCTGGTGGGTGATTGGGTTGACTCTAGTTTCCATTGCTCAGAGAACATAAAAGTCTAGGGGCACTGGCTTTGGACAATACACATCCAGATGCACAGTCCCATCCCACCCAATGGGACAGAAAGGGACATCTCAGCCCTCCTGACTGATATGCACCAGGGCTCCGGGGTGGGGCGGGGTGGGGGCGGGGTAGGGGCGGGGGGTGTGGTGCGTGCCATGGAGCCATGTTCCATCAGGTCAGACTAAGGTGCAATCTCCATATGGCCAGTGACCTCAGCATGGACTAGCCTTTAATGCCATCATGTTGTACCATGTTCTGAGCAACTGTCCCACGAGTACTCACATCCCCTGGGGCACATTGGTGCCACTGCACAATCCTGTCCCCTCTGTCGGAGACCACCTAGAATGCATGTCCTGCCCACAGTGGATCTGGGGTCCCCAGAGCCCAAGGATATAGGACTATCCCTGTCAGCTGGGTAACTGGCAGAGAAGAGAGAAGGTGGGCAAAGTCATCACAGCTGAGCCAGTTCCAAGGACACCAAAAGCACTTACTGAGATCAAGTCTCCTGGAGCATTTCTTGAGAGCAGGGGTCCTGGAAGGGTAGGTCTTGGCCAGGTAATGGTGAGTGAAACCCACGGGATTGTTTGCCTCCAGCAGGTCAGGAAAGACCCCACTTCCCTACCCATACCATTCAATAGGATTCTACGCTGGGAACTGTGATTAGGCCTGGGAGAGGGAGGGGCAAGAGAAGGAAGAAGCCTCCGATGGCCTGAGCCGAGGCCTGACTTCTGCTCCAGCCCTTGCAGCCAGCCCTGCAGATTGGACAGCCAGTCCCCATCCACCAGGGACGTGGCTGCAAGAGGCCTGCACCTGCACCCGCCCCCGCCCCCAGCCCACCTCCCTGAGTACTGAGCCTGGGCAGCAGAGGTTGCCTGCTGGGACCTCAGCAAGGCCTGCGGACGCCAGTGCTCCAGGCAGCCCTAGCTGTGGAGCACACCAGGCAGCCAAGGCCGGACACACAAAACCAAATTCAGATGTGCTGAGCTCTCTTGGCAGATACGTGGGAAGGGATTGCACCACAGCCTGCAAGCTGACCCGGGGCCTCTGTGCCCCGCTGGCTGTGGCTCAAGCTCTGCTTTACGCGTCCCGGGAGAAAACTTGCAAGATGAGCATTCTCTGGTTGAGCTATTCAGCTGTGCAGAGGTGCAGCAGCCCAGCCCTGTGCCGTGGGCACAAAGCTGTCAGTATCTACCTGCCATCAGGTGGCCATGGCCACTTTGCACTCTGCCCAGGGCCCAGGTGGGCGAGAGGCATCTCGTTCATAATGTAAGGGTTCCCTACCTGATATACCACCAGCCTTCCAGATTCTTCCGGATCACCTCCACTGTGACGCCCTTCTCAAAGCCAATCTCGTCCTTGCTTTGGCTGGTGTAAGGCTGCACGGTGACATACTTCTCCTCTGGGGGTGGGAGCAAGCAAGCAAGATTATTTGAGGTCGGGGTGCAGGTCCTGCTTCCTGTCCCCTCCTCCTGCCCTGGCCTGGCTTTTGCTCAACTGCTTGCCAAGAAGGTCCACTGGGTTGGCTCTGGCTTCTCCAGGGGAGGGAAGGACCAGGCCCCAGAGGTGGCAGCAGGGAGACCATGGGAGCAGAGGTCACTGCTGCTCCCAGTGTGTGCCAAAGCCAGCCAGGACCCAGGTTGTCAGGCAAGGCCCTGGGAGCAGGGAGTCGGCTCTCCCAGCCTGATAATGGCGGCCAGGCTGCCGGGACCTTGGAGTCCACAGGGCTCAGAAGCTTGCTGGGCCGAGGGCAGGATTAGGAGAAGCCGGCCCCTCATGAGGTGTCCTTGCATGCCTTGAGGCCCCACGGCATACCGCTTTTCCTCGAAATGTGCCCTGTTTCCATCTGTGTCCCAGATGAACTCTCCTATCCCTGCCCCCAGCTCAGCCTCTTGCATCCTTCCTCTGTCTGACCTTCAGAGGTTCTAGGGACACCTCCTCGGTGAAGCCTTCCCTGAGCACCCACTTCATCCATTAACACCTGGTCATGTAATCTCCCAAGAGGAGTCCATGGAACCCAGGTCTCATGGAAGCAGTTACATGTGTTTTGTTAAGACAAGGGTTCGATGGCCAAATGAGCTTGGAAACACCAAGCACAGCACAATCAGGCAGCACTGGCCCAAGTGGCTTCTGCAGAACATGCTGTGCCAACCACGCAGCCGAGGCCTAGCCCCTCTGGAGGGCAGCCTGCTCTGTTTTCAAGGATGTCACTTCAGGGTCTTGCCCAAGGTCCTCCCGAGGTGCTGGGAAAGAAGTGCCTTGTAGACTCTCAGGAAGGCTTGGGAGGGCAGGTGTGGGGAGAGTGGGGCACCATGGTGCCTCCCCTGGTTTCTTTCAGCCTCTCTCCTGGCAGGAGGCCTGGGTGCCACCCGCTTGGGTCCTTGATCAGGCTTCCAGGAGGGTGTTTCTTCCATGCCTGCTGGGGTTCAGCTTTCCCTGTCCCAGGAAGCCCCTGATAGGTAGACCCCAGAGCTGAGTACTCCCTGGCTCTGCTCCTAGCTGGCTGGCTAAAGAGTCCTTGCCTCCTGCCTGAGACACTCCGTAGAGGGCTGCTCAGAGTGGAACACTCCCCACCTCACCTTCTGGGGCAACAGGAGCTGAGACAGGAGGAGGAAGTGGCAATCTGGCCATGCCCTTCTGAAGGGTCACCCTGAGCCACTGTTGTCCTCTCTGGCGTGGGTGCTCCCCAGGGGCTGAGACAGTGCCTGGCAGACAGCGAGACACTGTTGACTGCATCACGACCAGGCAAGGCTGAGCAAGGGTACCGATGGGAAGTGCTGTGAGCTCAAAACAGCGGGATGCTGGAGCAGACTGCTGGCCTCTGGTCTCTGGGACACCCACCCCTCCTGGCTCCCAGCTGTGACAGCCACCCCCTGGGCTCCTTGGCTGGATGCTGGCGGGCAGCCTGCCTAAGACTGGTGGCCGTGGGGGTGGGAGGCAGCTGCCACCCCAACCCCCAGCTGTGGGAGGGCCATCTGTCCACTCTCCCCTGGATTATCGGGGCCCTGTCTGCAGCCCTGTGCTGAGCCGAGATAGCAGCTCCCTTTGGGGGTGGTTGTGGCTGCCCTGCCAGGCTGTGAAGACAGAACTGATGGGCTACTAGCCAAATTCAAACGGCTGCCCAAAAGCAGAAGGAGGGTGATGACCCATGGGAGCCTGCAGGATTTTTCAGTACGCCCTTCTCTGCTGCAGAACTTGGTCAGCATCGACTCAGGGAGGGCCTTACTCTGGAGGCTTTCAGATTCCAACCCAGCCATGCTTCAGACTGCTGCCAAGGCGGCCTGAGAACCCTGCCCAGCCAGATTCTGACTCGGCCCTTTGAGAAGTTCAGGGCTCCACAGTCCAACTCTCTCTGCTCTCCTGCCTGCTCCTGGTTCTGCTCCATTTTCCAGTGAGGCATGGCAAATCCCAGCTCAGCGGCGGCCAGAGGGGCAGCGCCAGGCTCCGGGAATCCAGGATTCTGAGGTTAGGATGAGGCGAGGCCTGGGCTCCACATTTTGCCTTTGTTCAGCTGGGCTATTTTTAAAAGTCTGTGGTTCGAGCAGGAAGCCATCATTAAGGTTTTCCTAGGCAAGGTTGCATTTGCAGGGAAAAATGACAGCCCTTCTCGTGGGAAGATCAGAGGAGCCCTGCCCTGCTTCATGGCAGAGAACAAGGTCTAGCCCATCATGTGGGCTCAGCCTCCTGGGCCACTAGGGCCCAGCCCCAGCCTTCGCAGCCTCCCGGGGTGCGTGGAAGACAGAATCCCGTGGGCCATGTAAGCTCAGGCTTTCTCCTGACCTCTTGGGGGTGGGGGCAGAACCAGGGATATCAGTTCTGGCCGGTAAAGTTGAGCTGCTCCTGCAAAAGGTTCTTGGGGACTCTGGGGCTGCAGCAACCACAGATGTCCAGGAGTTCACGTGCTGCTGGTGAGAGCTCCTGGATGGGAGGCTCGTCCTGCCCCGGTCACTGCACAGGTTGCAGGGATGAGAACCCAGAGCCCTCCTCCCTGGCAGGGCTAGGCAGGCAGACCAGGCCGTCCCAGCTCCTGGGTTTCCACCCAGTTGGCTCAGATGGCAGAGGCATGGACTTTCCATGTGGACACAGGCCTTGTGGGTCTCAGGCCTTCCAACTCACAGGTGTCCCAAGGAAGAGAGACTTGCCTGGGCCACAAACCCCATCTGGGGGCGCCAGACAAGAGGAGGCCCAGACAGACGGACATGGCCTCAGCGGGCAGCTGCATGATTCAGGGTGGTCAGGGTCTTGGGAAGAGATGTCCCGTCGGAAATGGGGTTGAGGGAAGGGAGGCTGTGAGCTCCAGTGGGATCCTCCGGGCTTCTGGGAAGCACTGGGGCCGTGAACACTGACCACGCCACCAGGAGACGGTGGCAGCCTGCCCTGGGGAGGGCTGGCCAGGCGGTCAGCCGGGTGGGTGAGGGGGATAGGCCTGCTTTGGTTTTGGAGGCAGGGGCTGGATGTCCTGTAGTTTCCAAACCACAGAAGCCTCCTCTTCCCCAACACTTTCCCCTCTGTCAGCAGTCTCCCCACTCCCTTCCTGCCCCCACGACTTACCCAACCCCACTGAGAGAGGCCTTTTGGTTCCAAGGGCCTGGCTGGCTGAGGGAACGGGGAGCGGAGGCCGTGGGGAAGCTCCGCTTTTCTCTTGTCTAGCTCCTCCACAACCTGCAGCCTGCCTCCCCGACCAGCTCTGCTGTTTGCAGCAAGCGTCTCCAAGCCAACTCTCTGCAAGTTTTTCTTGGCTGCCTGGTTTAACTTAGCCCATCAGGCTGAGGCTGGGACATTATGTTGTTTAGGTCTCTTATTTAAGAGAGAGAGAGAGAGAGAGCAAGAGCTGGGGGCTTATATTTGCTTAGGTATGGGTGACCAAGAATTAGGCATTTCATTGCGTATTTGTGTCTCCACATATCACTGTATGTCTGTGACTGGCATATATGTGGTGCAAGGCGTTGTGTGTATGAAGCTGTATGTGCCCTTGTGAGTGTTGCTGTGGAGGAATGGGTGGCGTATGTGTGTATGTTGCGTATATGTGTGTGTGTGATGATTTTGTGACTGTGTATGATGCATTTGTGGTGGTATAAACAGAAGACACATGGCACGGTGTATGCGTGGCTGCATAATTGGAATTGTGTATGTGTATTGTGAGTGGCTGTGTGCCTGGGACTGTGGATATGTGGGTGTCAGGGAGGCTGGATGTGACAGGGCGCACAGTCGTATCTGTGGCCATGAGGGCTGTGCATGTCTGTGGGGTTGTGGAGATGGTCGTGTTTGGGGCTCAGTGTGCAAGGGTGTTTGGAGCCAAACCTTCATCCGTGCCATGCATTTCCAGACTTACGTCCCACTCTCCTTTGCCGCCAAGGCTTGAGCTGCGTCCCAGCTTTAGGGTGGCCATTGCTCTATGTCCAGCCTGTTCTTGCTGTTTCTACAACTTGACCCCCAGCCCTGTGTCAGCCCACAGGGTCCAGCCCAGGCTGTGCCCTCAGGACAAGCTGGACTTCTCATGGCCAGTGCTCTGTGCCTGATGCTGAGCCAGCCATAGGCTGTAGCCACCTGTGTCCAGGCTTCCTGCTGCTTTGGGCCTGGGGCAGACACCAAAACATGCTCTTACAGTCATTTAGAACCAAGCTGTGAGGGTGGGGGTCACTGGGTGTCCCCGCTTCCAGAAAGGCCAGTGTTTATGATACACCTCTCTCTGTGCCGTCACTGTGAGAAGCACACACACCCTGCTCCATGCGGGGCTGGCCAAGCCCTGGCCCAGGGGACTGCAGATGTTTAAGGGTTTGTTCAGCAGCCCAGCCCTGGGGCTTTGTTCCACTCCCTTACCTCCCAGGTTCCTGGATGCTAGAAAGATCCTGGGCGAGAAAGCTCTAAACCCACAAACATCTGATCAGCCCATGTGCTGGGCCTGGGGGGCTCCCTGGACTCCCCTGGATCAGGCCCCTCCTGAAGCCCCAGCAGTTACTGCTCCTGGCTGGACCTGACCCTCAGCAGAGCCTGTTGGGCTGCACCCTGATGCCAGGCTGGGTCTGGCTTTGCTCCCTTTCTAGTTTCCGTGGAGCTGGCAGGAGGAGCGTGAATGTGAGCCAGTCCTTCTTTCTGCTTTGTTCCCAAGAAACTGATAGAACAACTTTGGCCGAGGGAGCATTTTCTCAGAGGACAGGGGCCATGGAGGATGGGGGAGTGGGATGGCCCCAGCAGAGGGCTAGACACGCTTAGCTCCTTTAATCTGCAGCTTCCAGGGCCAATGTGGCCTTTCTTAAAGACCCGAAACCCCCTTGTCCCCCTCCTCAAGCCCCTGTACCTTTTCAGGGAACCCACAACTGTGTTCCATGACCCTCATACCCAGGAGGTTGACAAAGCCAGAGCCACCCCCAGTGCCACCCTGATTCCCAAGCAGGCCCACCCCACACCAGCTGCAGTAGGTGAGAAGAAAGCCTGGCCCGTGAATCTGGGTGAACAAGGAGGCCACAGGGCAGAGAGCAGAGCCCGGAAAGAAAGAGCAGTGTTAGCGAGAGACAGGCGGTCGCTGCGAGGGAGGAGAAGCCAGCTCCCGCAGTCACCTCGGCTGTGCTGCCTGTTGACCATCCCGCCCAGGGTCCACCGGCGATCCAGGCGCCGCAGATGGGCCTTGCGTCTCTTGGACACTGGTGTGGGAGATGGCGATGGAGCATGCGGCCAACAGCAACCGGCGGAGAGAATGGAGATGAGGATGAGATGGGATGGGGGTGGGAGGAAGGGGCACAGGGAGGGGAGGCCCACACTTCCAGTCACCATCACCTGGACTGAACCAAAGGGCACGCCCCTGTTGGATGGGGCAGATATGACAGGTCATGGTCGGCACACAGGGAAAAATTCAACCAAACTCCACAGCGTGTGCCCCTGAGCCTAGGAGTGGGCTAAAGCCTTTAGAATCCCAGCACCTTAGAGAAAAGAGGGTCCCTAGCTCCAGCCCAGTGCAAGACAGCCCCTCAGCTACAGCCTCCAGGGATGGTGAGATCAGTGTCCCTCACTGCTGGGCGGTGCTGATTCCCAGGAGGGTGTGGGGTCCTGCAACATCTGAGCTTATGTCCACTCGCTCACTGAGTACTGACTGTGAACGTGCTACCTTGGACAGGCACCATGCTTGGAAGAATCAGTGTGCCCAAGAGAGACTTGGATCCCTTCCTTGCGGGGCTGAGAGCTCTCGCCATTCTGGGAACCCTTCCCTGTGTCTCTGCATTCCCAGGGCCTAGCACAGGGCCGGGCACACAGCTGGGTCCCAGGAAGCACCTGCTGAACGGAATGACACAAGGGTGGGTGCCAGAGGCCCTGGCTCTGCTCCTCCTCTCAGGCCACCCATCGGGACATCTGATGACAGGGGCCCCCTCCCCAGCTTCTCACTGCTCCTGACCCCGTGCCCTGAGCAGCATCCTGCACTGCTCCTCTGGTGGCTGCTGCTTGGCTCTGAGCCCCCTGCACCCTCTGCTCAGACCCCAGCTCCAGATGCCTCTGTCTTCCTGTGAGACTCCCAGATGGAATGGATACTGGACCAGGGCTCCAGGGTGCCAGCTGGCCTCACTTCCTGCCACCACAGAAAGAAGGTGCCAGGCTGCCCGGGTCTGGGGGTGGGAGAGGGGCCAGTGGCTGGAGTGAAAATAAAACCGTCCCAGACCACCGAGGCCCTGGGAAAGCATTTGCTTTCCTGGAAGAAGAGGGACCTGTC
The DNA here is from genome assembly GCF_000001405.40 of Homo sapiens. Classification (NCBI taxonomy): domain Eukaryota; kingdom Metazoa; phylum Chordata; class Mammalia; order Primates; family Hominidae; genus Homo; species Homo sapiens. Next base: position 103,623,612 of record NC_000010.11, read on the forward strand.
TGACCTGCTTCTTATAAGGACAAAAGGGTAGGAGGTGTGGACTCCAGTCCAGGCCCCACTGCCAGCAACCTGTGTCACTCTAGGAGGCCAGCCACCCATCTCTAAGCCTCTCTTTCCTCATCTGTCTTACAGTGACACCACCTGCCCTGGCATGAGCCTAGACAAGGGGCTGAATGGGCTCTGGGAAACATGAATCAGGTCCTGTGCAAGGCCTCCTGGTGGGGCAGGGAGAGGTGGGGGAGGTGTGTAGGGCTTCTCTGCAGAGATGAAGGGGTTCAGCTCATGGCCAGACCAGAGGCAGCTTTCACAGTAAGGTGTTGATGTCGGCATTTACTCTGTGTGCGAGGCCCAGTTTAAACCATGTACAAAGATCATCTCACTTGGGCCTCACAAAAGCCCTATGTGGTTGGCATCTTACAAATGGGGAGACAGAGGCACAGGGCTTTAAAGAACACTCTGTGTCAGGCAGCATGTGAATCCAGGCAGTCTGGCTCCAAAGCCTAGACTCTTAGCACAGACTCTGCACCCCGAGCTATTGCTGTTCCCCTAACTCTGCTGCCCCTTGGGCTGCCAAGCCCTGGGAAGAAGGGGATGTGGGGAGGGAACAGGGTCTGGGTGCTGGGGGATCTGCTCACTAATGGGGTACACGCCTTTGGTACAGCAGCACAGAAGACCGTGGTCTGTTCCGCATGTCCCAATATGCGCCCACTCTGGAGGAAGCAGGTCCATACTGGTAGATGTGGGACACAGGAGCAAAGGCAGAGACTTGGGTTCTGGTCTTGGCTCTATCACAAATGAACCCGAGGGCTTGACAGAGGTAACACACCTCTCCTGGTTCACTGAAGCACCCTGCGAATGTCAGGCTTGGACCCGCACCTCTGTCAGTGGACAAGGAAGTCTCAACTCCCACCCTTCCTACCATACTGAACTCCCACAGCACACCTGGGTTCAAGAGCAGCATGAACATACATCAAAGTGTCTCATGATAAGGACACACCAGAACAGCCAATCATCTTTTCTTCCTAAAGTAATGAAGATGAGCTATTAGGAAAGCTTTGATAGGATGCAGGCTTCCAATTTCTGTCTACAGGGCTCAGGGCACCTATGATGGGATGGCCATAGCGCTGGGGTAGAGATGGCTGGAGAGGGAACTAGTGTCGGCCAATCTCTTGGCCATGTGGCTGCAGGTGCAGAGAGACTAGCGGACACACCACAGCAGCTGGGGCCTTAGGCCCAGGGGACCCATCCCTGAGCCCTTCTGTAGATCTGGGTGGGAAATGCCCAAGATGTGACGGTGGAATCCACAGCTATCCAGAAGTTGCCAGGAGAATTGGCACACAGGCCCTGTCAGAGGCGTGCGCAGGAACCTATTTTAGGAGAATCGCCCTGGGCACGCATGCACGCGCACACACACCCACACCCACCCCCCACACACATACACCCACACCGCCTCTGAACGCAGAATCTGCACTGGCTGCCTGATTCTTCCTCCATCAAGGTCAAAATCCTGCCCAACCCACTACTACTTGTTCTGTGCGCAAAGCACCTGCCTTCTGTTCCAACCAGGCTGGCATCTGTGCTCCACACCTCTCGTGCGCTTTCCTGCCCTGGCCTTCTCCCCACTCAGTGCCTAGGTCCTCCATAATCGACCCAACAGCTCCGCTCTGACCTTCCTGGTGCAGCCTTTTCAACTGGGGCTCTGATTCATACACGCACTGCCCTAGAGCTGCCTGTACTGCTTACGAGCAAAATGCTTCACAGAGAGGTGTGTGGCACAGCAGAAAGGACCAAGGGACAAAGGAGGTGGACTAGGGTCCAAACCTGATAAACATCTTGAAGCCTCAGTTGCCACAGCTGGAAGGATGGGGATGGCCATAGCCACAGGGTCCTCCCAGGGTGGGGGCAAGGGCATTTCAGGACCTGGTCTAGCATCTGGTACTTTGTGAGCTCCTGCTGTTTTTGAGAGGCCCTGGCATGCCCTATAGAATGTGGAACTAGGGGCTGGGCACTGTGGCTCATGCCTGTAATCCCAGCACTTTGGGAGGCTGAGGTGGCAGATTGCTTGGGGCCAGGAGTTCAAGACCAGCCTGACCAACATGGCGAGACCCCGTCTCTACTAAAAACAAAAATTAGCCAGGCGTAGTGGTAGGTGCCTGTAATCCCAGCTACTCAGGAGGCTGAGACATGAGAATTGCTTGAGCCCAGGTGGCAGAGGTTGCAGTGAGCTGACATTGTGCCACTGCACTTCAGCCTAGGAGACAGAGCAAGACTCTGTTTCAACAACAACAACAAAAAGAATGTGGAACTAGGTAGGAGGTGAGGCTGGGGACTGCAGGCATATGAGACCAGACCTAGCTCAGGGGCCAAGACTCTCCCCTGCTGCAGAGGTGCAATGGAACCAGAGGGAAGACAGGTGCAGGCTCAGCCCCAGGGCTCAGGGAGCAGCCCAGCCTGAACATGCGGGCCCTTCCCAATGGGGCCTTGTCCCTGGAAACCTGTCACACAGTGGAAGCACATGGCAGGGGCCGAGGCTCTGGTCAAGGGGCTGAAGTAAAGCCTCGACATAGGAGGAAGGGCGAAGCCCCAGCTGCCCGCCGAGTAACCGACATTTAGGGGAAGAATGAATAAGGAGCTGGCACTTGGCGGCTGCTTACTTTGGCCTGGCAGCAGAAAGCAGGCCTGGAGGTGGCCCGAGCACCGGGTGGTGGCCTCAATCCCTCTGGCTTTCAGACATCCATCTGGACCATCCCCACCAACCGTTAGGGAAAGAATTCCCGCAGCCAGGCCATGGGAGGCTTGGAAGCCATTAGGAGCAGGCAGCCAAGAACTGGGGGTGGCGCAAACGGACTGGGCTCAGGCAGCCTGCTCTAGGGAGTACAGAAGCCACAGATAGGCCCAGGCCAGTGCTGGCTTAGAGGGCAGGGGCAGACTCTTTGAAATGCAAGGAGAAAGACCCTGAAAAACCTCACTGAGTAGTTTTTAAGTGTTTGGAATTAAAAAAAAAAAAAGAAAAAGAAAAAAAAAAAAAGGAAGGGCTGGGTGCGGTGGCCCACACCTGTAATTCCAGCACTTTGGGAGGCCAAGGCATGTGGATCGCTTGAGCCCAGGAGTTTGAGACCAGCCTGGCCAACATGGTGAAAGCCTGTCTCTAGAAAAAAATACAAAAATAAAAAAAAATAAGAAAAAGGGGGGTGGGTGGAAAAACAAACCTCATGAAGCCAAAGCTAATCAGAGAGGCTGACTGTGTAGGGGTCTGAGCCATCCCTCAGTTCCTGAGCCCCTGAGACAGAGCAGCAGGGGTCGGACTGGGGTGGGAGGTGAGCTTTTGGGCCAACCTTACTGAGATGGGATCCCAAGGGAGGAGGCTAGGATATGGCTCAGCTCACTTTAGGGGTTCTGTTGGTTCTAGGGAAAGAGTGAGAGAGCTGCCTCCAGAGGCCGCGTTGCTCCCTGCCCCTTGGACCTGCAAGCCCTCACCTTCTCCAGTCTTAGAGGTGTTGATGTCGGAGTCATCCCGAGTACCATTCTGGGCCTCCAGGTAGGTGGCAGGGACCCAGCCCTGCTCCTCAGAAGTGCTCACGAACCACCAGCCTGCAGGGAGGACAAGAGAGAACAGGACTGTGAGATTCTGCAGGGTGGCAGGGGTGGCTCGGGGGCCAGGACAAGGATGGAAGGAGAGGCACAAGAAGCGGAGCATGGAGCCAGATGGCCTGGGGACCCAGCAAATGCCTGGCCCAGCTCCAGCCTCGAGGAGCCTGCGTCTGTTCTAAGGCAGAAACGACCAGCACACTTCCCGAGAAGTGGGACCAATAAACTGTGAGCCACACTAACAAATGTCTGATGGAAAATGAAATAGACATAGTGATATGTCCAGTGTGTGAAAATTCATCTTGCAGGAAAGGCCAAGGGAGCTCCGGCCATACAGAGAGACCATTTATGGTCTTTGAAACCCATTAGGATGACTGGTTTGCCTGGAGCTTGGCTGCCTTCTCAGCTTTCAAGCTAAGTGCCTCACAGACAGTCTCTAACGGTCAACGGTTGCCTTTTCCCCATCGCGGGTCAGCGGTACCTTCGCATTGGTGCCACTCACAGCTGCCCTTTAAGTGTGTTCACGTTTCAGTCGCGGTAAGTGGGCACTGCATCCTCAGCTGATGCTTGACGATCATGGCCACGTGATAAAGCCTCATTCATCTTATTTGTTCATTCATGCAAAGTCCTCTGAGCACCCAGGTCTTGGGACTCCACTAACTGCCTTTGGTCCCTTCCGAGAAGGTCCTCTTCACACGGTCCTGTCTTCCTCCTCATCCCTTCTTCCCTGACACTTCTTTGCCC